>NC_000012.12:124984392-125286016 GCF_000001405.40 Homo sapiens
CGTGGTGGTGCATGCCTGTAATCCCAGCTACTCGGGAGGCTGAGGCAGGAGAATCACTTGAACCCGGGAGGTGGAGGTTGCGGTGCGCCGAGATCATGCCATTGCACTCCAGCCTGGGCAACAAGAGCAAAACTCCATCTCAAAAAATAATAAAATAAAATAAAAATTTAAAAATCCAGAAGGTAGGAAACTGTAAGACAAACAACAAATAAACTACAATGGGAAAAAAAAACAAGAAAAGGGTGAGGAGTATCCATGAAACAACAGGAAATTTAACCACTTGCTAGATGTTTGATATTAAAATAAAAGATTAGGTGTGCTAATGGTATTCTGGTCATTTTTAAAAGTCTCTACTTATAGAGATACAAATTGAAATATTTATGGATATAATGCTATGTATAGTGGGTTAAATGGCAGCCTCCCTCAAAGACGTGTTCGTATCCCAGAACTTGCGAACGTGACCCTATTTGGAAAAAGGTTTTGTAGATGTAATTACGTAATTACGTGAAGGATCTCAAGATGAGATGATCCTGAGTATCTGAGCGCGACCTAAATCCAATGAGAAGCGCCCTTCGAAGAGACACACGGAGGAAAGGCCGAGGGAAGAGGGAGGCAGAGATTGGAGTGACGCAGCCACAAGCCAAGGGAACGCCTGGAGCCGCCAGGAGCAGGAAGAGGCCAGGAATGACCCTCCCCTGAGCCCAGTGAGGAGCACCGCCCTGCCAATACCTTGATCTCGGACTTCTGGCCTCCTAAGCTGGGAAGGAACAAATTTCTATTGTCCTAAGCCCCTCAGTTTGTGGTCATTTGTATGACATCCCCAGGAAACTAGTACAGATTCACTGTATGTGGGATTTGCTTCAAAATGACCCAGAGGTGGGAAAGTGACCAGCAGTGGAGATAATCCAAGATTGACCAGGGGCTGATCAATGTTGGAGCTGGCGATGGGCACATGGGAGTTCATCATACTGTTCTCTTTACTCTTGCAAATGTTTGAATTTCCCTTGCAAATGTTTGAATTTCCCATGACAAACTTTTTTCCTCTATGAAAAAATTAAGGTTGGCTGGGCATGGTGGTTCACGCCTGTAATCCCAGCACTTTGGGAGGCCGAGGCGGGCGGATCACGAGGTCAGGATATCAAGATCATCCTGGCTAACATGATGAAACCCCGCCTCTACTAAAAATACAAAAAAAAAAAAAAAAAATAGCCTGACGTGGTGGCACGCGCCTGTAATCCCAGCTACACAGGAGGCTGAGGCAGGAGAATCACTTGATACCAGGAGAACCCAAGATCATTTCACTGCACTCCAGCCTGGGCAACAGAGCAAGACTCCATCTCAAAAAAAAAAAATTTTTTTAAGGTTTGGTAGAGCCAGAAAAGATGTCGGGGGTGGGGGAACAAAACAAAAAAGAAAAAAAAATTAAATTTAAATTAAAAAAAAAAAAAGAAGAAAAAACAAGGAAAAAAGTTTGACATTCTCCGGAACAGTTCAGTTCAGTTCCTCTGCCATAGTAGCTGCATTTCAAGTGCTCAACAGCAATATGTGGTTAGTGGCTACCGCACTGGACCATGCACTGGAATTTTCCTCATTCCAGAAAGTTCTATTAGTTGCACCACAGAGACACCCTCAGGAGGAGAGAGACCCCCCATCTCTCTCTATGCTGGAGAGCCACTTGCAGACCCTGCCCGAGTGGGGTGTACCTGGCTCTTTTTCTCCTTCTGTTCTAAGATTTTCTGCAGCACTTTCTTCTCCTTCTTGGTCAGAGGCTTCTTCTCCTTCTTCGACAGGGGAGGGGCTTTGGTCTTCTTTTTCTTCTTCCCCGGTAGAACGAGCGCGTTGCTTGCATCAACTCCCTTCAACGTGTCCTTGTCTGAGAGAGCACAGTTATTAAGTCCCCATTCTCCTTGAGGTAGCTCTGGTCCCGCCTCCCACAAGCCCCCTGACTTGCATGGGGGCCTCCTGAGTCTGCACACAGGAACAGGGGGATCTGTGAGCTCAAATCTATTTTCATAACAATACTATGATGTTCTCAAGGCTTGGCGCAGGGGCTCATGCCTGTAATCCCAGCACTTTGGGAGGCTGAGGCAGGTGGCTCACTTGAGGTCAGGAGTTCGAGACCAGCCTGGCCTATGTGGCGAAACCCTGTCTCTACTAAAAATACAAAAATTAGCCAGGTGTGGTGGTGGGTGCCTGCAATCCCAGCTATTTGGGAGGCTGAGACAGGAGAATCTCTTGAAACTGGGAGGTGGAGGTTGCAGTGAGCCGAGATCTTGCCACTGCACTCCAGCCTGGGCGACAGGGTGAGACTCCATCTCAAAAAAAAGAAAACCCCCCAAAAAATACTATGATTTTCTCTTTTTGTTTTTTTGAGACGGTGTCTCACTTTGTCCCCCAGACTAGAGTGCAGTGGCGCAATCTCAGCTCACTTCAACCTCCGCCTCCCAGGTTCCAGCAATTCTCCCGCCTCAGCCTCCCAAGTAGCTGGGATTACAGGCATGTACCACCACGCCCCAGCTAATTTTTGTATTTTTAGTAGAGACGGGGTTTTACCATCTTAGCCAGGCGGTCTCGAACTCCTGACCCCCAAGTGAGCCACCCGCCTCAGCCTCCCAAAGTGTTGGGATTACAGGCGTGAGCCACTGCACCCAGCCTGATGTTCTCCTAAGAGTGTACGGTGGGGCCGGGCGCGGTGGCGCACGCCTGCAATCCCAGCACTTTGGGAAAATCACCTGAGGCCAGGAGTTGGGGACCAGCCTGGCCAACATGGCAAAATCCCGTCTCTACAAAAAATACAAAAACTAGCCAGGTGTGATGGCATGCACCTATAATCCCAGCTACACAGGAGGCTGAGGCACGAGAACTGCTTGAACCCGGGAGGTGGAGGTTGCAGTGAGCAGAGATCACGCCACTGCACTCCAGCCTAGGCGACAGAGCAAGGCTCCATCTCAAATAAATAAATAAATAAAAGAAGGTAATCTGAGTCATGTTCTTATGAGATTCCTCTGGCCCCTGAGAAAGGCAGGGATACATGGAAATGTCCTGTTCTGATGTGAGAAACAACTTTCCCCAAATCTCTGGGTCTGAGAGACCTCAGCCCCTCTGCTCAGGTGGTCCAGTTCCAAGTGTCAGCCCAGTGTCTACGGCTGTCTTTGAGGTGCCATCCTGAATTGTCACTGCCATCATAACGGTTGTCACCTGTCCTGGGACACACCCCACCTCTGTAACCTTTCTTTACTTTTCAAAGCAACATATTTTCCCAAATTACCATCTCCAAAACTCTGATAGGAGGTAAGACGGCTACTACAGGTTAAATATCCCTTTCCAGAAATGCTAGGAACCAGACCTGTTTTAGCTTTAGGAACATCTGTATTCTATTCACTGGTTGAGCATCCCTAATCTAAAAATTTGAAATCTGGAATGCTCCAATGAGCATTTCCTTAAGTGTCATGTTGACACTCAAAAACTTTTGAATTTTGGAGTATTTTGGATTAAGGCTGCTCAACGTGTGCTACTGGTCCCATTCTGCAGATGTGAAAACGAAGGCACAGAGATGTTAGGGGATCTGCCTCAACTCCCAGCCTGTCTGTGGAACTTTTTTTTTTTTTTTTTTTTTTTTGAGATGGAGTCTCGCTCTCTCACCCAGGCTAGAGTACAGTGGTGCGATCTTGGCTCACTGCAACCTCCGTATCCTGGGTTCAAGCCATTCTCCTGCCTCAGCCTCCCAAGTAGCTGGGACTACAGGTGCCCACCACCACGCCTCCTCTGCTCTAAATGCTCCCATGGCTGCCCTCTCCCGTAGAGAAAAAGCCCCAGTCCTCGCCAAGACTGCAGTCCAGGCCCGACCTGCCCTGGCCCCCTGTTTTTTCTCTCATCTCCAGGCAGCCACTCAGGTCTCCTTCAGATCTTGACTCTAACAGAGTGATGTCTTCTCCAGCAACTCTATGGGATGCTGCAACCCACCCAATGGCCTCTTCTGTTTTATCTGCTCACTATAGCCGCATAAATTTCTATATGTTTATTCTTTGCCTGTCTCCTCCTATACAGCAGGTAAACTCAGGGATTTTCTAAAAATCTCCCTTTCTGCTATGTCTCCAGTGCCTAGAATAGTGCCTGGCATGTAATAAGGGCTACTCCTAAAAAGGGGTCTGAGAGAAATGTCAGCCAGCCTGGAGCTGAGCAGACAAGACTGGGCTGAAAATACACATTTGGGGGTCGCTGGAGATTATAAAGAGATTATAATCGAAGTCATGGGAAGGGATGGAACTACTCCTGTTTTTTTTGCCAAATTCTCCATGTTACTATTTGAGGGCGAGAGAAATCCCGGGTATTCCATATACACTGTTAAAACTAGGCTGTCACTAAGCCCCTCTCCTTTGGATCATCTGGAATGGGGGGACCCATTCCCCCATTCCAGATGATCCATCCCACCCCTCTGGGATCCCCACCCGAGAGTCCTGAAGGCAGGGCACAGGCCGCCCTGGGAAATCTCCGAAATCCAGCCCCGGTCCGGGGATGTCTTACCCTCCAGTTCCAGCTGCACGGGGGGCGGCTCGGGGGGGCCCTTCGAGGGTCCGGGGCCCGCCTGCTGGCGCCCCTTGATGTTGTAGCGCCGGCGCAGCTTCCCCATGGCGACTAGGCCAGGGTGGGCGCTCCAGCGGCCGGACCAGCAGAGCAATCCGAAACCCAGCCCACGTGGGTTCCCAGACCACCAACTCCGGCCGTGAGACTTCCGGGTTGTGTTATCGCGAGAACTGTAACTGACTTTGCCGCTGAGGGGCGGGGTTGCAAGAGAAACCCAGCGAAGAGGAGAGGCGGAGCCGGGCCGGGCAGGGGGCGGGACTATTTAGAGAAGTAGGCGGGGCCTGAGGTCCCAGCGGAGGCCGGAGTTTAAGTCCTGGGCTGTTCTCGCTTGGGGTAGTCTGGGTTTAAATATGAATTATATCTACTGATACTAATTTGGCTTCTTGGGAGTGGAAGTGTTTTGCCACCTTTTAAAATATACCCCGCCCCCAGTACTCCAAACTTCTTCCCCCCAACCCTGGTTTGCGCATCTGTATTTTCTGATATTCCTACAAGAAACGTATTAGTCGTGTACTTTTAAAAAGGCACCAAATATTTCCATCACAGGGATAGATGGAAGATCTAAAAGGAGGCCTCTACGGGCGCGGTGGCTCACGCCTGTAATCCCAGCACTTTTGGAGGCCGAGGCGGGCGGATCACGAGGTCAGGATTTCAAGACCAGCCTGGCCAAGATGGTGAAACCCCCGTCTCTACCAAAAATACAAAAAAAATTTAGCTAGGCCTGGTGGCAGGCGTCTGTAATCCCAGCTACTTGGGAGGCTGAGGCAGAGAATTGATTGAACCCGGGAGGTGGACGTTGCAGTGAGCCGAGACTGCACCACTGCACTTCAGCCTGGGCAACAGAGCTAGACTCTGTCTCAAAAAAAAAAAAATAAAGTTGTCTATTACATAACTTTAAATTCCCATTACCGCATCACATTGTAACACACTGGGAAACAATGCATTATTATTATTATTGAGACAAGGTCTGGCTTTGTTGCCCAGGCTGGAGTGTAGTGGAGCAATCTCGGCTCACTGCAACCTCTGCCTCCCGGGTTTAAACGATTCTCCTGCCTCAGCCTTCCGAGTAGCTGGGACTACAGGTGCCCGCCACCACCCCCAGCTAGTTTTTGTATTTTAGTAGAGACGGAGTTTCACCATGTTGGCCAGGCTGGTCTCAAACTCCTGACCTCGTGATCTGCCTGCCTGGGCCTCCCAAAGTGCTGGGATTACAGGCATGAGCCACCGCGCCCGACTTTTTTTTTTTTTTTTTTAAGAGATGAGATCTCGCCCTGTGGGCCAGGCCAGAGTGCAGTGGTGCAATCACCACTCGCTGCAGCCTTGACCTGTCCTCCCACCTCAGCCTCCTGAGTAGTTATGACTACAGGCACACACCACCACGACGGGCTAATTTTTCTATTTTTTTGTAGAGATGGTGTCTCCCTATGTTGCTTAGACTGGTCTCAAAATTCTGGGCTCAAGGGATCCGTTTGTCTCGGCCTCCCAAAGTGCCGGAATTACAGGCATAAGCCACTGTGAAGGCCTTAATGAATGACGTTTAAAAAAATCATAATTAGCGTATCAAATCTATGGGGTTTTTTGTTTGTTTGCTTGTTTTTGTTTTTTTGAGACAGAACTCTCCCTCTGACGCCCAGGCTGGAGTGTAGTGGAGCAGTCTCGGCTCACTGCAACCTCCACCTCTCGGGTTCAAGCGATTCTCCTGTCTCAGCCTTCCAAGTAGCTGGGATTACAGGCACCCACCAAGATGCCCATCTAATTTTTGTATTTTTAGTAGAGATGGGGTCTCACCATGTTGGCCAGGATGGTCTCAAACTCCTGACATCAAGTGATCGGCCCACCTTGGCCTCTCAAAATGATGAGATTACGGGCCTGAGCCACTGCACCCAGGCTCAAATCTGTGTTTTTATGGATTTTGTTGCTCAGGATGATAGTGATCTAAAGTTTCTTCTTTAAATATGTTTATTTAAATAAATTAAAAGTTTAAGAAACGTTTAAAAAATGTTAAGTAGGTAGTAGTACACTTGCCTATATTTCCTTCTAAAATATAATATATCAGTGAATTACCTTCCAGAAGGTATAGACCATTCTAGACAGCAAGAAGAAGGCAGATACATAACAGCATGGATGGATCTCACAAATATAAAGTTGAACAAAAGCTGGGCGTGGTGGCTCACGCCTGTAATTCCAGCACTTTGGGAGGCCAAGGCAGGCGGATCACCTGAGGTCAGGAGTTTGAGACCAGCCTGGCCAACATGGCGAAACCTGTCTCCACTAAAAATACAAACATTAGCCGGGTGTGGTGGCGCGTGCCTATAGTCCCAGCTACACGGAAGGCTGAGGCAGGAGAATCGCTTGAACCCCGGAGGCGGAGGTTGCAGTGAGCCGAGATCATGCCACTGCACTCCAGCCTGGGCAACAGAGCAAGACTCCGTCTCAAAAAATAAAAAATAAATAAAAAAAAAAGTTGAACAAAAGAAGCCAACCCCCAGAGTACTGTGTGGTTCATTTACATAAACTTCAAACACAGGCAAATGAATCCCCTAAATTTTAAGAGGAACATAGTGAATGGGAGGGGACAAAGGGAGGCTTCGTGGGGGAACTGGTAATGTTTCGTTTCTTGATTTGGGTGCTGGTTACCTTGGGTATTCAGTTTGTGAAAATTCATAAAAATTTATATGATTGTGTATTTTTCTGTATGTTATACCTTAATTAAAAAGTTTATTATTATTATTATTATTATCATTTTTTATAGAGATAGGTTTCACTATGTTGGCCAGGCTGGCCTCGAACTCCTGTGTTCAAGCAATCCTCCTGCCTTGGCCTCCCAAAACAAGCTTGTGCCACTACACCTGGCGTAAAAAAAGGTTTTTGTTTTGTTTTGTTTTGTTTTTGGGACGGAGTTTCACTCTTGTTGCCCAGGCTGGAGTGCAGTGGCTTAGTCTCGGCTCACTGCAACCTCCGCCTCCCAGGTTTAGGCGGTTGTCCTGCCTCAGCCTCCCGAGTAGCTGGGATCACAAGCAGGCACCACCATAACTGGCTCATTTTGGATTTTTTTTTTTTTTTTTTTTTTTTTTTGAGACGGAGTCTCGCTCTGTCGCCCAGGCTGGAGTGCAGTGGCACGATCTCGGCTCACTGCAACTTCCGCCTCCCGGGTTCACGCCATTCTTCTGCCTCAGGCTCTGAGTAGCTGGGACTACGGCGCCCGCCGCCACGCCCGGCTATTGTATTTTTAGTAGAGACGGGGTTTCACTGTGTTAGCCAGGATGGTCTCGATCTCCTGACCTCGTGATCCGCCCGCCTCGGCCTCCCAAATTGCTGACCTTGTGATCCGCCCGCCTCGGCCTCCCAAAGTGCTGGGATTACAGGCGTGAGCCACGGCGCCTGGCCTCATTTTGTATTTTTAGTAGAGACGGAGGGATTTCTCCATGTTGGTCAAGCTGGTCTCGAACTCCCGACCTCAGGTCACCCGCCTCAGCCTCCCAAAGTGCTGGAATCACAGGCGTTAACCACCGCACCCGACCTACAAAAAAGTTTTTAAAAAGATAAACAATACAGGAAAAAATGTGCAAAGGATATGAATAGGTAATTCACAGAGAAGTAATTCAAATGGCCAATAAATCTATGAAAATCTTACTAGGAATCCAGAAAATGTAAATTCAAAAATAAGAGCATTTTGTATTCTTTGGATTGGCAAAAATTGAGTTTTATTTTCTTGGTTGTCTAAAAAAAATGTTGGTTAGACTTGATTTGTTTGATTTAGGATGCAAACAGGGTCCTTGCATTGCATGGGTTATTATGGCTCTTAAGTCTTTAAAACCAATTATCCTCCTCTTCGCTCACCTTTTATACCAATTATTTATTGAACAAACTGGGTCGTTTGTTTGGTAGAATGCCCCACATGCTGGAGTTGGTTGGTTGCTTCTGCTGCTTCTAAGTTTTCCTTATCTGCCATATTTCCTGTAAACTGTAGGTTTGATCTAGAGGCCCCATCAGGTTCATGCTCAACTTGTCTTGGCAAGAATCCATCGCAGGTGGCGCTGGTACTTCCTGGCACTAAGATCGATTGGCGGGACCGGGACTTCGCGGCTTAGCCCCTCCATTTTCAAGTTCCCCGCCAAACCCTCCCCTCTTGGTTGTACCCATTTCTGATGATCATCGCGTGAATCCATCATTCTATTGAGGGGTGCCAAATAATTTTCGGATTCTCTCATTCATCCTCATGTATTAGCTGGACTTTGTAAAAGAAAGTCCCTCCCCAACTATTTTGGGGCTCTGAAATACAGTTCATTCAGGAAGGGCAGGAGGATGCCTGATGCTTTCTTGTTATTTAAAATTTTCAGGATGAATGAGCTGATGCCCACGAGGGCGAATTTTGGGGTACCATTATAATACATTCAGGGAGATTACATATATGTCTATTTCATGTTTTTCAATCAGTTGCAGTCACTTTCCTGGTTGAAGCTGTTGCAAGTTTTACAGGCACGGGTTGCTTTTCCACGGATAAGTTAAAAAAGAGAATTTTTTTTTAAATGATGAGAAGCCGCACCGGGTCGGGGCAGGCTTCCGGGAGGCGGGCGCGGGGCCCCGGGGCCGGGTCGCGTTGGTCCCGCGCCGGGGGCGGGGCGCGGCGTGGGCTGGGCCGTGCGCCTTTGCGCGCGGGGCGGGGCAGGTGGCGCAGCAGCGGCGGCGGCGGCTGTGGGTAAAGGCGCGGCGCGCGGCCCCCGAGCGCGCCAACCTTGCCCTAGCCGGAGCCCGCTGCGGCCCAGCGCACGGCCCTCACCCCGCATCGCGACCCCGCGCCCCGCCGGCCGAGCATGGGCGCGCGCGCCTCAGGCGGGCCCCTGGCCCGGGCCGGGCTCCTGCTGCTGCTGCTGCTGCTGCTGCTGCTCGGGCTGCTGGCCCCGGGCGCGCAGGGGGCGCGGGGCCGCGGCGGCGCGGAGAAGAACAGCTACCGCCGCACGGTCAACACCTTCTCCCAGAGCGTCAGCAGCCTGTTCGGCGAGGACAACGTGCGCGCCGCTCAGAAGGTGGGCGCCGGGCCCGCGCCCGCGGTCACCTTGCCCCGGTCGCCACGCACCTGGCTACCGGGGCCGACCTGGGAGGAGCGCGGCCTCCGGGGCTGCCCGCCCGGCCAGCGCGCGGGAAGAGGGGGTCCGGCCTGCGCCTCGGGGCCTGCCGCCTGCGGCCCCCGCCGGGCCTGACCAGTGCGGGTCTGGGCGGCCGGGCCTCGGGGCGCCCTCTCCTCTGCGCCGCGCTTCTCCTTGGACCTTGCCTCCGCGGTCGGCGCAGCCAGAGTCTCTCCCGGCTGCGCTGACGCCTGCCGCGCGTCTCATTCATTCATTCACCGCGTTTGAATGGCTCCTACTGTGAGCCAGGCAGCACACTGGCGCTCTCGGTCCCCACGCGGCTGCGCCCTCCCCAGCTACCCCGGGTTTGTCCTAGCCTCGCATCCCGACCCACTTCCCCTGGGACCTTCTGCCCCACTCCTCCTCCTGCTTTGAAGATACTTGGAGTTGTTTTTACTTTACAGGAAAAGAAGGGAGCAATGCGATTTGCTCGGTGGCTTTGGGAAACCGAGCACCTACTGTGTGCGGGGCCTTTCGCGTGGAGCCTTTTGTTTAGTTTGGGGAGGTCCCGGATCCTGCAGCCTCCTGGGAAGGGTGTTGAGTCCCAGGAGGATCGCAGGGGGTTTTCCCCAATTCCTGCTCTCTGGAGCTAGGTGCGATAGGGGTGCCATTCCGGGCCGAAGTCCGCCGACTAGCTCTTGAGAAGGAGGAAGTTACTGGGGACAGTTGTGTGTGGTATTGCGGTTCCTTTGCTGTTCCCTGGGGAGGAGGGGGCTCTTGCTTGCCGCCAGCCTTCCTGGGGTTTTGGAGTCAGAGAAGTTTGGGTTCAAGTTGGAGCTCTACCAGTTGGATGACTTTGGGGAAGTGACTTCACTTCTTTGAGCTTGTTTCTTTATTTGTTAAATGGGGATAGTAATCATTCCCCTTCATTGCGAGGTTGTAATTATGACTAGTTGGTACCTTCCTGGCCCAGAATCATGGCTAAAAAGTTAAAGTTTTCTGCTCATTGAGAGGGAGTGGGGAATAGAAGGGAATATGAAGGCCGAAATCAGATTGACTGCATGTTCTTACTGGATAACATGAAAGGTTAATTTGTTAGGAAAACAGTAAGTTTTGACCTCCCTCTCCTGTGGGCAGGGGCACCTCTTGCACAGGTGGGTCTGTGTCTTCATACATGTAGGGGAGAGAACGCTTTGTAGGTGGCCAAAGAGGGGCAAGGAAGCAGGGCTGAACGCCTGAATGTGAAAAGGTTGCCCTGGAGTCTGGCGCGGGAAAGGATCAGGGGTGTGAGTGCAGGGAGTCTCACTTACTTCCTCTTGATGCCGTTTCGGAGCTATTTGAAGGCAGAAATCATTTGTTTTAGAGCAAAAATAAGCCTGTCTTTTTCACGCAGGGTGACCACAGGATCCCCATGTCTCAACTGACGGTGGTTCCATGTGACAATCTAAGGCCAACAAACATGAAATACGAGTGGTTATTTAAGACTTTTACTTAAATAAGACAATCTGTATTCTGGCAGAGCATCTCCGAATCTGGGGGTCAGAGCTCTTCCTGGGCTAAACCGGGGTTTGTGCCTTTAATAGAGATACTAATGATTACTAAGTGCTTTTGTAGATAGAATAATCTTATGTAATCCTTAGAATGACCCTGTGCAGTAGGTACTGTTACTGTTCCCATTTGACAGATGAGGAAACTGAGACACAGAGCAGTGAAGTGGCTGGTTTCAGGTCAGATGAGTGGCAGAGCCAGGATGTGAACCTAGGCAGAGTGGACATGGAGCCCACATTAGTATCTCTCGCCTGTTTTCCTGCTTCATGACCCCTTCCCTGTTCCCCGAGTCAGTACAGCATCCAGAGGCTGACCTGACTTCTTTCCTTTTTGTTTTTTTGAGACGGAGGTCTGGCTCTGTTGCTCAGGCTGGAGTGCAGTGGAGTGATCTCGTCTCACTACAACCTCCACCTCCCAGGTTCAAGCGATCTTCCCCACTCACCCTCCCAAGTAGTTGGGATTACAGGTGTCCACCAGCATGCCTGGCTAAGTTTTGTATTTTTAGTAGAAAAGAGGTTTCACCATGTTGACCAGTCTGGTCTCAAACTCCTGACCTCAAGTGATCCTCCCGCCTCGGCCTTCCAAAGTGCTGGGATTACAGGTGTGAGCCATTGCACCTGGCCTGACTTATTTTATTTCCTGCTGAGTGTAGCCCACACTGGCCAGGCTTGGGGATATTGTTTTGTTAATTTTATGGGTTTTTTTTTAAATTTAATTAATTAATTTATTTTTTGAGACAGACTCTTACTCTGTCACCCAGGCTGGAGTGCGTTGGCACGATCTTGGCTCACGGCAACGTCTGCCTCCTGGGCAAGCAATTCTCCTGCCTCAGCCTCCTGAGTAGCCGGGATTACAAGTGAGTAGCCGGGATTACAAGTGAGCACCACCACATCCGGCTAATTTTTTATGTTTTTGGTAGAGATGAGGTTTCATCATGTTGGCCAGGCTGGTCTCAAACTCCTGACCTCAAGTGATCTGCCGACCTCAGCCTTCCAAAAGTGCTGGGATTACAGGCGTAAGCCACCGTGCCCAGCCTGTTTTGTGAATTTTAAATAAAGGAAAACTGGGTCTGCCAGCAACTGTAGTTTTCAGCATGCCTGGGTTTACGAATTAGAGCCAAACCTGCTTTGTGAAGTTTAATGGTATTTAAAAAAACACCCCATAGTCTTTTTTTTTTTTTTTTTCCGAGATGGAGTATTGCTTTGTCGCCCAGGCTGGAATGCAGTGGTTCAGTCTTGGCTCATGGCAACCTCTGCCGCCCAGGTTCAAACAATTCTCCTGCCTCAGCCCCCTGAGTAGCTGGGATTACAGGCGTGTGTGCCACCATGCCTGGCTAATTTTTGTATTTTTAGTAGAGATGGGGTTTCACCATGTTGGCCAGGCTGGTTTCGAACTCCTGACCTCGTAATCCGCCCTCCTCAGCCTCCCAAAGTGCTATGATTAGAGGCTTGAGCCACCGTGCCCGGCCTCCCATATTCTAATCTAGGACTTGTCTGAAATACACCTATGACCATCCTGTTTGGAGCATGGGAACAGACATGAGTTTGAATCCTAGCTGTTTCTCACTCGCTCTGTGACCCTGAGCCAGTTGCTTTACTTCTCTTTTTTTTTTGCTTTACTTCTCTTTTTTTTTTTTTTTTTTTGAGATGCAGTCTCGCTTCTTCTCCCAGGCTGGAGTGCAATGGCGAGCTCTCGGCTTACTGCAACCTCCGCCTCCCGGATTCACGAAATTCTCCTGCTTCAGCCTCCCTAGTAGCTGGGGTTACAGGCAGATGCCACCACGACCAGCTAATTTTTGTATTTTTAGTAGAGACAGGGTTTCACTGTGTTGGCCAGGCTGGTCTCGATCTCATGACTTCAGGTGATCTGCCTGCCTCGGCCTCCCAAAGTGCCGGATTTACAGACGTGAACCACCGTGCACCACCCAGTTGCTTTACTTATCTGTGTCCCATTTGTTCAGAGGAGATAAATTGGGGAATTAAAGGAGATTGGTTGGGCTGCACAATGCCAGGGACTGAATAAGCATTTAGTAAATGGTAGAATATTTCTATATGAAGGGAATTTGTCTGGTAGGAGGTAATAGACTTGTTAATTCCTTTAAAAATTATTAAGTGATGCCCTGGCATGGTGGCTCACACCTGTAATCCCAGCACTTAGGGAGGCCAAGGTGGGCAGCTCATCTGAAGTCAGGAGCTCGAGACCAGCCTGGTCAACATGGCGAAACCCTGTCTCTACTAAAAATACAAAAATTAGGCCAGGTGTGGTGGCTCACGCCTGTAATCCTAGCACTTTGGGAGGCCAAGGTGGATGGATCACCTGAGGTCAGGAGTTCAAGACCAGCCTGACCAACATGGTGAAACCCTGTCTCTACCAAATACAAAAAATTAGCCAGGCGTGGTGATGCATGCCTGTAATCCCAGCTACTTGGGAGCCTGAGGCAGGAGAATCGCTTGAACCCGGGAGGCGGCCGTTGCAGTGAGCCAAGATTGCACCGTTGCGCGCGCCAGCCTGGGCAACGAGTGAAACTCCGTCTCAAAAAAAAAAAAAAAAAATTAGCTGGGCGTGGTGGTGCACGACTGTAATCCCAGCTACTTGGGAGGCTGAGGCAGGAGAATAGATTGAGCCCGGGAGGCTGACGTTGCGGTGAGGTTGAGTCGCCCCACTGCACTCAAGCCGGGGGAACAGAGACTCCGTCTCAAAAAAAATTATTAAGCAACTTATACACATGTGTTCATAGCAACACTTTTTACAATAGCTAAAAAGTGGAAATGTCCCAAATGTCTTATCAGCTGATGAAGGGATAAAATGTGATGTGTCTGTATAATGAAATATGATTCAGCCATAAAAAGGAATGAAGTATTGCTATATGCTACAACTTGGACGAACCTTGAATAAATGAGAGAAGCCAGTCACGAAAGGGCACACATTATATGATTCCATTTACAGCATATGAAATATCTGGAATAGGAAGATCCGTAGAGACAGAAAGCAGATGGGTGGTTGCCAGGGGCTGGGGGAGGGAGCAATGGGGGAATTACTGCTTAATTGATCTAGGGTTTCCTTTTGGGGTGATGACAGATTGTGGAACTAGATAATAATGGTTGCATGATATTGTGAACGTGCTCATGCCACTGAATTGTACACTTTAAAATGGTTAAAATGGCCAACTTTATGTGTATATGACTACAGTTTTTTAAAAAAATTGGCCTGGTGCAGTGGCTCACATCTGTAATCCCACCACTTTGGGAGGCCTAGGTGGGAGGATTGCTTGAGCCCAGGAGTTTGAGACCAGCCTGGGCAACATAGTGAGACCCCATCTCTACGAAAAACCAAAACCTTTGGCTAGGCATGGTGGCGCACACCTGTGGTCCCAGCTACTTGGGAGGTTGCATAGGGAGGATCGCTTGATCCTGGGAGGTTGAGACTACAGTGAGCTGTGATCACACCACTGTACTCCAGCCTCAGGGACAGCACAAAACTCTTTGTCTCCAAAAAAAACAAACAAATGAAAAATTTCAAGCACCTACTGTATGTGGAGAAAATGATTCCTCTCAGGCAGAATATAGCTGGACTGATGTGGTGGAAACATCCTGAATGCCAGGTCGAGAAACTAGTACTTTTTTCCCTTGCTCCTTGGTCGTAGTTGCATGGAATACAATTTCATGTAGTTCTGAAGGTTAAGAAACTAACTCCACTTCCCACTACCGACCCGTCTACCACCCCCTTCCCCGAAGCAGCCAGATATTCTGAACATGTATAAATATATGGATCTATAGATCTGCTCCCTATTGTTGGTTTTTGTTTATTTTGCACTATGCGCACTGTTTTGTATTTTTATTTTATTTTTCCCTGAAACAGAGTCTCCCTCTGTCGCCCAGGCTGGAGTGCAGTAGCTCAATCTTGGCTCACTGCAGTCTCTACCTCCCGGGCTCAAATGATCCTCCTGCATCAGCCTCTCAAGTAGCTGGGATTACAGGTCTGCACCGCCATGCCCTGCTAAGTTTTTTATTTTTTATTTTTATTTATTTATTTATTTATTTTTCTTGAGACGGAGTCTCCCTCTGTCGCCCAGGCTGGAGTGCAGTGGCGCAATTTCGGCTCACTGCAAGCTCCACCTCCTGGGTTCATGCCATTCTTCTGCTTCAGCCTCCCAAGTGGCTGGGACTACAGGCGCCTGCCACCATGCCCAGCTAATTTTTTTGTGTGTTTTTAGTAGAGACGGGGTTTCACTGTGTTCGCCAGGATGGTCTCGATTTCCTGACCTCGTGATCCGCCCGCCTCGGCCTCCCAAAGTGCTGGGATTACAGGTGTGAGACACCCGACCCAGCCTCATTAAACTTTTTGGCTTTATTATGTATGAGACAGATGGTCTTTTCATTTATTCAGAATCCATCGATATGTTCTGGGAACTGCCTTTTGGTTTTTCTTTTTTTTTTTTTTTTTTGCCGTTCTATTGAGCTGTTGGGTTCTTTTGTTTTTGCTTTTTTTTTTTTTTTGTAAAGAGGTTTGCATTTTTTGCTGTTTGCAAGAAAGTATTTTGAGCAAAATAACTTTGACACTTTCCAGTCCTTTTTCCCCTACCAACATTTTAACAGCTTTTTTGAGGTGTAATTGCACTACACCTCAATAGACTGTGCGTATTTAAAGTGTACAGGTTGACACCTTTTGACATACACACTTGTGAAAAATTACCACAGTTAAGATAAAGTTTCATATGATTTTTTTTTTTTTTTTTTTTTTTGAGAGGGAGTCTCGCTCTGCCACCCAGGCTGGAGTGCAGTGGCGCAATCTCGGCTCACTGCAAGCTCTGCCTCCCGGGTTCACACCTTTCCCCTGCCTCAGCCTCCCGAGTAGCTGGGACTACAGACGCCCACCACCACGCCCGGCTAATTTTTTGTATTTTTAGTAGAGACGGGGTTTCACCATGTTAGCCAGGATGGTCTCGATCTCCTGACCTCATGATTGCCTGCCTCGGCCTCCCAAAGTGCTGGGATTACAGGCGTGAGCCACCACGCCCAGCCTGTTTCCTATAATTTTTTATGTTGATAATTTTTCAAAGTACTAAAATGCTGAAAGAACAGAACAAGGAATAGCTGCAAACATCTCCCCTAAAGTCACCAGTTCTTACATTTCCCCTCAAACTTTTTTCTCTGCAAACACATCCGATAGACACATACACACATGCACACACATTTATTTTTATTTTTTGGCAGGATCATTTGAAAGTTAGTTGCAGACGTCTTAATACTTTTTCCTACAGAACCACAATACCATTGTCTCAGCCAAGAAACTTAAATATAGTACAGTATTTTGTAACAGATAGTCCATATTCAAATTGTCTTTATAGCTCATAAAAAATCCAACACCCAGTCAAGGACTGCTCATGCATTTAGTGTTCATGTCTCTAGTCTGTCAGAGTTTCCTCACTTTTGGTGGAGGAAGGGACTTAATTATGAATTTTTTTTTATTTTTATTTTTTTTTGAGACGGAGTCTTGCTCTGTCACCCAGGCTGGAGTGCAGTGGCGCGATCTCGGCCCACTGCAAGCTCCACCTCCTGTGTTCACGCCATTCTCCTGCCTCAGCCTCCCAAATAGCTGGGACCAAGGGTGCCCGCCATCACGCCCGGCTAATTTTTTTTGTATTTTTAGTAGAGATGGGGTTTCACCGTGTTAGCCAGGATAGTCTGGATCTCCTGACCTCGTGATCTGCCCGGCTCGGCCTCCCAAAGTGCTGGGATTACAGGCATGAGCCACCGCACCCGGCCCCAATTATGCATTTTTTTCTTTTAGACAAGCTCTCACTCTGTAGCCCAGAATGGAGTGCAGTGGCGCAGTCTCGGCTCGGTGCAACCTCTGCCTCCTGGGTTCAAGCGATCCTCCCACCTTAACCTCCTGAGTAGCTGGGCTTACAAGCATGTGCCACCATGCCTATTTATTTATTTATTGTATTTTTCGTAGAGACAGGATTTCTCCTCGAAATCCCTGTGTTGCCCAGGCTGGTCTCTTGACTCCTGGGCTCATGCGATCCTCCCGCCTTGGCCTCCCAAAGTGCTGGGATTATAGGCGTGAGCCACTTCGCCTGGCCCAGTAAGGGACTTTTACAGCATTGACATTTCTGAAGATCACAGACTAAATGTCTTTTTTTTTTTTGAGCTATAATTCATATACCATACAGTTTATTCATTGAAAGCTCAGCGGTTTGTAGTATATTCACAGTGCTGTACAGCTGTCACTACAGTCAGTTTTAGAACATTTGCATTACCCCAAAAAGAAACTCTGTACCCATTAGCAGTCACTACTTTTTTCCTTTGCCCCAACTCCCAGCCTTAAGCAACTGCCAATCTGCTTTCTGTCTCTATTTCTGAGCCTACTGTGGGCTTTTCATAGGAGTGGAGTCCTGTACAGTCTGGCCTTTTGTGTCTGGCTTCTTTCACTTAGCCTCATGTTTTCAAGGTTCATCCATACTGCAGGATCAATACTTTATTCCTCTTTATGGCTTTTTATTTACCTGATCATCAACTGATGCACATTTCGGTTTATGTCACTTTTTGTCTATTGTGAATGGATGCTGCTGTGAATATCCATGTGCAAATATTTGTGTGGGCATTGTTTCCAGTATTTTGCGGTGCATACCTAGGAGTCCAGTTGCTGGGTCATACAGGAACTTTTTGTTTAACACTTTGGGGAACCGTCACCCTTTTCCAAGGCAGATGTACCGTTTTACCTGCCTACCAGCATGTGGGGCCTGGTTTCCCCACATCCTTGTCAGCACTTGCTATGGTCTACCTTTTTAATTCTAGCCATCTTGGCAGACGTGAAGTAGTATTGCTGTGGTTTTGACAGTCCAGAACTGGTTTTTTTTTTTGTTTTGTTTTTTTTTTTTTTGAGACAGAGTCTCGCTCTGTTGCCAGGCTGGAGTGCAGTGGCACAATCTCTGCTCACTGCAACCTCCGCCTCCGGGGTTCACGCCATTCTCCTGCCTCAGCCTCCCGAGTAGCTGGGACTACAGGCACCCGCCACCACGCCCAGCTAATTTTTTGTATTTTTAGTACAGACAGAGTTTCACTGTGTTAGCCAGGATGGTCTCGATCTCCTGACCTCGTGATCCACTCACCTTGGCCTCCCAAAGTGCTGGGATTACAGGCGTGAGCCACCACACCTGGCCCAGAACTGTCTTTTGAAATGTCCCACAGTGTGTATTGTATTATTCTGATTATCTCCTCCGGGTTAGGCTCAGACTTAGCTTTCATGGCAAGAATTCTGCAGAAGGCATCATGTGTCCTTGCTGAGGCAGTACCATATCGGGGCTCGTGGTGTCTGTTTGTGCCATCGCATTCTCGTTGGTTGACGCTGAATTTGATCTCTGGGTTGAGGCTGGGCAGGCCCACTGCGCTGGGGGTGCCCTTTCCCCTCTGTGGTTCATACGTGGTCTGTATGTTATGTTCCAGCATTTTCCGTTCATCTGGCTTTTGCATTTCTGTGTGTTCTTCAGATGCTTGGGAAACCTCTGAATGGCAGAATCTCCCGTCCCCTCTCCCTGGCTTGCTTATCAAGATGCCTTTGCCCTCATGGCCTGATTTTCCATAGGACCCGTTTGCATGTGCCTGAGGGTGATGGAGGTAAAGCGAGATTAGGATGCAGGAAGGCCATTGTCACCCAACCCCGGTGTTGGATGTCCCCGGGTGTTGGATGTCCCCCGCCTGACTGCTGCAAGAAGAGCGCTGATGAAATCCCAGGCTTGAAGCAATCTTGTTCCCTCCCATGGAGGCGATGGCTGGGCCTTGTTTGTCTGAGTCCTCAGGCATCCACAGTTTGCTCACCTGGTCCCCTTATTTCAACTTTCCATTCTGAAAATTGTCCAACATAACCAAAGGTAGGGAGAGTAGAGTGAACCCTTGTTCACCCAGGTCTTCCCATGTAGCAACTTTCTGCCATTCTGGTTACTTCTTTCCTTCCTAAATTTTTTTGAGGGTGCCTGGAATAATATTTTAAAGCTAATCCAATACATTAGTTCACCTTTGCATATTTCAGTTAGCATCTTTAACAATAAAAATTTTGTGAAAATCAAAACCACAATACCGGCCGGGCATGGTGGCTCATGCCTGTAATCCCAGCACTTTGGGAGGCCGAGGCGGGTGGGTCACTAGAGGTCAGGAGTTTGAGACTAGCCTGGCCAACATAGTGAAACCCCATCTCTACTAAAAATATAAAAATTAGCTGGGCATGGTGGCGCTCACCTATAATCCCAGCTACTCAGGAGGCTGAGGCAGGAGAATTGCTTGAGCCCAGGAGGCGGAGGTTGCAGTGAACCAAGATTGCACCACTGCACTCCAGCTTGGGCGACAGAGCGAGACTCCATCTCAAAAACACACACACACACACACACACACACACACACACACACACACACACAACACACAATACCATCATTACAGCTTATAACAATTCCTTAACATCTAATGCAGGTCCATTTTCTGATTTCCCTGGCCCAAAATGTCTTTACAAAACTTTTTGTTTGAATTTGTATCTAAACAAAGTCTACACATGAAGTGTCTTTTAAGTCTCTTTTTTAAATTTTTAAATTTTTTTAAAATTTTTTTGAGACAAGGTCTTGCTTTGTCACCCAGACTGGAGTGCAGTGGCACGAACACAGCTCACTTGCAGCTTCAACCTCCCAGGTTCGATGATCCCCCAGCCTTCTCCCGAGTAGCTGGAACCACAGGTACATGCCACCATGCCCAGCTAATTTTTTAATTTTTTGTAGAGACAGTGTCTGGCCATGTTGCCCAGGCTAGTCTCTAACTCCCAGACTCAAACGATCCTCTGGCCTTGGCCTCCCAAAGTGTTGGGATTACAGGCGTTAGCCACCATGCCTGGCCCTAAGCCTTTTTTAAAAAAAAATTAACTTTATTCTTTTTATAAGTAGAGTTTAAAAAATAGTCTTTTCTTTTAGAGTTATAGAAAAATTGTGAAGATAATACAGGGAGTCGCCATATACCCCTCACCCTGTTTCCCCCATTATTAACGTTGTATATTCATGTTCTATTAATGAACCAATATTGGTACATCAATTATTCGCTGAAGTCTGTACTTTATTCAGACTTCTGTAGTTTTTCCTGCCACCCTTTTCTGTCCCAGGATCCCATCTGGGATCCCACCCGATATTTGGTCCTCAGGTCTCCCGAGGTCCTCTCGGCTGGGAGTTTCTCAGGCTCTACTTGTTTTTGATGACCTTGACAGTTTTCAGGAGCATTGATCAGGCCTTTTTCTTTTCTTTTCAAATCTCCCTGTGTCACGCAGGCTGGAGTGAAGTGGTGTGATCTCTGCTCACTGCAACCTCTGCCTCCCAGATTCAAGCAATTCTCCTGCCTCAGCCTCCTGAGTAACTGGGACCACAGTTGCATGCCATCACACCCGGCTAAGTTTTGTGTTTTTAGTAGAGTCAAGAGGTTTCACCATGTTGGCCAGGCTGGTCTTGAACTCCTGAACTCAAGTGATCTGCCTGCCATGGCCTCCCAAAATGCTGGGATTACAGGTGTGAGCCACAGCGCCCAGCCGGTCAGGGATTTTGTAGGATGCTCCCAATTGGAATTTGTCTGATGTTTTTCTCATAATGAGACTGGGTGATGGGTTTTGGGGAGGAAGACACAGAGTTAAGGACCATTTTCATCCCATCACATCCAGGGTACAGCAAATCATCATGATTTAAGTCACTTTTAATTTTAATGCCCCCACCTCATGCTTTTTCTTGGATGCCATCTTATTCTGTGGAGAAACTGGGTCTCACCCCATAGCATCTCCACCATCTGCATCTGGCTGGGTGCATCCTCATGGTGGTGTTTCCCTGTGTCCCATTTCCCAGATCCCCAAGAACCAGTGGTTAGATCTAGAGGCCTGGCCAGGGATGGTGGCTCATGCCTGTAATCCCAGCACTTTGGGAGGCCGAGGCGGGCAGATCACTTGAGGTCAGGAATTCAAGACCAGTTTGGCCAACATGGTTGAAACCCCATCTCTACTAAAAATACAAAAAATTAGCCAGACATGGTGCCTTACGCCTGTAATCCCAGCTACTCGGGAGGCTGAGGCATGAGAATTGCTTGAACCCGTGGGGTGGGGAGCGGAGGTTGCAGTGAGCCGAGATCGCGCCACTGCACTTCAGCCTGGGTGACAGAGCAAGACTGTTTAAAAAAAAAAAAAAGATCTAGAGGCCCGATAAGATTCAGGCTTGCATTTTCACCGGATTTCTGCTGGAACTGCCTCCAGGCTTTGGGCTTCGCTGTAAGCTCCTGTGTTTGTGTGCACTGCAGCCCAGTCGCCTAAACAGCAGACATACATTTTCTCCCATTCTGGAGGCTGGAAATCTGAGCTCGAGGTGCCAGGGTTGCTTTCTCCTGAGGCCCCTCGTCTTGGCTTGCAGATGGCCGCCCTCTCCCTGTGTCTTCGAGTGGTCTTTCCTCTGTTTATCTGGGTCCTGCTCTCCTACTTGCATAAGGACACCAGTCGCATCGGATTAGGGCCCACCGTAAATATCTCATTTCAGCTTAATCACCTCTGTAAAGACCCTGTCTCCAAATACAGTCCCATTCTGAGGTCCTAGGGTTTAGGGCTTCCACATAAGCCTTTTGGGGGACAGAGTTCAGCCCATATTATTCCCCTTAGGGCTCCTGTGTCTCCATCCACACAAAGTGGGTCAGGGTGTCACACACCAGAGCAGGCAGGCCCAGCCCCACAGGGAACAGCAAATTCTCCAGCCAAATGGTTCAACGGCAAGAGATGGGATCCTCCCCGAATTCACCCTCTCCTGCCCGGGGCCAGTTTTCAGGAGGGGACAGGTGCCGTTCTTTCCACCGTGAGAAAGAACCTCTGACCTACACCTTTCTTAGCACTGCTAGGAGCTCCTCAGGCACGCCAGCTTCTCAGGCATGGCAGTTTTCAGAGCACCTGCCTGTCAGCTTGTGTTACATGGGAGGTGACTGCTCAGCTTGCAGGGAGTTCCAGGTTGCCACCCTGCAACCCATGAATCTGACAAGAACCACCTCAGCTGCTCCGACACGCTGGGCACCTGCCGTGTGCTGGGCGCCACGCCGAGGTCTTTACAGGTTCTGCTCTTGAATCCTCTCTTAGTCCCATTTCTCCCACAGCAGAGAAAACTGAGGCACAGAGAGGTTCAACAGTGTGAGCAGGAAAGTCTCTTCCTCCCAGAATAATTGCTTCCACGCACCCTTTCCTGGGCACTTGGTGGCATTTTAAAGGCCTGCTACTCTTTTCTCACAAAAACCTTTCTTTTTCCCTCCATTTGAACAAATTATAGAAATTGCTATATATTATCTGGGCGCGGTGGGTCACGCCTGTAATCCCAGCACTTTGGGAGGTCAAGGTGGGTGGATCATCTGAGGTCAGGAGTTTGAGATCAGCTTGGCCAACATGACAAAACCCTGTCTCTACTAAAAATATAAAAATTAGCCAGGTATGGTGGCACATGCCTGTAATCCCAGCTACTTAGGAGGCTGAGGCAGGAGAATTGCTTGAATCCACAAGGCAGAGGTTGCAGTGAGCCGAGGTCGCACCACTGTACTCTAGCCTGGGTGACAGAGTGAGACTCTGTCTCCGCCCCCCCCAAATAAATTGCCATGTATTGACAAACATGTACAAGTCACACATACTTTAAATAATTGTAGGTTGAGCACGGTGGATCACACCTGTAATCCCAGTGCTTTGGGAGGCTGAGGCAGGCAGATCACCTGAGGTTAGAAGTTCGAAACCAGCCTAGCCAACATAGGAAAACCCTGTCTCTACTATTTTACAAAAACTAGCCAGGCTTGGTGGCATGTGTCTGTAATTCCAGTTACTCAGGAGGCTAAGGCAAGAGAATTGCTTGGACCTGGGATGGGGAGGTTGCAGTGAGCTGAGATGGCGCTAATGCACTGTAGCCCAGGTGACAAAGCAAGACTCTGTCTCAGGAAAAAAAAATGTAACAGGAAGAGCTGGGCATGTAGCAGCTGCCTGTGGTCCCAGCTACGTGGGAGGCTGAGGTGGGAGGATTGCTTGAACCCAGGAGTTTGAGACTGCAGTGAGCCGTAATTACCCCCACTGTACTCCAGGCTGGGCAACAGAGCAAGACCCTGTCTCCAAAAAAAAAAAAAGAGCGTACATTCTGTAATCTATTTATTTACTCATTATTATTATTTTCTGCTATTTCTCGATGTTGCTGGATATGTCCATCGTTGTTTTTGTTGCTGTGGAATTGGACTCCATTCTGTGAGCAGATCATGTCTTACTACGCGTCTCTTCCATTGTGCACGTATGTCTGGCCTGCCTGCAGCTTTTTAGTGCAGTGGCGCTCTGAAGGCACATGTGCAACTGCCTCTCTCAGTCAAGGTCCTCAACCTGGAGTGTGCCTCAGCATCACCAGGAGGGCTGTGGAAACAGATTGCTGGGCTCCATCCCTGGAGAGTCTGAGGCAGTGGATCTGGATGGGGCCCTGAGAGTCTGCATTTCTGGCAAGCTCCTGGGTGATGCTGCTGCTGCTAGTCCGGGCACCACCACACTCTGAGAACCACTGAGCTGGGATGTGTACCGTGACATGGAATCTCTGGAAGACCTCTTCATGGGTGTGGTTCTGATTCATGCTGGTCTTCTGCAGGCCCTCCTCCCAGATCCCGCCGCCTACCCCCACCCAAGGGAGGGGCAGTCACCCTCCTCTTCTTTCTTTTTTTTTTTTTTTTTTTTTTGATTTTTTTGAGACAGAGTCTCGCTCTGTCGCCCAGGCTGGAGTGCAGTGGCGCGATCTCGGCTCACTGCAAGCTCCGCCTCCCGGGTTCACACCATTCTCCTTCTTCAGCCTCCTGTGTAGCTGGGACTACAGGCGCCCACCACCACGCATGGCTAATTTTTTGTATTTTTAGTAGAGACGGGGTTTCACCGTGTTAGCCAGGATGGTCTAGATCTCCTGACCTTGTGATCCGCCCGCCTCGGCCTCCCAAGTGCTGGGATTACAGGCATGAGCCACCACGCCTGGCCACCCTCCTCTTCTTTCTAATGCAGCGGTCCTCAACCTTTTTGGCAGCGGGACCAGTTTTGTGGAAGACAGTTTTTCCATGGACTGGGTCGGGGGATGGTTTCGGGATGATTCAGGCGCATTACGTTTATTGTGTACTTTATTTCTATTATCATTACATTGTAATATAGAATGAAATAATTATACAACTCACCATAATGTAGAATCAGTGGGAGCACTGAGCTTGTTTTCCTGCAACTAGACAGTTGCATCTGTTCCTTCTGGGGGTGACGCGGACAGTGGCAGATCATCAGGCATTAGGATCTCACAAGGAACATGTAACCTAGATCCCTCGCATGCAGTTCACAATAGGGTTCACACTCCTATGAAAATTTTTTTTTTTTTTGAGACAGAGTCTCGCTCTGTTGCCCAGGTTGGAGTGCAATGGCGTGATCTTGACTCAGTGTAACCTCCACCTCCCAGGTTCAAGCGATTCTCCTGCCTCAGTCTCTCCCAAGTAGCTGGAATTACAGGCGCACAACACTACACTCAGCTAATTTTTTTTGTATTTTTAGTAGAGATGGGGTTTCAGCATGTTAGTCAGGCTGGTCTCAAACTCCTGACCTCAGGTGATCCACCTGCCTTGGCCTCCCAAAGTGCTGGGATTACAGGTGTGGGCCACCGCACCCAGCCATCTTTTTTTTTTTTTTTTTTTTTTTTGAGATGCTGTCTCCCTCTATCACCCAGGCTGGAGTGCAGTGGCATGATCTCGGCTCATTGCAACCTCTGCCTCCCAGGTTCAAGCAATTCTCCTGCCTCAGCCTCCCAAGTAGCTGGGATTACAGGCGTGCACCACCACGCCCAGCTAATTTTTGTGTTTTCAGTAGAGACAAGGTTTCGCCATGTTGGCCAGGCTGGTCTTGAACTCCTGGCCTCAGGTGATCTACTCGCCTCGGCTTCCCAAAGTGCTGAGATTACAGGCGTGAGCCACCAGGCACAGCCTATAATGTTTTCTTAAGGTAAATTAGAGATGGGGGGGGGGTCTCATTTTGTTGCCCAGGCTGGTCTCGAACTCCTGGGCTAAAGCAGTCCTCCCACCTCAGCCTCCCAAAGTGCTGGGATTATAGGTGTGAGCCACCGTGCCCAGCCTCTATACTGTTTTTTAGGGCTAAAATGTTGGTGTCCTCACAGGACATCGTGGAGTCAATACTTCTGTTAGAATATTGGACATCGGCCGGGCATGGTGGCTCATGCTTATAGTCCCAGCACTTTGGGACGCCTAGGCAGGCGGGTCACTTGAGGTCAGCAGTTCGAGACCAGCCTGGCCAGCATGGTGAAACCCCATCTCTACTAAAAATACAAAAATTAGCTGGGTATGATGGCAGGCGCCTGGAATTCCAGCTACTCAGGAGGCTGAAGCAGGAGAATCTCTTGAACCCAGGAGGCGAAGGTTGCCTTGAGTCGAGATTGCACCAGTGCACTCCAGCCTGGGTGACAGAGTGAGACCCTGTCTCAAAAAAAAAAAAGAAGAAGAATATTGGATGTGGATGTCAACAGGAGTCTTGAACACTTACCATGTGCTCAAAGCATTTCACGTGAATATCCCATGTAAAGCTCGCAATAACCAGATGAAGTAGGTACTGTTATCTCCATTGTTAGTGGAAACCCTGCAGCCCCAGAGAGCTTATGAATATATATAATATGCTCATGGACACCCAGCTAGTAAGAGGCAGAGCTGGGATTTGAACCCATGCAGTCGACAGCCTGGCTTGTGCTTTCTCAGCCACAGTGCCACCTCTGAGGTTATTGGCATTTTCTACTCTCCTGGTCCCTGATTCAGCCCTGCTCTTATCTCCTCTGTCCTGTAGGAACCATCCAGTCAGGATATCCAGTTTAAAATGCTGTAGCCGGCCAGGCATGGTGGCTCATGCCTGTAATCCCAGCACTTTGGGAAGCTGAGATGGGTGGATCACAAGGTGAAGAGATCGAGACCATCCTGGCCAACATGGAGAAACCCCATCTCTACTGAAAATACAAAATTAGCTGGGCATGGTGGCGCATGCCTGTAGTCGCAGCTACTCGAGAGGCTGAGGCAGGAGAATCACTTGAACCTGGGAGGAGGAGGTTGCAGTGAGCCGAGATCGTGCCACTTGCACTCCAGCCTGGCGACAAAGCGAGACTCCAAATAAAATAAAATTAAATTAAAACATAAAATACTGTAGCTGCCCGGGTGTGGTGGCTCACGCCTATAATCCCAGCACTTTGGGAGGCCGGGGTGGGCAGATCACCTGAGGTCAGGAGTTCAAGACCAGCCTGGCCAACATGGTGAAACCCCGTCTCTACTAAAAATATGAAAATTACCTGAGTGTGATGGTGCGTGCCTGTAGTACCAGCTACTCGGGAGGCTGAGGTGGGAGGATTGCTTGAACTTGGGAGGTGGAGGCTGCAGTGAGCCGAGATCATACCACTGCACTCCAGCCGGAGTGACAGAGCGAGACCCTGTCTTAAAAAAAAAAAAAAAAAAAAAAAGCTGTAGCCAATTCACGGAGGCATTTACCCTTCACACGTGAGCCGAGTGGCCCATGTAGGTGGGTTCTATTATGGCAGCACTCTGCGTGATGCAGCCCTGCAGAGTCCCAGCCCCCATAGATACCTTGGTCAGCCCTTACAAGGGAAGGGGCGTGTTTTACTCAGTTTTGCTCAGTTGTTGGGCTGTCATCAATTAGTATCAAGTTCAAGTTAATCCCCTGGGCCAGTAGACCACTTGGTGGCATTCATCATGGGCTCGCTGTTTTTTCCCCTGTAATAGCCAAGGCTGGAAACCATGTAGGTATCCATGAGTATGGGCCTGGCTCCAGGTGTACCATGTTTAAAAAGGATGAGGCAGCTCTGTGTGGTCTGAGTGTGAGTATCTCCAAGACAGAGTGTTGCATGAGCAAAGCAGCTCAGCTGTACACCTGTGCTGCCATTGCAGAAAGAATATGTCTGTGCCATTATTCACCTGGCACGTCTAAGGAAGGGTTCCTCCGGAGGGGGATTCCAGTTGCCAGGAAATGAGAGGGAAGGCTTAGTCTCCACTGAATACCTGTTGGTAGGCTTGAGTTTTATGCTACATGTATACAATATCACTAATTTTTTAAAAAAAAAAGTTAAAATGAGGCTGTACCTTGTATTCATGTTTCTTTAGCCCTGTGTCACCTGGAGGGCAAATAAAGACCTCAGAGGCTCAGGGTCCTTAGAGTTGGATAGAGCATGGGGCTGTATCATTACCAGCTTCCTTGGAGCAGAAACTTCCACTCTTTAAAAATGAGAAACCCGCAGGGTGCGGTGCAGTGTTTCACGCCTATAATCCCAGGACTTTGGGAGGGCCAGGCAGGAGGACTGCTTGAGGCTTAGAGTTTGAGACCAGCCTGGACAACATAGCAAGAGCCCATCTCTACAAAATAATAATAAAGCCTGGTGTGGTGGCTGCACCTGTAGCCCTAGCTACTTGGGAAGCTAAGGCAGGATTGCTTGAGCCCGGGAGTTTGAGGGTGCAGTGAGCTATCATTGCACCACTGCACTCCAGCCTGGTCAACAGTGAGACCCTGTCTCTTTAGAGAAATCAGGCAGAGGAAGGCAGAGATCCTGACCCAAGAGGAAGCATGAAAGACAGCAGGAGCAATGGCAAGCGGCGTAACGCGGCCCTGCAGAGAGTCCCAGCCTCCATAGGTGCCTTGTTCAGCCCTTGCAAGGAAGGGGTCGTTTTCACCAGTTTTTCTCAGTTAGGCTGTGATCAGTACCCAGTTCAAGTCAATCCCCTGGGCCAGTAGTCCACATGTGTGGTATTCATCATGGGCTCACTATTTTTCCCTTCCCAGGTATAAACTCCCAAGCTCCCCAGTTCACTGCTTGACTGATGGAGGAAAACAGTGATTGGGTGATGACCGTTTTCTTGTTTCTGCAGTTCTTGGCCAGGCTGACTGAGAGATTTGTGCTGGGAGTGGATATGTTCGTGGAGACACTGTGGAAAGTCTGGACCGAGCTCTTGGATGTTCTTGGACTTGACGGTAGGTGTAGGGGTGGCATTCACGTAAGGTGTCATTCTATTTTGGTGGTTCTCATAGTGTGGAACTGGTACTCACAGTGAGTAATACATGAGAAGGTTGCGGAGGGCTGGTCAGTGAGGATATGAGTGAACATTTTTTATTTTAATAGTCTCATATATAGGCCAGGCATGGTGGCTCATGCCTGTAATCCCAGCACTTTGGGAGACCAAGGTGGGAGGGTTGCTTGAACCCAAGAATTCAAGACCAGCCTGGGCAACATGGTGAGATCCCATCTCTATAAAAAAAAAGTACAAAAAAATTGCTGGGTGCAGTGATGTGCACCTGTAGTCCCCATCCACTTGGGAGGCTGAGGCAGGAGGATTGCCTGAGATGAGGAATTCGAGGCTGCAGTGAGCTATGATCATGCCACTGTACTCCAGACTGGACGACAGAGCAAGACTCCTCTCAAATAATCATAAAAATAAAAAACAAATGGCCCATCAAAGCTGAGATTTCCCAGATGCCACTTAGGATAAGGTGCGACTGGGTAGTGGGAGTGCCAATTTGTGTGCAAAACACATGGACCAGAGGTATAGTGCTCTGGCTTACTGGCATCCGTGCAAGAAATGACTAGTTATTTAGGCAGAAGGGGATTTCATGAGACAGAGACACTCACAGAACCATCAGAAAGGCTGAGGAAGAGATGCATGGCCTCAGACACTGCCGAACTGGCTGTCCAGGGTTGCAGCTGTTGAAACCGTTGAGTTCGAAGTCACACAACTGTAGTATAATTTGAGGACCAGGAGGCCACTGCTGCCGCCACAACAACTAGACTTTGCATGTGGGTGCAGGGACCCTTGCCATTTCTGGAACCATGCATATCAGCTGCAACACTTCACTTAATTTCCAAAGTCGTGTGTGTATGGGGGAACTGCCAGGTGGAACTTACTTTCTGTCCAGTCCCTAGCTGCGAGGGAGGCAGGCTAATGCGGTTCTTAGCTCTCCAGCTTCTGCCATCCAGGAAGGCAGCCTGGGAGCAGGTGTCACCTGATGCTGCACCAGCCCATCCACCATACCCACCGCACAGGGCAAGAATTGCCAGGGGAGCTGGCCCCTGGTTTTGTGGGCTAGGGGAGGAGGGTAGTCCAGTTTGATAGTGCAGTGCTAGTCACACGTTTATAATCAGGAAGAGAACATTGGTGAGGCACGGCCCCTCCCTTTCTACATGTGGGAGGGGGCACTGATACTGGTCTTGGCGGATGGCAAGGCAGCAACGGTCATGGTAACTGAGCTGGGCACTCCTAGTCCAGTCCTGCAGCCTGTGCTACCCCCAGCCTTACACTCCCCTTCCCAGGTGGCTCTGCCCCACCTCCACCTGCATTCCATCGGTGGGTGACAGGAGCTAACCCGGGCAGAGTGCCCAGGGTGTACAGCTTTTATACCCAGAGGAGACCTTGTCCCTTACCGCCTTAAGAGCTTCAGAGGCATCCCATGCTCTCAGGATGAAGTAACCTTCCCGTTTTCTCTACCGTGCCCCATGGTGTGCCAGGTAAACAGGGATCTCCTAGCTGCCCCCGCTCCACTGCTCTCCTTCTGTCCACAAGGTGGAGGCCGCTCTTCCCCTGGGCCTTTCCAGAGGAAATTCCCCAGCTGGGCTCTTTCCAGCCCCACCGCCCTGGTCCCTGGTCCCAGCTGCCACCTGTCTCACGGGAAGGTCTGCAGTTGCTGCATGTGGCAGGGTTCCTAAGACCATCTACAGGCTCACCGGTTCCCTAGGAGCACTGGCAGGACTCAGCATATAGTTGTCCTCACAGCCGTGATTTATTGTGACGGAAGGACGCAAACACCATCAGCAAAGGGAAAAGGTGCGCGAATTCCCGGGCAGGCCAGGCCCAAGCTTCAGAGTTCTCTCCCTGTGGAGTCATACGGGACACACTTAATTCCCCCAGCAGAGGGTGCCCACCAAGGACTCCCTGCCCAGGCTTTTTACTGGGGGCTGGTCATGTAGTCACCCTCTGCTTGACACGTGTCAAAATTCTAGACTCCCAGAGGGAACGCAGGTGTTGTCATAAACCACATCATTTGTGTCAACAGCCTAGGCCTGGCATCTCCAGGCTGCACTCTGGCCCCAGCTCTGCACCTGGCACAAAGAGGCCCTTTTTGTTTGTTTTTGTTTAGGATCTCACTCTGTTGCCCAGGCTGGAGTGCAGTGGCTCAATCACAGCTCACTACAGCCTCAACTTCCTGGGCTCGTGATCCTCCCACCTCAGCCTCCCGAGTAGCTGGGACCACAGGCCCATGCCACCACACCTGGCTAATTTTTGAATTTTCTGTAGAGACAGGGTCTTACCATGTTGCCCAGGCTGGTCTCAAACTCTTGGGCTCAAACCATTCTACTGTTTCAGCCTCCCAAAGTGCTGAGATTGTAGGCGTGAGCCACCACACCCAGCCCACCCTTGGTTAATAAGAGCAGGAGGGCTGTGGGTCCCACTGCTTAGCCAGTCATGTGGGCTGAAATGTGCTCCTCAAGAATATGTGTTCCAGTCCTAATCCTGGACCTGTGAGTGAGCCCTTGTTTGGGAGTGGGGTCTGCAGATGTGATAAAGTTAAATGAGATCGTCTTGGATTAGGGTGGACCCTCAGTGTAATGATTGCTGTCCTTATAAGAAGTGGGGAATTTGGACACAGAAACACCAAGAAACATAGGGAGAAGACGGCCATGCGAAATGAGAAACAGGGACTGGAGGGACGGAGCCACAAGCCAAGGAACACTGGGACCACCAGAAGCTGGAAGAGGCGAGGAAGGATCCTCCCTTGAACTTTCAGAGGGAGTGTGGCCCCACCAAGACCTTGATTTCAGACTTCCAGCCTCCAGAACCGCAAGTGGATGAATTTCTGTTGTAAACCACCCAGTTGGTAGTGGTTTGTTGCGGCAGTCACGGGAAACCATTATACCATAGCCCTGTTACATGCGGAATCTCTCAGCAGCGCCCATTGGTGCTTGACACCCAGAGATGGGGGAGTGGGGTCCACTGGCCATGATGGGCACACTGGTTCATACCTGTTGACACCCCAGGCCATTCAGAAATGTCTCCAGCCTTAATTCATTGAGTTCAACCTTTAAGAGGCCTTAGGCCAACTCAGTCACCTCACTGCTCAGACAAAGAATCAGAGGCGTCAGCATAGCCAGAGGACACTGTGCACCTGGCAGCCCCCTGGGGCCACTCATGGCCCCTCCAGGGACTTGGCAGAGTTAACGCACCCTCCCCCAGATGCAGCCACCGCGTGCAATCCTCTTAGCTTCCGTATCCACCACCTGCCCGGATTGTCAAACTCTCTGTGTTTTCGTCGCCACCCATTGAACCCTGGAGAAACAAACCTGATTGCAGAAAATCGCACGCAGCTTGGAATGAAAAACTACAGAGTAGGAACAGCCTCCTAATCATATGGAAGAAGCCCAGAATAGAGGCATCGGCAGCGGATCCACGAGCCCTGAATGCCTGCATTCATCAGGGGAGCAGCTGGCGCGTTCTGGAGGCGAAACGAGCTTGCTTCCGTGTCGAAGCTTTTCTAGTTCTGTTTGATGCGTAAGCTTCAAGGCATCCGAAGCCCTTTGGAATTCGTGTCTTATGCGTAGAAGTTTGAGTGCAAAATGCTTTACAGGAAGCCATACACCAACGTTGGATATTCTGGTAAAAAAGGTTTCTGTGAGCACAATTCTATAATTTCTTTCTTCAGTGTTTTTTTTTTTTTTGAGTCTGGTTAAAATGGGAACTCTGTAGCCCCGAATGGTCTAATAGCAAAAAAATGTGAGCCCCCTAGGTGATGTGAAGTTTTCTAGTAACCATGTCAAAAGAGTAAAAAGAAATGGTGAAATTAGTTTTTCTTCCTTTTTTGGGGGGGAGGGGGTGGGGAGTGGGGGGTAGGAGGGACGAAGTCTCACTCTATTGCCCAAGCTGAAGTGCAATGGCGCTATCTCGGCTCACTGCAACCTCTGCCTCCTGGGTTCAAGTGATTCTCCTGCCCCAGCCTGCCAAGTAGCTGGGATTACAGGCATGCACCACCACACCCGGCTAATTTTTCTGTATTTTTAGTAGAGACAGGGTTTCACTATGTTGGCCAGGCTGGTCTTGAGCTCCTGACCTCGTGATCCGCCCGCCTCAGCCTCCCAAAGTGCTGGGATTACGGGCATGAGCCACTGCGCCCAGCCTTTTTTTTTTTTTTTTTTTTTTTTTTTGAGACAGAGTCTTGCTCTGTTGCCCAGGCTGGAGTGCAGTGGTGCAATCCCAGCTCACTGCAACCTCCACCAACCCAGGCTCAGGTGATCCTCCCACCTCAGCTTCCCAACTAGCTGGGACCACAAGTGTGCACCACCACATCTGGCTAACGTTTGTATTATTATTATTATTTTTTTTTTTCTGAGACCGAGTATTGCTCTGTCGCCCAGGCTAGAATGCAGTGGCCGATCTCATCTCACCACTGCAACCTCCACCTCCCGGGTTCAAGCAATTCTCGTGCCTCAGTCTCCCGAGTAGCTGGGATTACAGGCACCTGCCACCATGCCTGGCTAATTTTTGTATTTTTTTTTAGTAGAGATGGGGTTTCACCATCTTGGCCAGGGTATTCTCGAACTCCTGACCTCATGATCCACCTGCCTCGGCCTCCCAAAGTGCTAGGATTACAGGCGTGAGCCACCGTGCCCCCCTAATGTTTTTTTTTTATAGAGATGGGGTTTTGCCATGTTGCCCAGGGTGGTCTCGAACTCCTGAGCTCCAGTGATCTGCCTGCCTTGGCCTCCCAGAGTGCTGGGATTACAGGCATGTGCCACCATGCCCAGGTGAAATTAATTTTAATAAGATATTTTAGTTAACCCAATATATTAAAAACAACTTATAATTAATAGAAAATTATCAGGTGTCTCACAGTTTTTTGGGTAACTAAGGCCTTTGAGACAGTCTCTATTTGACACTTAGAGCGCACATCAGTTCTGACTTGTCACATTTCAAGGGCTCAGCACACGATAGATGGCACAGCCTTTGTCCCCATTCTAGATCTGCTGGCACAGAGCACATGTCCAGGAGTTGGAAGGATGGCTTAGAAGGATGGATTTAAGGCTCATGTCTTCATCGTGTTGCTTACCCCTCTGAAGCTGCTGAGGCCACTTCCAACAAAGTTTCCAGTAAACTGGGGAAAATAGGAATCGTGCTTCAGTGATGCGTCGGCACAGGGCAGGGGTTGTGTGGCTCCGGAAACTGGATCCCCTGGTTCCAAATCCCAGCTCTGCCCTGTCCTAGCTGTGGGACCCTGGGCAAGGAGTCCTTGTGTGGAAAATGCTGTTTACCCTATCAGCGAGTCATGAGGACTGGATGACTGTGTGTGTAGGGTGGTGGGATGGCGCCCAGCCCATGGTCGGTATTCAGTAAACACTCGGGGGCTTACAAAGGGGCCCTCCTTCAAAATGTACATCACTGTGCAGTTCTGGGACCTGCCAATCTCACTTCTCCACACTGAGGGGCGGCTGGCCAGCTGCACCCAGAGCCAGCTTCCCCTGCTGCAGCCATCAGGACTTGACAAGTGTGCAGGTGTAAACCCGACCCACGCTGAGGAACAAGTTGGCCACCAAAACATTCACTTTGCTTGAACAGTGCCTGTTAGGAGTTGAATTGTGTGTCCCCGTATTCATCTGTTTTATCTGTTGAAGTCCTAACCCCCAGAGCCTCAGAATGGGATGCTATTTGGAGATGGGGTCATTGTGGGTGTCATTTGTTAAGATGAGGTCATACTGGAGTAGGGTGAGTCCCAAATCCAATGTGACCGGTGTCCTTATACGAAGGGGAAATTTAGACACAGACACACGTAGGGAGAAGGCCACGTGAAGGCAGAGTAAGAGAGAGGAGTGTGTCTGGCAGTCACGGAGTGCCAAGGATCACCAGCAATCCGCAGACACTAGGAGAGGCCCGGGCAGATTCACCCTCGAGCCTCTGGAGCCAGCCCTGCTGACACGCTGTTCACAGACTTCCAGCCTCCAAACAAACTGAGAGAATAAACTTCTGTTCTTTTTTTTTTTTTTTTTTCTTTTCTTGAGATGGAGTCTTGCCCTGTTGCCCAGGCTGAAGTGCAGTGGCGCTATCTCGGCTCACTGCAGCCTCCGCCTCCTGAGTTCAAGCGATTCTAGTACCTCAGCCTCCCGAGTGGCTGAGATTACAGGCACATGCCACCAAATCTGGCTAATTCTGTTTTTGTTTTTGTTTTTGTTTTTTTGAGACAGAATGTTGCTCTGTTGCCCAGGTTGGAGAGCAATGCCGCAATCTTGGCTCACTGCAACCTCCGCCTCCCGGGTTCAAGCGATTCTCCTGCCTCGGCCTCCTGAGTAGCTGGAATTACAGGCACCCACCACCACGCCTGGCTAATTTTTATATTTCAGTAGAGACGGTATTTCACCATGTTGGCCAGGCTGGTCTCGAACTCCTGATCTCAGGTGATCCACCTGCGTTGGCCTCCCAAAGTGTTGGGATTACAGACATGAGCCACTGCGCCCGGCCTTCTACTCCTTTTTAGCTACTTGGCCATGGCAGCGCTAGGGAAGTCAGACGGTGCCCCTTTGCTGTCAGAACGTGCAGGGCCACTCGTGTTTTCTTTAGGATTTTCAGGGCCTCGGAGTGACGTTGCTTTGGACCACCCTTCCTTGGTTTAAAGGACAGCTTTCACTGAAGTCACCGAGAGGTGGAAGGCAGGGGTGGCATTCTCGTCTCTGGGCATCTTTCCTGGCTGATCACTATCTTGGCCCCTTGATGACACGATGCTTCTCAAAGTATGCTCAGAGGAACCCCAGGAGGTCCCTGAGACCCTTTTGGTTAGGAGGGGTGACTGTGAGTTCCTCTCTTCTCCCGTAACATGTCTCTGAGGTCAGGGATTCAGTACGTACTTTAATACTTCCATATATATTGATGCCACGTTAAGATGATGACATTTTAGATAGATTGGATTAAACAAAATATCTTATTAACATTAATTCCACCCTTTTTTTTTTTTTTTTTTTTTTGCCTTTTTTGCTGTGAGTACTTGAAAATTTTCAGTGACAAACATGGCTCACATTTGTGGCTGGTGTTCTGTTCCTCTGAATTCAAAACCAGATTTGGGGGCCAGGTCTCCTCTAAATAGCTAGATAGGAAAGAGACTGGCAAACATTCAAAGCACTGCCACTGTTCTCAGAGTGGTTTGTTCTGCTTTAGAAACAGTTGCTTTTTGTGAAAAATATTTTGTGTTAACCTATTGTCTTGGTCAGTTCAGGCTGCTATAACAAAATTCCATAGACTGTGTGGCTTATCAACAACAGACTTTTTTTTTTTTTTTTTTTTTTTTGAGATGGAGTCTCTCTCTGTTGCCCAGGCTGGAGTGCAGTGGCGCAACCTCAGCCTCCCGGGTTCCAGTGATTCTCCTGCCTCAGCCTCCTGAGTAGCTGGGATTACAGGCATGCACCACTATGCCCGGCTAATTTTGTATTTTTTTTAATAGAGACAAGGTTTCGCCATATTGGTCAGGCTGGTCTCGAACTCCTGACTTCAGATGATCTGCCCACCTTGGCCTCCCAAAGAGCTGGGATTACAGGCATGAGCCACCGTGCCCGGCCTAACAGACATTTTCATTTCTTACAGTTTGGAGGCAGGAAGTCCAAAATGAAGGCACTGGCAGATGCAGGCTGTGGGGAGAGCCCTTTCTTGTAGACGATGCCTCACTGTGTCTCACATGAAGGAACAAGGCGGTTCTCTGGGACCTCTTTATAAGGGCACTAAACCCATTCATGGGGGCTCCACCCCTACGACCTGATCACCTCCCCAGGACCCCACCTCCTAAGACCATCACTTTTGGGGTTAGGATTTCAACATAGGAATTTTGTGGGGGACACAAATACTCAAAGCCTAGCATCTGTAATGGGTTGTTATTTGAAAATGAGTTAATGATAGCAATGTTTTTAAATTATTAACAATGGCTGGACACAGTGGCTCATCTGGTAATCCCAGCACTTTGGGAGGTTGAGGCAGATGGATTGCTTAAGCCCAGGAGTTTGAGACCATCCTTGGCAACACAGTGAGACCCTGTATCTACAAAAAATCAAAACATTAGCTTGGTGGTGCATGCTTGTAGTCTCAGCTACTTGGGAGGCTGAGGTGAGAGGATCGCTTGAGCCCAGGAGGTAGAGGTTGCAATGAGCTAAGATCATGCTACTGAAGTCTAGCCTGGGCTACAGAGCAAGACTCTGTCTCAAATAAATAAATAAATAAATAATAAAATTTAAAAGATAATTAACAACTAATTAAAAACTACCTAATTTTCTGCTATGGAAAATATATCAGTTAGGTAGAACCCACATAAACGAAAGCTCTGGGGACGCTTCAATAATACTGAAGAGTGCAAACGGTCTTGAGACTGAGAGGTCTGGGAAACACTGGTTTAGCCTCCAGTCTGCAGGGGACAGGTGTGAAAGTCAGCTCCCAAGTCAACCACATTTAGTCAAAATGCTCACGATGCCTCAGGAAGGCACAGTGTAGCAAACACACTCTGGCTTCTGGGGAGTCCTGGTGACCCCAAGCCTTTAGTCCCAGAGATGGCTGCTGTTTACAGTGTTGGACTCTAGACACTGGCCAGCTGTGCGGAGTCTGATCATTTTGGGGAACTATGAGATGTTCACGCCGTAGGTGTCGTTATTGACCGGAGGAGCTCCAGGGTTGAGGCTTCCCATCTCAGGCCTGCTCTGGATTTGCGCTTGCCCACTCCAGATCGTTGTGTCACACTTTGGTCCTCTTTGGCTGGGCGTGGTGCCTCACACCTATAATCCCAGCACTTAGGGAAGCCAAGGCAGGCAGGTTGCTTGAGCTCAGGAGTTCGAGACCAGCCTGGGCAACATAGCGAGATCCTATCTGTATTTGCTGGTTTCCACACTGCTATAAGGAACTACCTGAGGCTGTGTAATTTATAAATAAAAGAGATTTAATTGACTCACAGTTCCACATGGCTGGGGAGGCCTCAGGAAACTTGTAATCATGGCGGAAGGCAAAGGGGAAGCAAGGCACGTCTTACGTGGTGGCAGGAGAGAGGAAGCAAGAGCGAGGGGTAAACTGCCAAACACTTTTAAACCATCAGATCTCGTGAGACTCACTCACTTTCATGAGAATAGCATGGAGGAAACCACCTCCACGATCCAATCACCTCCTACCAGGTCCCTCCCTGGACACGTGGGGATTACAATTTGAAATTAGATTTGGGTGAGAACACAGAACCAAACCACTTCACTGTCTCTACAAAAAAATACAAAAATTAGCCAGCTGTGGTGGTGCATGCCTATAGTCCTAGCTACTCGGGAGTCTGAGGTGGGAGGATCGCTTGAGCCCAAAAGGTCAAGGCTGCAGTGAGCCGAGATCACACCATCACACTCCAGCCTGGGTGACAGAAAAAGACCCTGTCTTAAAAAAAAAAAAAAAAAAAAAAGACCACAGATTCTTGGGCCCACCCAGGACCTACTGAATCAGATGTCCTGGGGGTGGGGCCCAGCAACCTGTTTTCCTAAGCCCTCCAGGGGATTCCTGGAGGAATCACACAAGTTTGAGAACTGCTTGTGTGAGAAGGCTTAGGATATAACTCTCCTTGAACTCATTAAACAACACTGTCAGGAAACAAACAATTGCAGCATGTGGGACCTCCTGCAAGAAAACCATCCTGGAAAAATTAGACTTCAGAATTTCAGTGTTTCTAAAATGTCATGGGTCTCTTCTCAATTAATGGAGACTAAAGTGATGGCAAATGCTGAACGTGAACTGTCGCTGGGTCCTGGTGAGGGTTGGGAGGAAACAGCTATTCCTGGATAACTGAGAAATTCAAGTGATGTTATATGGAATTGTTAATTTATTATTTATTTATTTATTTATTTATTTTTTGAGACAGAGCCTCACTGTGTCTCAGGTTGGAGTGCAGTGGCGCCATTGGCTCACTGCAACCTCTGCCTCCCTGGGTTCAAGCGATTCTCGTGCCTCAGCCTCCCAGGTAGCTTGGATTACAGGTGTGCGCCACCACGCCCAGCTAATTTTTATATTTTTAGTAGAGATGGGGTTTCACCATGTTGGCCAGGCTGGTCTCAAACTCCTGATCTCAGGTGATCCACCCACCTTGGCCTCCCAAATGCTGGCATGAGCCACCGTGCCCAGCCTGGAATTGTTAATATTCTTAGAATGATGATAGTATCATGGTTTTGAGGTGAATGATGTCTTTATTCTTAGATGTATGATGAAGTATGATGTGTACATCTTTCAAATGGGTTAATCTAAAAAGTATGTAAATAGAGAATGCAACATTCAGAATTTTTAATAATTGTTCAGTCTAGTTGGTTTCAAAAGGAATATTCTACTGTTCTTTTAACTTTTTTGTTTGAATTTCTTCAAGTCAGGCACACAGAAGATGCTACTCTTACATTTCACTGCATTCTTGAGATGGAACTTCGTGTGTGGGTACCAGTTAGGATCAGGTTTGGCTGAAACAGAAATCCAACATAACATTGGCTTAACCAAGATGGACACCTATTTCCCTCTTATATGAAAGTTCTCAGGGAGGTGGTGAGGCGGGTTTGATGGCTCTGATGCATGTGGTGCTCTGGACCAAAGCACCTTCCATTTTATTGTTCCTCCATGAGTGCCTTCCAAAATGGCTGCTCCAGTTCCAGCCATTGTATCCATGTTCCAGCAGGCAGAAGAGGTAAAGGACACATTCCTGCTACTTTTAGGGAACACATGGCCAAAGCTTAGTTATGTAGCTGCAAGAGAGGCTAGGAAATGCTTTAATCCTAGGTAGTTGTGTGCCCAGCCTGAAGGTGGGCATTTGTTACTATGGAAATTGAAGGACAATTTGCAGGCTATGCCCCACTTCCAGAGGTGTTTTAGTAAAAGGTGAAAGTTGTCTTTTGAGACAAAGTCTTACTCTGTCACACAGGCTGGAGTGCAGTGGCACATTATGGCTCACTGCAGCCTCTACCTCCCAGCCTCAAGTGATCCTCCCACCTCAGCCTCCTGAGTAGCTGGGACTACAGGTGTGTGCTACCACACCTGTCTAATTTTTTTAAAATTTGTGTTCTCTAGAGATTGGGTCTGTATTAGTCTATTTTCACACTGCTATCAAAACATACCCGAGGCCAGGCGCAGTGGCTCACACTTGTAATCCCAGCACTTTGGGAGGCTGAGGAGGTGGATCACTTGAGGACACTAGTTCAAGACCAGCCTGGCCAACATGGTGAAACCTCATCTCTACTAAAAATACAAAAATCAGCTGGGTGTGGTGGCATGTGCCTATAATCCCAGCTACTTGGGAGACTGAGGCAGGAGAATTGCTTGAACCTGGGATGCAGAGGTTGCAACGAGCCAAGATTGTGCCACTGCACTCCAACCTCAAAAACACAAACAAAAAAACCAAAAAACCTGAGACTAGGTAATGCATAAATAAAAGAGGTTTAATTGACTCACAGTTCTGCGTGGCTCAGGAAACTTATAATCATGGCAGAAGGCAAAGGAGAAGCAAGCACCTTCTTCACAAGGCAGCAGGAGAGAAAGAGAGAGCAAAGGGGGCAGCTGCCAAACACTTAAACCATCAGATCTCATGAAACCCCCCCCCCTCCACTGTCACAAGAACAGCATGGGGAAACCACCCCCATGATCCAATCACCCCCCACGAGGTTCCTTCCTCCACACGTGAGGATTATAATTCAAGATGAGATTTGTGTGGGAGCACAGAGCCAGTCCATATCAGGGTCTCACTATGTTGCCCAGGCTAAAGGTGAAAGATGTATATGATTTGAAGAGAAACCAGTATATGGAGAGGTTTTTAAAACTCAACATGGCAGGTCGTCTTAAAGGGCTTCCCTGGCTGGGCATGGTGGCTCATGCCTGTAATCCCAGCACTTTGGGAGGCCGAGGCAGGTGGATCACCTGAGGTCAGGAGTTCGAGACCAGCCTGATTAACATGGAGAAACCCCGTCTCTACTAAAGATACAAAATTAGCCGGGTGTGGTGGCGCATGCCTGTAATCCCAGCTACCCCGGAGGCTGAGACAGGAGAATTGCTTGAACCCAGGAGGCGGAGGTTGTGGTGAGCCGAGATCACACCATTGCACTCCAGCCTGGGCAACAGAGCAAGACTCCATCTCAAAAAAAAGAGGCTTCCCTGTGTGTCCTCATGGAGCAAAGTGTGACTATTCACAGAGGAACTTCCTTGAGTTCCTTTGGTTGTTGCAAAGGCCTTTTAAGCCCCACAGGCCAGCTCAACTATCCAATTCTAGCTTGTTAAGAAACCCCTGGCCCCTGCGTAACGAGCCCTGTTCCTCTTTTCTGTCCCGCAGTCTCCAACCTGTCCCAGTATTTCAGCCCAGCCTCGGTGTCCAGCAGCCCGGCCCGCGCGCTCCTGCTGGTCGGCGTCGTCCTCCTGGCCTACTGGTTCTTGTCCCTGACCCTGGGCTTCACTTTCAGCGTCCTGCACGTGGTGTTCGGCCGCTTCTTCTGGATCGTGCGGGTCGTCCTGTTTTCCATGTCCTGCGTGTACATCCTGCACAAGTACGAGGGCGAGCCGGAGAACGCGGTGCTGCCGCTGTGCTTCGTGGTGGCCGTCTACTTCATGACCGGGCCCATGGGCTTCTACTGGCGAAGCAGTCCCAGCGGCCCCAGCAACCCCAGCAACCCCAGCGTGGAGGAGAAGCTGGAGCACCTGGAGAAGCAGGTCAGACTGCTCAACATCCGTCTCAACCGGGTGCTCGAGAGCCTGGACCGCTCCAAGGACAAGTGAAGGTCAGCCGGCCGGGCGGGTCCACAGTTACCAGCACGCTGTCTCAGAAAACGAAAACGGAGGAAAAAAACCCCAAACCCCAAACAATCTTAATAAACACGACTGAGCAAGAAAGTGGCGCTGTGTAGGGCTATTTCCACCCACCCGGCAGCTCTTAGGACACATTCCCAGAAGAGCGGAAAGATCATTGACGTGGAACTACACACGAAGTGTAATTAGTGGGGGAAAAAATATTTTTTAAACAAAGGATATAACCATATTTAGTTGTACAGTAAGAGAAATTTATCTGTGCATAGAGCATAAAGTTAATTTTTTCAAGCATTTAAATACATCTTTTGTAAGGTTTTTTAATAAAGGCAGATTGAGTCAAGTTTATTAAAACTTTACATGGAGGGGAAGAATATGCTAATTTGACATTTGAGAAAAGTTTAAATGCGAGCGTTTGTTTTCACAGCTTAGGGATTGGTGGGTGAGGTCTGTGTGCGTTATTTTCATGTTCCCAAACTGTGAGCTTTATTTCATGTTATTTTTGGTGGATGTTGACTTAGTTCATGAATGTTGTCACTTCTAAATGTGGACAGTTGGGCTGCAGGATGCAACTCAACCTCTTTTGGATCCTAGAGACCCCTGCCAAGCCCCCATCAGTCCTATTTTTAAATGAAGACATCGCCATTTCTAGAAGACCTGAGATTTTCTTCCCTCTGTGCTTCGATGTATTTTAACCTCAACATTTTGAAACGGAAAATGCAAGGAGGGGCCAAGAAATGTCCTGGGGATTTGATGCCAGGAAGTACCTGGTAAGGATTGGAGATTGCTCCAGAATCTACTGCATGTCCCAATTTGCAGTTTGCTCACTAGGGCTATATACAAAAGCTATACCCTTGAGGGTTTTTTTTTTTTTCTTTTGATTTCCTCAGGACCTTAGAGGGAAAACAAACAGTAGCAGCTAATATTCTCAAGTATATTGCTGCTTAGAAAGATCCTCAGGAACAATTAGCAGCAATAAGCAAGCCTTTGAAAAGATCTGAATTCTTTTTCCTGAAATATTTACGATACACAGGTGCTTTTTATCTGAAATCTGTTGTGTCCTCCTTTTAGGCAGTCTCTGTGGGCAGAGAGTGGGACTTGCGAGGTGGACAGCTGTGGGGATCCTGGGCAAGGGAGTTTCAGAAGGTGTGGCTCAGGGGCTGGTAGAAACCCCCTTTTGTTAGGACTTGTTTTTTAAAAAAGAAAGCCCTAGGCCAGGCGCAGTGGCTGATGCCTGTAATCCCAGCGCTTTGGGAGGCCGAGGAGTATGGATCACCTGAGGTCAGGAGTTCAAGACCAGCCTGGCCAACATGGTGAAACCCCCGTCTCTACTAAAAATACAAAAATTAGTCAGGCATGGTGGTGGGTGCCTGTAGTCCAGCTACTCAGGAGGCTGAGGCAGGAGAATTGCTTGAACCTGGGAGGTGGAGGTTGCGGTGAGCCGAGATCACGCCACTGCACTCCAGCCTAGGCAACAGAGCAAGACTTCATCTTAAAAAAAAAAAAAAAAGCCCAGCATTTTGCAGCTTTGAAGCTGCTGGGGATCACGACTGTCTCTGTGGCCCTTACCTGGCCACAGATGTACCCTGGCAACCCGCTCACAGTGCCCTGCGTGCAGGTTTATAGATAACCCCTGCCAGACCTGCTACAACCAAGACCTTATGGTCCAGGTCTCAGTTTGGAGAAGATTTAGCTGTCTACCACTTCTTGTGTAGTGTTCCTGTGAAGTTTTATTTTTGGTTGCAAGTATCTGGAAAACAGATGCAGATGTTTTTGTGGATGTTGTTGAGACTTTTGAGACTTCTGTTTCTAAGGTACACATGATGGGACCCAAACTCTCCTGGAGAGTTCCATTCACTTCCTGAAACGTGCACCTGTTTCAGGTGCATGTTTATTCAGTGTGCATGGATATTTAAGATTTGCTGGAGCAGGCTGGGCAGGGTGGCTCACCCCTATAATCCCAACACTTTGGGAGGCCAAGGCAGGTGGATCACCTGAGGTCAGGAGTTTGAGACCAGCCCGGCCAACAGAGTGAAACCCCGTCTCTACTAAAAATACAAAAATTAGCCAGGCCTGGTGGTGGGCGCCTGTGATCCCAGCTACTTGGGAGGCTGAGGCTGGAGAATCGCTTGAACATGGGAGGCGGAGGTTGCAGTCAGCTGAGATCATACCACCACACTCTAGCCTCAGCAACAGAGTGAGACTCCGTCTCAAAAAAAATTATTTGCTGGATCGAATCTTTTTTTTTTTGAGATGGAGTCTCACTGTCAACCAGGCTGGAGTGCAGTGGCACCATCTCGGCTCACTGCAAGCTCCGCCTCCTGGGTTCACGCCATTCTCCTACCTCAGCCTCCCAAGTAGCCGGGACTACAGGCGCCCACCATCATGCCCGGCTAATTTTTTATATTTTTAGTAGAGACGGGGTTTCACCGTGTTAGCCAGGATGGTCTCGATCTCCTGACCTCGTGATCCGCCCGCCTCGGCCTCCCAAAGTGCTGGGATTACAGGCGTGAGCCACCGCGCTGGGCCTAGATCAAATCTTTATCCATGCACATTGGAACACAGGATTACTGGGTTGAAATCATTCTAGTTTTGTCATTTAGATACTTGTAGATGAATCTATTTTAGCACAAGGTATAAATAACTCGGGAGGTCATCTCTATCTTCTTTCCTTTTGTGCATTTGGCTATACCACGTTTAGGTACTAAAACAGCTTTGCTTATGTTGGCCAGGGGAAAACATGGCATTCTGTGCGCAAAGCTAATGATCGCCAGCCCTGCCTTGGCCCCTCCCTTGTTTATGGTCATTGTAAGATGCCCGCATGTTAAGGCTTAAGCTGTCACTGGGCTGGGTGTAATACCCGCTTCATTCCTCCTCCCACCCTCTTACCCGAAACATGAAGGGCACTGTGCTCTATTGAGATCTCGATAAGATCATCATTTTAACTTGTATTCAACTGAGGGAGGTAACATGATATCTGGGTGCTGGTGGATTGAGACCTCAAGCATCAATTCAAAATTGCTGTCGAAAATATGCACTATTTTTTTTTTCCACTCTGGCTAAGTGTAGGCTCTGAAGCCAGTTTTATAGCTTGATACATTCTGGTGAAAGATGTCTTCATTTTTAATGAAAGAACCTACAGTTAGTAGGTGTCACCTCAGGGTAGAAATTCTGATAGAAATTCTGATTATTTGAAACTCTGATAGAAATCCTAGATGCTAGATTTGAAGAAAACCTGGGTTTTATTGCATAGATTTCACCTTTTCTGGGGCACATCTTACCCCAAAATAATTGGGGATTTTTTTGTTCCTTCTCCATTCCATGGAACCTTGTAGGGTGTTGGGATTGGGCCTCCCCTCGCCACCCGCCACATGTCTTTGTTTTTTTCTCTCTTTTGTATGTGGAAAAATGTATTTTTGTACCATATCTCATACCTGGAGAGAAACCTTTTTTCTATCTTCAGGGCTGTAGAATATATTAGCGTAACACTTCACTGAATGTGACGTAAAAGCATTCTGATGAAAACTGGTTCTGTTATAATTAAGACTCAGTGTTTAAAATATCTTAATCAGTGTTAATTTCCCAGTGTTTCAGTATCACAGTAAATACTTGTTTTACTGAGAACAGAAAATAATCCAGAAAAGGAAAAGGACCAGCCCTCTCTAGATTGCTGGAATTGTATGGATGTGTTGGGGTTGGTTTAGTGATCTCTTCCTTGACACCCTAGCAAAGATGCTTTTGTGGAGTGCAAACCTTTCATAAATATACTTTCCAGGCTGGGTGCAGTGGCTCAAGCTTGTAATCCCAGCACTTTGGGAGGCCAAGGCGGGTGGATCACTTGCGGTCGGGAGTTCGAGACCAGCCTGGCCAACATAGTGAAATCCCGTCTCTACCAAAAAATACAAAAAAAAAAAAAAAAAAAAAAATAGCCAGGTGTGGTGGTGGGTTCCTGTAGTCCCAGCTACTCAGGAGGCTGAGGTGGGAGAATTGTATGAACCTGGGAGGCAGAGGTTGCAGTGAACTGAGATCACACCACTGTACTCCAGTTGAGGCGACAGAGTGAGACCCAGTCTCAAAAAAAAAAAAAAGTGTGTGTGTGTGTATATATATGTATATATATATACACACACACACACTTTCCAATACCAGTCGGCATTACCCGCCCTTTGGTTTCTTTTGCTTTGGATTTCAGCCCCCATATCATTTCTGGTAACAGAGCACAGCAATAGAATTTCTGGGAAGCAGACCTTGTGAATCGTGCCTGTGTCTTAATTCACAAAGGGTAAGTGAATGCCGTTGAAAGGTGTTTCATACACTTACCCCAGAAATGAGAGCCTGTCTCATGCAGGAGTCGGGAGGCAGCGATGTCAGGGAACTGGGACTATGTCTTTATGACTGTGATGGTGGTAACCAAGTGGGGTGGTCCCCTCTGGGGAGCTGAGTAAGAACGCAAAGGTTTGGGTCAGTGATTAGGAAGACTATAATATGACTTTGTGCATGCCCGGGAGGGCTGCCTTGTAGAGAGGATGTGAGCAGCTTAGTCGCTCATCTGGCCCTGTGATTCAGGCTTATGGAGCGTTAAGAATAACAGCTGTCAAATGGCCTAGACATGGTTAATGCAATTTGTTGCTAGTGGAAATCCTGAATTGCTTCCTTTCTGTGATCACTGCTACTTCTTAAGATGCTTTTGATGAATGTCATCTGCCTTACAAGTTGACACCTGATAACTTCTCCCTGATGGGTTTCCGAACTGGCTGACTTAACCAAAAAGCCAGCTCTTGCCATCTATCTTGCATTAAAAGGAATTCCTGAGGCTCCTAAGGGGTCAGCTGCCCCACTCCTGACTTTTTTATTTTTAATGGTCTATACCTTCTGCAACATTTTTGTTTATGGCCATTTGAATAGTTGGACTTTGACTCCTCACTTGTGAATAATAGGAATATATTTTGCAGAATCTAACATAATACCCTTAAAATTCATACTGGACAACCATCAGTGTGATGTATAGTATCTGGTGTAAACAAATTTTATTCAGCATATTAAATTATTCTGTGTTTTGCTTTTCCTTGATATGTAGGAGGTGCACCAGTACCAGTTTTTCTCTTGTGGTGGCTTAAAACGCTGATTGCCATTTGCATTGTCTACTGAAAAGCTGTGGCAGCGAGTGGTATTATTGACCATGTGTTCTCATGTCTTTTTGCAGATTTAAAGGTTTTATTGTAGTGTCCATTTAATATCTGCATGTGTGTTTAATCTCTGAATACCATGTAATTAAACTGATTAACTTGTGATGGTGATGGTGATTAGCACACACTAAAAACCCAATGAAGCAATTGTCTCCCTCTTCTTAACTGGAAATCACACTTGTGAGGTATGGTATCCATTATCAACAGTGGATTCATGATTGACTTCATATTTTGTGTATCTGGTTATAAATTTTGTATAGCATTTAATTTGGCACTTAATATAAATCCATTTGATTTGAATAGTGTGTGTGTGTACATGGTGTGTGTGTGTGTGTGCACTTTAGTTTCGTGAGCCTTGGGAAACTGATTCTACAAATATCTTATATAGAGATAAATGTATCAGGCATTTTTTTGCAAAGCGATATATACATTCCTCTTATTTATTAAATCACTGGCTTTGGTGTTATGTAGAGATATTTGTAGATCTCAGAACAGAATTAAAATATTGTGAAAATTACAGCTTAATAAATGTTTATTGTAATTTTGTTGTATGGACTTTTAAAATATATCTCATCACTTCTAACCAAACATTTGTGGAGTTTCCCCAGTTTTGATGTGTAACCAGGATTCTATGGTTCTATTCCTCGATCTGAGAAGAGTCATAAAACCTTGAATTTATGTATTCAGTTGGAGGTAAGGTTGCAAGATAAAATACAGGATGCCCAGTTAAATTTGAATTTCAGATAAACAACCAGTAGTGTTTTAGTATAGTGTAGAAGTGTTGGTTGCTTATCTGAAATTCAAATGTAAGCAAGTTTCCTGTATTTTTAGTTGCCAAATCTGACAGTCCTAGCACAGTGATGCGTGCCTCTCCACCCCACCCCGCATACCCATGCTGCTTTCTCAGGTCCTAACAATCCTTTTCTTTCTATTTTTTTTTTTTTTTTTTTTTTTTTTTTGAGATGGACTCTCACCCAGGCTGGAGTGCAGTGGCGAGATCTCAGCTCACTGCTGCCTCCATCTCCTGGGCTCAAGCGAGCATGTCCGGCCAATTTTTGTATTTTTAGTAGAGATGGGGTTTCACCATGTTGGCCAGGCTGGTCTCCAACTCCTGACCTCAGTGATCCGCCCGTTTCGGCCTCCCAAAGTGCTGGGATAACAGGCGTGAGCCATCATGCCCAGCCTTAAAAATCCTATTCTTAGTAAACATTTAGGAGCAAATGTAACAGGAGTATAATTTACCTTGACCAAGTATAATTACTCTTAACCCAAGAGTACTGCTCCTGCTTTTTACGCAAAGACAATCTCACATAGGTCGATAAGGGGACAATTTGAGGCTAGTTATTGTGAAGTTATCTGGGGGCAGCCTGGGTGGCCTGTCACTGGGAAAGCAGGCAGGTGAGCGGGGGCGGTGAGGCACTGGAGGACGTGCAGTAGGTAGTAATGACAGTAACAGCGTGGGGTGAGAAGGAAACCAGAATGAGGAGGGGCAGCTCATTTGAATAAAGTCAATACCTGCTATTAAAATAATCATTTTGGCCGGGTGAGGTGGCTCATGCCTGTAATCCCAGCACTTTGGGAGGCCGAGGCGGGCGGATCACGAGGTCAAGAGATCTAGACCATCCTGGCTAACATGGTGAAACCCCGTCTCTACTAAGAATGCAATTAGCCGGGCGTGGTGGCAAGTGCTTGTAGTCTCAGCTACTCGGGAGGCTAAGGCAGGAGAATTGCTTGAACCCAGGAGGTGGAAGTTGCAGTGAGCTGAAATCGCGCCACTGCACTCCAGCCTGGGCGACAGAGTGAAACTCCGTCTGAAAAACAAACAAAAAAAATTACTATTTTGTGGCCGGGTGCAGTGGCTCACGCCTGTCATCCCAGCACTGGGAGGCCAAGGCAGGTGAATCGCTCGAGTCCAGGAGTTCAAGACCAGCCTGGGCAACATAGTGAGAACTTGCCTCTACGAAAAGTAAATAAATTAGTTGGGTGCAGTGGCGCCTGCCTGTGCCTGCAGTCCCAGCTACTCGGGAGGCTGACGTGGGAGGATCGCTTGAGCCCAGGTGGTTGAGGCTGCAGTGAGCCATGATTGCACCACTGCATTCCAGCCTGGGGAACAGAGTGAGATCCTATCTCAAAATATAATCATTTTGTAAGAATGCATTGAAAGCAACATTCGAATTAAACACCATAGGCCGAGGAGGAGGAGGGAGTGGGTTATCGGATGGGGATTAAGAGGAATGTCAAGTACAAGAGGAATGAGACTTCACAGGAGAAGTCACCGAGGGCAGTGTTCCTCGGACCTAGAGGGTGCCGGGAACCCTGCCCCAGCCTGACCAGCTACAGCCTCACCATCTCCCACTGCCCCTTCTGCCCGCTGCCAATCCCGCTGCAGCCCCAGAGCAGCTGGCGGCATTGCTACCAGCCCCTTTGCACCTATGAAGGAAAAATAGAATCTCGGGATCTCAAACTCATTATGCCAAGGGCAAAGTTAAGCTTGGGAACTGAGCCACAAAACAAACAAACAAAAAAAACAAACACAAACTTCCTTCCTTTGCTTCCCAAACAGATAGCTGCCTACTTTATCTTGTGTAAAATGTAGATTTGGGCTGGGTGTAGTGTCTCAAGCCTGTAATCTCAGCACTTTGGGAGGCTGAGGCAGAAGGATCACTTGAGCTCAGGAAGCAGAGGTTGCAGTGGGCCGAGATGGCGCCCCTGCACTCCAACCTGGGCGACGGAGTGAGACTCTGTCTCAGAAAAATAGATAAAAATGAATACATAAATATACATAAAATGTAGATTCATGAGTGCTCGTCAAAGCCGAGTGAGACTCAGCCCTGCCTCACTGCCTACCATTCCCCACATTTTTCTTCCATCCTTCCCCTCCTGCTTGCGCATTCCCCTTTAAATATTTAAGTCCTCAGAACCCATTTTGGAAACAGCACAGGCCACAGATCCTACTGTGACTTATGTTTCTTTTCCTTGGGCCCGGCGTCAACCTTGACAAAATAAGCCACTAATCCATTGAGACCTGCCCCAGTCACTTTTTGGTTTACACTCCTATTTCTAACCAAGGCCCCCTGTACTGTTTTGTTTTTCTGGTTTTTTTTTGTTTTTTTTTTTGAAACAGAGTCTCATTCTGTCACCCAGGCTAGTGTGCAGTGGTGAGATCTCGCCTCACTGCAACCTCCATCTCCACGGTTCAAGCAATCCTCCCACCTCAGCCTCCCTAGTAGTTGAGATTACAGGCGCACACCACCACACCCAGCTAATTTTTGTATTTTTTAGTAGAGATGGGGTTTCACAATGTTGGCCAGGCTGGTCTTGAACCCCTGACCTCAAATGATCTGCCTGCCTCGGCCTCCCAAAGTGTTGGGATTACAGGCGTGAGCCACCACCCAGGCTGTTTTTGTTTTGTTTTGGTTTGAGGCGGAGTTTCACTCTTGTTGCCCAGGCTGGAGTGCAATGGCACAATCTCAGCTCACCGCAACCTCCGCTTCCTGGGTTCAAGCAATTCTACCGCCTCAGCCTCCCAAGTAGCTGGGATTTCAGGCATGTGCCACCACACCCAGCTAATTTTGTATTTTTAGTAGAGACGGGGTTTCTCCATGTTGGTCAGGCTGTTCTCGAACTACCGACCTCAGGTGATCTGCCCGCCTCGGCCTCCCAAAGTGTTGGGATTACAGACGTGAGCCACTGCACCCAGCCCCTTTTTTTAAAAAAAGAAAAACAAAAACAGCTTTATCAATGTAAAATTGACATACAATAAGCTGCACATGTTTGAATGTAACTTGGATAACGTTTCATATATGCGTACACCATGGACATCAAACTTGCCACAATCAAAATAGCAAACATGTCCATCACCTCAGGGCCCTTTGGGGTCCCTCTCACTGCTCTCCATCCCCAGGCAACCTTTGAGCTGCTCTCTGTCACTAGACATTAGTTTGTATTTTTTTTTTTTGGGCTGGGGATGGAGTCTCACTCTGTCGCCCAGGCTGGAGTGCAGTGGCGCAATCTTGGCTCAGTGCAACCTCTGCCTCCCAGTTTCAAGCAATTCTCCTGCCTCAGCCTCCCAAGTAGCTGGGACTACAGGCGCCTGCCACCACGCCCAGCTAATTTTTGTATTTTTAGTAGAGACGGGGTTTCACCATATTGGCCAGACTAGTCTCGAACTCCTGACCTTGTATTCTGCCCACCTTGGCCTCCCAAAGTGTTGGGATTACAGGCGTGAACCACCGCGCCCGGCCCTAGTTTGCATTTTCTAGCATTTTATGTAAATGGGATGAAACAGCATGTGTCTCCCCATGCCCACCCCCCAGCTTCTTTCACTTAATATAATTATTTTGAAATCCATCCCAGTTGTTGCCCTTATCAATAGTTCACTCTTTTTCATTGCTGCGTAGTATTCCATAGTATGGATGTACCACAATTTGCTTATCCATTCACTTGTTGATGGACTTTTTGGTTGTTTCCTATTTGGGGCTATTACAAATAAAGCGACTATGAACACTTATGTATAGGACTTTGTATGAACATACTTTTCACTTCTCCCAGGTAAATACTTAGGACCAGAATGGCTGGATTATATTGAGGGTATAGGTTTAACTTTTTAAGACATTGTTTTCCAAAGTGGTTGTAGCATTTTACATTCCTACCCACTGTGTGTGAGAATTCCAGTTCCTCCATAGCCTCACCGACAGTTGGTATGATCAGCTGTTTTCACCCAAAACATTCACTTACTAATAGGTATTGTCTTTTTTTTTTTTTTTTTGAGGCAGGATCTTGCTTTCTTGCCCAGGCTGGAGTGCAGTGGTGCAATCACAGCTCACTTTAGCCTTGACCTCCCAGGCTCAGGCAGTTCTCATGCTTCAGTATCCCACCTAAGTGGGACTACAGGTGTGTGCTATCACACCAGGCTAATGCTTTTTTTTTTGTAGAGATGGGGTCTCACTATGTTGCCTAGGCTGGTCTTCAACTCCTGGACTCAAGTGATCCTCCCATTTTGGCCTCCCAGGGATTACAGGTGTGAGCCGCCATGCCTGGCCTCTTTTTTTCTTTTTTACTTTTTTTCCATTTTTCATTTTGGGATTACAGATGTGAGCCAGTATGCCCGGCCTGTCAGGTGTGGTCTTAACTGAAGCTAGCCATCTTTCATTAAACAAGGAAATGCTTATTTCTGACAAGTGTAAACAGAATTTCAATAAACAGCTTGTGGAAATTTTATGAATTACATACATTAGCCAACACTTGATCTTCACAGTAGCAAAATATCCACTGAAAAATGATAACATGCATATATCCAAAGCACCTGTTCTGAAGCCCCAAAGAAAAGCAAACCAAGTCAATAGTCCATGGTCAAATCTTTGATGATGATTAACAAAAAATTAACAAAATGAGTAATCTATAGTTTTTTTTGTTTTGTTTTTGTTTTTTGTTTTTTTTTGAGATGGAGTTTTGCTCGTCACCAAGGCTGCAGTGCAATGGCGCGATCTCTGCTCACTGCAACCTCCGCCTCCCAGGTTCAAGCGATTCTCCTGCCTCAGCCTCCTGGGTAGCTGGGATTACAGACACACACCACTACACCTGGCTAATTTTTGTATTTTTAGTAGAGACGGGGGTTTCACCATGTTGGTCAGACTGGTCTCAAACTCCTGACCTTCTGATCCCCCGCCTTGGCCTCCCAAAATGCTGGGATTACAGGCATGAGCCACCGCACCCGGCCTAATTTTTTTTATTTTATTTATTTATTATTATTATTTTTTTTTAGTAGAGACAGGGTTTCACTATGTTGGCCAGGTGATCTATATTTTTTATTTAGTAACTGCTCATCATTGATTATATTGGTGGCTTCAATGTAGATAATGCTAGGTTTAGCTCCAAATATGATCTAAATATATCTTAACCATTGCTAACCATGAAACAACAGCTAGCACAATGTTAACACAGGGCACTATTGGGAGATTTAGTACTCAACATCATGCAAGTCCCTTGTAGAATAATGAAGTTTTGTGAGCTGGTCACGGTGCTACAGAATGAATGTGTGCAGCCCCTCAAAATGTATATGTTAAATCCCTAATTCCCAATGTGATGGTATTTGGAGACAGGGTCTTTGGGAGGTGATTAGTCTAGATGAGATCCTGAAGGTGGACCCCCATAATGGGACTAGTGGCCTCATAAGAAGAGGAAAAGACCAGATACCCCTCGACTCCACCATGTGAAGACACAACAAGAAGGTGGCTGTTTTTTAACCAGGGAGAAGGCTATCACCAAATACTGAGTATGCTAGTACCTTGCTCTTGAACTTCCCAGCCTCCAGAACTGTGTGAAATAAATATTTAGTCTATACTATTGTATTACAGCATCCTGACCTTACTAAGACAGATGGTTGTCTTCATATGAAAAAATTAAAATGACAAAAGGCTTTGTTTTGTTTTTGGAGACAAAGTTTTGCTGTTATTGCCCAGGCTGGAGTGCAATGGCACAATCTTTGCTCACTGCAACCCCTGCCTCCTGGGTTCAAATGATTCTCCGGCCTCAGCCTCCTGAGTAGCTGGGATTACAGGCACGTGCCACACGTCTAGCTAATTGTTGGTATTTAGTAGAGACAGGGTTTCACCATGTTGGTTGGGCTGGTCTTGAACTCCTGACCTCAGGTGATCCACCTGCCTTGGCCTCCCACAGTGCTGGGATTACAGGCGTGAGCCGCCACGCCCTGCCAAAAAGGCTTTATTTGATCTAGTCCCTAAATCACCCCCAGATAGCAGATTGGCAACCTGTGGACACACTAATTTAGGCATAGCTATAGTAGATGAAATATTCCCTTAGTGCCCTGGAGGAAGTCCCATCTGTCAGGAAATTATCTAATTAGTGGAAAGAAACTGGTGCGTGTGGCCAGGCACGGTGGCTCACGCCTGTAATCCCGGCACTTTGGGAGGCCAAGGCGGGCAGATCACGAGGCCAGGAGTTTGAGACCAGCCTGGCCAATATGGTGAAACCCCGTCTCTACTAAAAATACAAAAAAATTAGCTGGGTGTGTTACTGTGCGCCTGTAATCCCAACTACTTGGGAGGCTGAGGCAGAAGAATCGCTTGAACCCAGGAGGCAGAGATTGCAGTGAGCTGAGATCAAGCCACTGCACTCCAGCCTGGGCAACAGAGCAAGACTCTGTCTCAAAAAAAAAAAAAAAGAAAAGAAAAGAAAAAGAAACTGGTGCATGTATACACGTGTGTTGAGCATGCATTTATGTGAGAAAGTGTAAGTACACGTGTGTATGTGCATTTGGAATTTCTAAAAGTGCTGGTTTCTAGGCTTCTAATCAGAAGTGTGGCATCAATTCTCCCTGATCTTAAGCAGTAGAAGTTCACAATTCTAGCCAGGCACGGTGGCTCATGCATGTAATCCCAGCACTTTGGGAGGCCAAGGTGAGTGGATCACTTGAGCTCAGGAGTTCAAGACCAGTCTGGGCAACATACCAAAAATACAAAAAATTAGCCAGGCATGGTGGTGTGCGTCTGTGTTCCTAGCTCCTTGGGAGGCTGAGGTGGGAGGATCACTTGTGCCTTGGGGGCAGAGTTTGCAGTGAGCCAAGGTTGTGCCCCTGTGCTCCAGCCATCTCAAAAAAAAAAAAAAAAAGTTCACCGTTCTGTTCCATCAAAAAACAAGGGAAGGGGATGTGGGATGCCTTTTCTTGGTTATCTTCAAATGGCAGTAATTCTAAGCTCAGAATAAAGCATCCGATGTTTGACACTATATTAAACCTATTCTAAAAGAAATGAGTTCTCAAACTTAAAACTAAGATGCTTGTGGCTTTCAAAGTACTTAATTTTGAATTAAAAATAAAATCTGCCGGGCGTGGTGGCTCATGCCTGTAATCCCAGCACTTTGGGAGGCCAAGGCAGGTGGATCACCTGAGGTCAGGAGTTCAAGACCAGCTTGAGCAACATGGAGAAACCCCGTCTCTACTAAAAATACAAAATTATCCAGGCGTGGTGGTGCGTGCCTGTAATTCCAGCTACTCAGGAAGCTGAGGCAGGAGAATTGTTTGAACCTGGGAGGCGGAGGTTGCGGTGAGCCGAGATCGTGCCATTGCACTCCAGCCTGGGTGACAAGAGCGAAACTTCATCTCAAAAAAATTAAAAATAAAAATAAATAGAATAGAATAAAATCCAAGGTCAGGCCTTGGCTCACGCCTGTAATCCCAGCACTTTGGGAGGCCAAGCCAGGCAAATCACCTGAGATCAGGGGTTCAAGACCAGCCTGGCCAACATGGTGAAACCCCGTCTCTACTAAAAATAGAAAAATTAGCCGGGCATGGTGGCCGGCGCCTGTAATCCCAGCTACTTGGGAGGCTGAGGCAGAAGAATCGCTTGAACCTGGGAGGGGGAGGTTGCAGTGAGCTGAGATTGTGCCACTGCACTCCAGCCTGGGCGACAGAGCACAGTTCCATCTCAAAAAATAAAAAAACCCCAAAACCAAATTTCTGTTGTATAAAGCTCAGAGAGGTCAAGTGACCTGCACAAAATGGAACAGCTAATAAGGAATCATGGAAGTCAGGACTGAAACCCAGCAGCTGTGATTCCAAATTCTGTTTTCTGCTGCACTGCACAGAGAGTGCAAGGCCCACGGGTTCCCTCTGTATTGTGAAAATTTACAGAGTTATCTTTTAATAGTTTTTTTTCAAATGCATGCCTTTCATCATTCTCAGTCAGTTAAACCAATCTCAGGGGATCCTTTGCTAGGATTCATCTTTTCTGGACACTTTTTGGCCTGCAGGGGTCTGAGTTGCCCTATGCAAAGAGGCTATGTTTGACTAGGCTTTAGGAGCTCGTACCAGGCAGGGTTAAACTATTCTTGCTACTCGCCTTGGGAGGAGATAAAACAAGTGGACTAATTCTACTCTCATCAACTTCGATTTTGAAAGACTGAAAAATTGCTCCCCTGTTTTTAGATCCTTTCTTCATATTGCACACCCTGTGTGAGTTGTGGAAAATCATTGGAATGTTATTCCAATAGGGTTTTTTTTTTAAGTATAGAAAAATCATGGAGACGTGGAGGCTTAAAAGGGTTCGTTCATTCATTCATCTTTTCACTCATTCATTTGCAAAGGTGTGTAGTTCTCAAAGTGTGGTCTGGGTTCCTCCAGTTACATAAAATACTATTAATAACAGGTTATTTATATTTTTCACTTTCATTCTCTCATGAATGTACAATGGAATTTTCTAGAGGCCACGAGATGTGTGCTCTCCAAACAGAATGAATGGAAAAGCTGCAAAAGCGGAGATGAGGGTCCAGCTGTCTTCTCTTTAGCTACATATCAGAGATTTGCAAAAATGTAGGACAATGGCTGGGTACGGTGGCTCATGCCTATAATCCCAGCACTTTGGGACGCCAAGGCAGGCGGATCACAAGGTCAAGAGATTGAGACCATCCTGGCCAACATGGTGAAACCCCATCTCTACTGAAAATACAAAAATTAGCTGGGTGTGGTGGCGCACGCCTGTAGTTCCAGCTACTCGGGAGGCTGAGGCAGGAGAACTGCTTAAACCCAGGAGGTGGAGGTTGCAGTGAGCTGAGATCACACCATTGCACTCCAGCCTGGTGACAGAGCAAGACTCCATCTCAAAAAAAAAAAAAAGTAGGACCATGCCGTTCTCATTAACACTATTTTTTTTTGTTTTTGTTTTTTCAAAGTATAGGTTCTTTTTGTTTGTTTTTTTGTTTTGACACAGAGTTTTGCTCTTTTTGCCCAGGCTGGAGTGCAATGGCATGATCTCGGCTCACTGCAACCTCCAACTCCTGGGTTCAAGCGATTCTCCTGCCTCAGCCTCCTGAGCAGCTGGGATTACAGGCATGCGCCACCACACCCAGCTAATTTCGTATTTTTAGTAGAGACCGGTTTCTCCATGTTGGTCAGACTGGTCTTGCACCCCCGACTTCAGGTGATCCCCCCACCTTGGCCTCCCAAAGTGCTAGTATTACAGGCGTGAGCCACTGCGCCCCACCTCAAAGTATAGTTATTTTTCATAACAAATACATTGTTTATGGTCACATGGAATGGGTTTATCTTTGTTATTTCATTTTATTTATTTATTTATTCATTTTTTTTTTTGAGACAGAGTCTTGCTGTGTTGTCCAGGCTGGAGTGCAGTGGTGTGATCTTGGCTCACTGCAACTTCTGCCTCCCAGATTCGAGTGAGTCTCCTGCCTCAGCCTCCCAAGTAGCCGGGATTACAGGCACATGCCACCACACCCAGCTAATTTTTGTATTTTTAGTAGAGGTGGGGTTTCTTCATGTTGGCCAGGCTGATTTTGAACTCCTGACCTCAGGTGATCCACCTGCCTCAGCCTCCCAAAGTGCTGGGATTACAGGCATGAGCCACCGTGCCTGGCCTATCCTTGTTATTTTTTATTTTTATTTTTTTTTGAGACGGAGTCTCGCTCTGTCGCCCAGGCTGGAGTGCAGTGGCGTGATCTCGGCTCACTGCAAGCCCTGCCTCTCGGGTTCATGCCATTCTCCTGCCTCAGCCTGCCAAGTAGCTGGGACTACAGTCACCTGCCACCACGCCTGGCTAATTTGTGTGTGTGTGTGTGTATTTTTAGTAGAGACAGGGTTTCACCATGTTAGCCAGGGTGGTCTCCATCTCCTGATCTCGTGATCCACCTGCCTCGGCCTCCCAAAGTGCTGGGATTACAGGTGTGAGCCACCACGCCCAGCATTATTTTAAAATGAATTAACACTTACATATTTTTTGGTTTCTTAGTTTTATTTATAATTTGGTAATTATTTCTAGTTGTGTTACTAATTTTAATGGATAGATATAACCCACAGAAACAAAAGCTCTTGGGGTCCTCAGTAAGTTTCAGGACACATGTCCTGAAACCCTGCTGGCAAAGGCAATTCACCACATAGTACACAATTCAAAGCTACATTAGGGTGTTGAATGAACACTGAGCTCCTGCCTGGTCCCCAGACGCTATGTTCTGCTGCCCTAAGGCAACTCCTGTTACCAGTATCTTGTGGCTCCTGTTAGGGATATTCAATGACTACATGAGCAAATAAGTACGTATCTTTTTGTTTTGAAACAGAGTCCTGCTATGTTTGACTAGTGTGCAGTGGCATGATCATGGCTCACTGTGGCTTCGACTTCTTGGGCTCCAACAATCCTTCCCCCTTAGTCTCCTAAGTGGGACTACAGGTGTGCACTGTCACACCTGGCTAATGTTTTAACTTTTTTGTAGAGATGGGGTCTCACTATGTCGCCTAGGCTGGTCTTGAACTCCTGGGCTAAAGCGATCCTCCTGCCTTGACCTCGCAAAGTGCTGGGATTGCAGGCGTGAGCCACCACATCCGGCCCTTTTGCGTATCACTTTAAAAACACAAATAGCATCTACACTTCTCTAGACCCTAGTTTATCTGAATGGCTACATAATATCCCATTTTACAGATATGCCAGAATTTAGTTAACCATTCCCTTATTGAGGGACATTAAAGCTGTTGGTAAATTTGGTTTTTTAAAACTTTTATTTTAGGTTCAGGGATACGTGTGCAGGTTTGTAATGTAGGTAAATTGTGTGTCTTGGGGGTTTTGTGTAGAGATTATTTCATCACCTGTGTGATAAGCACAGTACCCGATAGGTAGTTTTTCAATCTTTACCCTCTTCCCACTTGGTAAATTTGTTGTGATCAACAGCTGCTCTTCCCAAATTACCTTATTTACCCTTTAGTTCCCATGGTGTTTCTGTGACTGTTATGCAAGTTGTTGGACTTAGTGCAAATTATAAAACATTAAATGTTCATTTTTGCCTCTAATTCTTTAGGAACTAGGTTGTGAATTTCATCTTTTTTTTTTTTTTGAAATGGGATTTTGCTGTGTTGCCCAGGCTTAAGTGCAATAGCACTTTTTTTTTTGAAACGGAGTCTCACTCACTCTGTTGCACAGACTGGAGTGCAGTGGCACAATCTTGGCTCACTGCAACCTCTGCCTCCTGGGTTCAAGCGATTCTCCTGCCTCAGCCTCCCGAGTAGCTGGGATTACAGGCACCCACCACCACGCCCAGCTAATTTTTTTGTATTTTTATTAGAGATAGGGTTTCACCGTGTTGGCCAGGCTGGTTTCAAACTCCTGACCTCAAGTGATCTGCCCCTCTTGGCCTCCCAAAGTGCTAGGATTACAGGTGTGAGCCACCATGCACAGCCCAATAGCACATTAATAGCTCACTGCAGCCTTGAACTCCTGGCCTCAAGTGATGCTCCTGCCTTGGTCTCCCAAAGTTCTGGAATTGCAGATGTGAGCCACTGTGCCCTGCCTGTTAAAGATGGATTCATTTTATCCATCTTCTATTAATGCAGAAAATTTGAAATCGATTGTATGGTGACTGAATGAAGATGTGCATTTATATCATTGGTCTGGTAGATGAGCTTGATGGGTTAAAAAAAAAAACACTTCACTTGCTCTGTGTGTTTCAGCTATGAGGCAGTGAGGGGAAGCATTATTAGCCATGGTGAAATAACAATGTGTGGTATTATTTAATCCTGCAATTGTTTTAGGTGGGCCTAAGTTCTTTCAGGCCCAGGGATTTGGGGCTCTTCATGATGTTCATGTCAGGAAGATCGTGTGTGTTCTCCTGAGGCTAAGCGTGCAGGCTCATGTAGTGATGCTGGCTGAACGTCTGCTGCTCAACGTCTACCCCAGAATCTTGAGGTGTGCTAACAAGCCAGGCTTTGTTTTCCACTCCCACAGAACCGCTGCACAGTTCCTGCTATGACTGAGGGGCTTTAAACACTTTTTAAAGATTATTTTCTGGCCAGGCGTCGTGGCTTATGCCTATAATCCCAGCACTTTGGAAGGCCAAGGCCCAGGAATTCGAGACCAGCCTGGGCAAGATAATGAGACCTCATCTCTGCCAATTTTTTTTTTTTTTAATTAGCCAAGCATGGCCGGGTGTGGTGGCGCACCCTGTAATCCCAGCACTTTGGGAGGCCGAGGTGGGCCAATCACCTGAGGTCAGGAGTTCGAGACCAGCCTGGCCAACATGGTGAAACCCCTTCTCTACTAAAAATACAAAAATTAGCCAGTCGTGGTTGTGCGTGTCTGTAATCCCAGCTACCCAGAGGCTGAGGCAGGAGAATTGCTGGAACCCAGGAGGTGGAGGTTGCAATGAGCCAAGATCGCAACACTGCACTGCAGCCTGGGTGAAAGAGCGAGACTCCGTCTCAAAAAATAAAAAGATAAAAATTAGCCAGGCGTGATGGTGCACACCTGTGGTCCCAGCTACTTGGGAGGCTGAGGTGTGAGGATCCCTTGATCCCAGAAGGCAGAGGCTGCAGTGAGCTGTGATCACACCATTGCACTCCAGCCTAGGTGACACAGCAAGACATTTAAAAAAAAAAAAAAAAAGGAAAGAAAGATTATTTTCTCACAACAGGCAAGTTTACAAGTCTTCAACACAAATTGACGATGTTGGGATTAGAGCTCTTTTGAGATAGGGTCTTTTTTGTTTTTGTTTTGGTTGTTTTTTTGTGTGTTTTTTGAGATGGAGTCTCTCTCTGTCGCCCAGGCTAGAGTGCAGTGGCGCGATCTTGGCTCACTGCAACCGCCAGCTCCCGGGTTCAAGCGATTCTCCTGCCTCAGCCTCCTGAGTAGCTGGGATTACAGGCATGCGCCACCATGCTAGCTAAGTTTTATATTTTAGTAGAGACGGGGTTTCACCATGTTGGTCAGGCTGGTCTCAAACTCCTGACTTCATGATCGGCCTGCCTCAGCCTCCCAAAGTGCTGAGATTACAGGTGTGAGTCACCATGCCCGGCCAATTTTTTTTTTTTTTTTTGAGACAGGGTCTTGTTCTGCTGCCCAGACTGGAGTGTAGTGCTCTGATCTTGGCTCACTGTAAACTCTGCCTCCTGGGTTCAAGCTATTCTTCCCCTTCAGCCTCCCAAGTAGCTGGGATACAAGCATGCGCCACCACACCCAGTTAATTTTTTGTATTTTTAGCAGAGATGGGGTTTCACCATGTTGGCCAGGCTGGTCTTGAACTCCTGGCCTCAAGTGATCTGTCTGCCTTGGGCTCCCAAAGTGGTGGGATTACAGGTATGAGCCACCGCACCTGTCCCAGGCAGATAATTTTAAAATATACTTTAAAATTTATTGCAGAGACAGAGTCTTGCTATGTCACTCAGGCTGATCTTGAACTCCTGGGCTCAAGTGATCCTCCTACCTCAGCCTCCCAAAGCTCTGGGGATTACAGGTGTGAGCCACACTGCACCTGGCCAGACAAGATATTTTATAATAAAGTTTCAACTTATTGTATTTAATATTCAAAACAGTCATCCTAGCCATTCATCCTTATAATTACTAAAGACATAATGCCAGTTACTTCCAATCACTGGTGAATTAAAATTTTTTTCTCATTCTTATATCTATACCTGACTTTAATATCAGAGGGTGGCTATGGATTGGATATTGATTAAATCATAAAACATAAGGTTTGGGAAAATGCAAAGTGCAGCCTATGAAATTGAAAATTAACAGAACTAGCTAAAAAAAACCACTGCAAAGAACTTAGCACATAAGAGTGTAAAACTGGCATCTAAGGGTCAACCACTTTGCGTAAGAAATGGAACCTTTAGAAAGAATGAAGTGATCAAACCCGTTTAAGTCTAGATAAAAGTCAGAAAGTCCCCAGTCAATGCTAAGATGATGTTTTCTTCTTTTTTTTTGGACGGAGTCTCACTCTGTCGCCCAGGCTGGAGTGCTGTAGCGCGATCCCGGCTCACTGCAACCTCCGCCTCCCTGGTTCAAGCTATTCTGCCTCAGCCTCCTGAGTAGCTGGGATTACAGGCGGCATCATCACGCCCGGCTAATTTTTGTATTTTTAGTAGAGACGGGGTTTCATCATGTTTGTCAGGCTGATCTCGAACTCCTGACCTCGCGATCTGCCCGCCTAGGTCTCCCAAAGTGCTGGGATTACAGGCGTGAACCGCCCCGCCTGGCCTCTAAGATGATGTTTTCTCCCTCAGTGCCTCCCCACCCTTGTGACCTGTCAGACTTATGTGTAAAAATGCATCTGTCAATAACTAAATATTGAGTGCCTACGATTGGCCCTACATTAGGACAATAAATTATCTCCTTTCTTACATTTATTTTTCTGTATCAAAATTTTTCTCAAAGGGTTTTAGTTCAATGGTTGCAGGTCTGTTTAAGGGTTGGTTGAAAAATAATACCATCATTAAAAAGAGCTGATTTGGCTGAACACGGTGACTCACTCCTGTAATCCCAGAAATTTGGGAGGCTGAGGTGGGCAGATCACCTGAGGTCAGGAGTTCAAGACCAGCCTGGCCAACATGGTGAAACCCCGTCTCTACTAAAAATACAAAAATTAGCCAGGCGTGGTGGCAGGTGCCTGTAATCCCAGCTACTTGGGAGGCTGAGGCAGGAGAATCACTTGAACCCAGGAGGTGGAGGTTGCAGTGAGCTGAGATCGCGCCATTGACTCTAGCCTGAGGGACAAGAATGAGACTTTGTCTCAAAAAAAAAAACCACAAAAAAACTGATTTTAGACAGCTGAGAATCTATATATAACTGACACATAAGTATGCTATACATATCTGTATGTTTAGAAAATGTTTAAAAGAGGCCGGGCGCGGTGGCTCACACCTGTAATCCCAGCACTTTGGGAGGCCTAGGTGGGTGGATCACTTGAGGTCAGGAGTTTGAGACCAGACTTGCCAATATGGTGAAACCCTGTCTCTATTCAAAATACAAAAATTAGCCGGGTCTGGTGGCTCACGCCTGTAGTCCCATCTACTCAGGAAGCTGAGGCAAGAAGCTGCCTCCCAAGAACCTCTGCCTTGGGAGGCAGAGGTTGCAGTGAGCTGAGATCACACCACTGCACTCCAGCCTGGGCAACAGAGTGAGACTCCGTCTTGGAAAAAAAAAATGTTTAAAAGAACAGAACTGGAGAAAATAATAGAAAAGGAAATGGATCTGTATGCAGCCCTACCAGAGCTGGAAGCTGTGAGCTCAGGCTAAATTATCTTTTCATTTCTAGAGTTATATGCTTATAGTATCCTTTTCCTCCATCAGTCGACTTTAGCATTATCAGTCATACGTGCGTGTTTTTACATTTATTTTAATTCGGCTATGGATCTCACATTCACAAAGGTCTCACATAAACTTTAGAACTTATCTCTAAAAATGATTATTCCCACAGTCACAGATTCATTTTTGTTTGTTTGTTTGTTTTTGGATCAAGACTTTCCTGGAAATCACTGATAGTTTTGAAAGCACACAGTATTCACCATGCAACTTTAAACTTTAAACACAGCCTCTGTTGTAAGCCTGCAATGATTAAAATCTTTAATAAATCCTGAAATTTTTCTCTGAATAGCAAAAAAGACTGCATTGTGTATATGTTCTAACATTGTACATATTTAATTAGAATTAAAAACATTACTAAATGTAAACATTTAAAACAGGGATTTATAGCGTAACGCAATTTCAGCATTTCTTTACTCTTTTTTTTTTTGAGACGGAGTCTTGCTGTCACCCAGCCTGGACTGACTGCAGTGGCGCGATCTCGGCTCACTGCAAGCTCCGCCTCCCAGGTTCACGCCATTCTCCTGCCTCAGCCTCCCAAGTAGCTGGGACTACAGGAGCCCGCCACCACGCCCGGCTAATTTTTTGTATTTTTAGTACAAAAATACTAACTGTATTTTTAGTAATATGGGGTTTCACCATATTAGCCAGGATGGTCTCGATCTCCTGACTTTGTGATCCACCCGCCTCCGCCTCCCAAAGTGCTGGGATTACAGGCGTGAGCCACCGCACCCGGCCTTTTTTTTTCTTTTTTTTCAAGACAGGGTCTTGCTGTCACCCAGGCTGGAGTGCAGTGGTGCAGTGGTGCAGTCAGTATTTTTAGTAGAGACGGGGTTTTGCCATGTTGGCCAGGCTGGTCTGGAACTCCTGACCACAGGTGATCCGCCTGCCTCGGCCTCTTTAAGTGCTGGGATTACAGGCATAAGCCACCATGCCCAGCCCGTTTTATACAGCTTTGATTTTTATTTATTTATTTTTTTGAGACTGAGTCTCGCTTTGCTGCCCAGGCTGCGGTGCAGTGGCGCAATCTGGGCTCACTGCAACCTCCGCTTTCCAGGTTCAAGTGATTCTCCTGCCTCAGCCTCCCGAGTAGCTGGGATTACAGGCGCATGCCACCACATCTGGCTAATTTTTGTATTTTTAGTAGAGATGGGGTTTCACCATGTTGGCCAGGCTGGTCTTGAACCCCTGACCTCAGGTGAACTGCACACCTCGGCCTCCCAAAGTGCTGGGATTACAAGCGTGAGCTACTGTGCCCGGCCTACTTTTTTTCTTATAGTTAAAAAAAAAAAAAAAAAAAAGATTTTAAGTGGTCTGGCCCTCTCTTTAAACTTCTGAGTTTGGGTGGATAGTTGAGTTGGGTTGGGTGGTTAGAGAAGAAATGCTCTGGACAGATTGAAAGACTAAATTCCTACAAGGAAAAGTGGTCATTTTTCTGTGGTTTTATCCCAGGGGAGTTGGGGCACACTGTAGTAAAGGGATGTATACTCTCCAAGATGCAATGCCGCCTCGAAATGCCTGCCTGGCTCATGGGTGTCATGAGATCTGACTAGTCACCATGTGTGTTCCTAAGGTTCCTCAGCTCATCAGATCTCACCCCAAGGTGGCCCAACCTAAGTAAAAGGCAAATCACAACGGACATATCCAGGCCCTGCCCTAAAGAGGCAAGCTGATAGTTACTCATATCCATTTTATGTTTAGGAGGGGTAATAAGAAATTCGGTTTGCAAACACCGCATGTTCTCACTCAGATGGGAATTGAACAATGAGAACACATGGACACAGGAAGGGGAACATCACACTCTGGGGACTGTTGTGGGGTGGGGGCAGGGGGGAGGGATAGCATTAGGAGATATACCTAATGCTAAATGATGAGTTAATGGGTGCAGCACACCAGCATGGCACATGTACACATATGTAACTAACCTGCACATTGTGCACATGTACCCTAAAACTTAAAGTATAATAATAATAATAGTAAAAAATAATAATTAAAAAAAAAAGAAATTCGGTTTGGACCCATTGGAATAGGGAGAGGGAGGAAGACATGGCATTTAGTCCTTGCCCTACAAAAATATCTCCGTTCTAGGAGCCTGCGTTTGTGGGGATTCAGCCTGGGGTTCCCTGCCTCTGCTCACCCCATAGCCAAGTAGAGGTGATGGTGGGGAAATGCCCCTGCCACCGGCCACAAGGTATATGCAAGAGAGCCCAAATTTATTTTTATTTACTTATTTATTTTTCGAGATGGAGTTTCGGCTTTTGTTGCCTAGGCTGGAGTGCAATGGCGCGATCTCGGCTCACTGCAACATCCACCTCCCGGGTTCAAGCGATTCTCCTCCTGCCTCAGCCTCCCGAGTGGCTGGGATTACAGGTGCCCGCCACCACGCCTGGCTAATTTTTTGTATTTTCAGTAAAGACGGGATTTCACCGTGTTCGCCAGGCTGGTCTCGAACTCCTGACCTCAGGTGGGCCACCGCGCCGGGCCAAGAGAGCCCAGATTTAACTCAGACCATCCTATCTATCAAAAGCAGCACCAGCCACTATTCTGTGGTCCTTTTATTATCTCAGGGCACTAATCACTTACTCAGCTTGCGAACGTGTTCCACTTTCTCCCACTGGGCTTAGCTTGGTTCCCTCCTATTCCCCAGCGCACTCATCCTAGGGGCTCATCTGCGTATTTGAATACGCATACGGAAGAATAAACATCCCCCAGGTACTTCAGGCACAACCCTCCTTTGGCAGCGCAGAAGTCAAGCTAGAGGTCGTGACCCCCTGGAGTCTCGGTGGTTTCGGGTTGGGGAGCAGAGCGGGTGGGGCAGGACCGACTCGCCGGTGCCAGTCAGGATATCAAGGTGACAGCGCCCGGCACTGGCCTTGGTCGAAGGGTGACTCCGCCCCATTGCTAAGCTCCGATTGGGCACGCCCTTTTCTGGTTCTTCTTCAGGATTGGCTGGGAGGTGCGGCCTATGAACCGGAACGCGTCGCGATTGGTTGGCGCTCAGGCCGATCTTCCAGACGCGGAGGCCTGGGCCGATGTGGCCCAACTCTCTGCCAGCCAATCAGCGCTCGGGCTGAGTGTGGCGCGTGAGTGTGTCCGGGATCCCTCCGCCGCCCGGGCGTTGGGGTCGCGGGAAGGGAGGGGACTGGGAGGGGATGGGGTGGGGACGCGCAGGAGGCCCGTGGGGTTGACTTGGGCGAGGCGGAGAGGACGCGTGTGCTGGCAGATGGAGGAGAACCGAGCGGAGCCGAGCAGCTTTGCCAGGAGTCTTCCACTACTGCTAAGGACCCCTCCTGCAAATTCAGACTCTTGCGTGACACACTAAAGAATAAATTAATAGGCTGGGCGCGGTGGCTCACGCCTGTAATCCCAGCACTTTGGGAGGCTGAGCCGGGCGGATCACGAGGTCACGAGATCGAGACCATCCTGGCCAACATGGCGAAACCCCGTCTCTACTAAAATACAAAAATTAGCTGGGCATGGTGGCGGGCGCCTGTAGTCCCAGCTACTCCAGAGGCTGAGGCAGGAAAATCGCTTAAACCCGGGAGGCAGAGGTTGCAGTGAGCCGAGATCACGCCACTGCCCTCCAGGTTGGGCAACAGAGCGAGACTCCGTCTCAAAAAAAAAAAAAGAATAAATTAATAATCAATAAATTTAAAAATTAAAAAGGAACGCCACCAAAAGAATCATGAAAACAAATAAAGGCTAATAAAAATAAAAGAAAGGCTTAAAGTGCCCAAAATGTCCAAAAGAAATGCACAATATCGACTTACAGTATAGACAGAAGAGACCTGCAAATTCTGCAGCCTTAATACCTTCAGTCTTTTTGGAAATGTTTCAGGAGCTGCTGCTCTGTGCCCTGCCTCGTGCTAGGCGTCGGGGAACCCCCAAGGGAACCACGGGGACCAGAGCCCGGCGGTCATGGCGCTTGCTCTTGGAGGCACATAAAGGGCTTCATTTCAGATGATGAAAGTGCAATGGGGTGATGGAGTGGAGAATGTGGGTGCTCTGAATTTTAACCACGTGCTATGACATGGGGTGGGGTAAGGCTCCTAATCTAGGAGCAGCCTTCTCGAGGTCTTTAACCATCTGCATAAGAGATAGTATAAAAAAGGTAAGGGACATTTGTGTGTGCGCGCAAGTAAGATTTCTTTGCATCTTATTACAACATCTATCCCCTCCCTTCACCGTATGTGCCAGCTAATACACTAGGGACTTTGTATTTTTCAGGATCCTTTTCTCCAGAAGCCTGGCTACTGAAGAGAGAACTTCACACTTACATAAGAGGAAAAAGAAGCCAGAGGATGGAGTGTCACCTCATCTGGTCATCTTTTCTTGCCCTGTTAGAATCAAGACAGCAGAGCATAGCAAGCTTCAGATGGCTTGTCTGGCTGGTCTGAGTCTCTTTAGGATTAAATGAGGCCTCTGTTGATGGAGATCCTTTGTTTCACTATTAGCATTAGGCTAATAAGTTTCAGTATTTTCTAAACCCCGTTTTAGGGTATGTCTCCTGGTTGTTGGTGATGTTGAATTACAGGGTGTCCTACAGAGAGTAGCAGAAATGTAGCTGTGTCTTCCAAGTATTTGCTATGAGTCCTCAGTGGCAGATGTCTGTGAGCTGTAGCATAAGATGCATTCATGTAACAAATATCTATTGCGTGCCTGCCGCATGTGAATACAAGGCGAAAGGTCCCTGCTTTCATGAAATTTCATTGTATTTCATTGTATTAATTTCATTGAAAGTAATAATCAATTTCAAATAAGGATGATTTGGCCTTGCACTTGAAAGAAGCAAAACAAGATCATGTTTACAGTGCCTGGGGGTGGAGAGGGGAGGAACATTCTATAGTTGTTGACTGGCTGAGTTGGGGTCAGGTGATCCCAGCAGAAGTGGGCTGATTCATCAAAGATCAATTCATTGAAAGTCATTTTGCCAAATAATCAATTCAGTGATTTAGCAGAATTTTCCAGATTTACCAACTTACCAAAAATGGCATTTTATGGCTTAATCTTCTTGATTTAGATTCAATGAATAAGAATACAGTCATCTGAATTTTTTCGGACATATAAGAAAATACACTTTTTTTTTTTGAGATGGAGTCTCACTGTCACCCAGGCTGGAATGCAGTGATTTGATCTCAGCTCTCTGCAAACTCCGCCTCCTAGGTACAAGTGGTTCTTCTGCCTCAGCCTCCCGAGTAGCTGGGAATACATGTGTGCACCACCACGCCTGGCTAATTTTTGTATTTTTAGTAGAGACGGAGTTTTGCCATGTTGACCAGGCTGGTCTTGAATTCCTGACCTCCCACCTTGGCGTCCCAAAGTGCTGGGATTACAGATGTGAGCCACCGTGCCCGGCCCCTTCCAGTTCTTTTTCTACACATATACATTAATGTATAGAAAAAAATATATATATGTCAGGCTGGTGGTGGTGTCTCACGCCTGTAATCCCAGCACTTTGGGAGGCCGAGGCGGGCGAATCACGAGGTCAGGAGATTGAGACCATCCTGGCTAACACAGTGAAACCATGTCTCCACTAAAAATACAAAAACTAGCCGGGCGTGGTGGCAGGCACCTGTAGTTCCAGCTACCCGGGAGGCTGAGGCAGGAGAATGGCATGAACCCAGGAGGCAGAAGTTGCAGTGAGCCGAGATCGTGCCACTGCACTCCAGCCTGGGCGACAGAGTGAGACTGCGTCTCTTAAAAAAAAAATATATATATATATACATATATGTATATATATGTATATATATATTTATTTTTATATATGTCAACAGAGAAAATTTTAAACGCAAATGTTTTCTTGTATGTATTTTTCTACAACTGTACGTGTCATTCTACAATTTATTCTATCTTCTTCAACAGTCTCTTTGAGGCTGGGCGTGGTGGCTCATACCTGTAATCCCAGCACTTTGGGAGGTTGAGACAGGAGGATCACTTGAGCCCAGGAGTTTGAGACCATTCTGGATAACATAGGGAGACCCTGTCTCTATTTATGTATTTATTTATTTTTTGAGACAGGGTCTTGCTGTGTCACCCAGGCTGGAGTGCAGTGGCATAATCATAACTCGCTACAGCCTCCACCTCCTGGGCTCAAGTGATCCTCCCTCCTCAGCCTCCTGAGTAGCTAGGACCACAGGCACATGTTACTACGCCTGGCTAATTTTTTATTTTTTATTGAGACAAGGTCCCACTATGTTGCCCAGGCTGGTCTTGAACTCCTGGGCTCAAGCAATCCTCCTGCGTCAGCCTCCCAAAGTGCTGGTATTACAGGGGTGAACCACTGCACCCAGCCCCCATCTCTATTAAAAAAAAATCTCTTTGAGAACTGTGATGTTTGTAGGTGAATGTGATTGTTTTTAGTGGATGTGCATAGCATTGTACAGTATGGATTATACTATACTTTGCCGTTCCCATGTTGAAGGACTTTAGTTTGTTTCTAGTTTTTCACCCTAGGCTTAGTGAAGTAAGACTCACCCAGAGTCTTGGGGCCCTGCTTTTATTAATTGTTTTATTTTTTTTTATATTTTTATTTTTTCCAAGGCAGAAGAATTTTTCTTAGTACAGAACAAAATGAAGTCTCCCATGTCTACTTCTTTCTACACAGACACAGCAACAATCTGATTTCTCTATCTTTTCCCCACCTTTCCCCCTTTTCTATTCCACAAAACCGCCATCGTCATCATGGCCCGTTCTCAATGAGCTGTTGGGTACACCTCCCAGACGGGGTGGTGGCCGGGCAGAGGGGCTCCTCACTTCCCAGAAGGGGCGGCCGGGCAGAGGCGCCCCCCGCCTCCCGGACGGGGCGGCGGCCGGGCGGAGGCGCCCCCAACCTGCCTCCCGGACAGGGCAGCTGGCCGGGCGGGGGCTGACCCCCCACCTCCCTCCCGGACCGAGATGGCAGCAATACAGTCCAGCTTCGGCTCGGCATCAGTAGAGATGAGGTTGTGCCATGTTGCCCAGGCTGGTCTTGAACTCCTGGGCTCAAGTGATCTGCCCGCCTCTGCCTCCCAAAGCACTGGGATTACAGGCATGAGCCACTGCGCCCAGCCGGTCCCATCGTTTTCTTATCTTTATTCCTGATGAGGATTTGAAGTTGCGTGGTCATATTTTCTCCTCTGCTTTCCCCTGGGGGCTGGAGAGGAGGTGGGGAAGCTCAACCTTGAGACATCAACTCCGGCACATCTCGTACTTAGTAACTGGCACCGACTCAATATCCACAGCCCCCTGGGCATGCGGGGAGTGTTGATGCAACCACACCATGGAGGCCAGAAAAAGAAATCCTCAAGCAACACTTTGGCCTGATGGACTCAGGGGACCTGCCTGAGTCTGCAGTTGGAATCACCCCTTTCCCTTTCTTCTGGCCTGACCTCGGGGAGCCACTGTGTCGGCAGCTGCTGTCTGTGCAGATGCTGCAGCTTCCTGTCCCTCTGCTCCTCCAGCCTTTCCTTCCGTCTCTGCACTGTTGCTTTGGTTATGACTTGGGTAAAATCAGAGGCTCGAACTTGTTCTCATCTAGTCCGGCTCCAAGTACTCATCGAATCCAGCAGCATATCCTGATGGTTCTCCCTTCCAAAATAGTTCTATGTATATAGAAGTATTCACAGATTTATATTTATATAAAAATAAATGTATATATTTACACTATGGGATGTAGAGCTATCTGAATATAACATGTATGTACAATTTATGAAATAATAAATGCACACCAAGTAGTCACCACCCAGCTTAATAGGGGATGACCAGTATCGTGGAAATCCCTCCCTAAATTCAGCCTCTTTATTTGTCCTATGAGAAACCAGTGCTATATCTATAGCTCTATATACCACTATGTAAGTATATACATTTATTTATTTATTTTTTGAGATAGTTTCACTCTTGTTGCCCAATGTGGAGTGCAGTGGCATGATCTCGGCTCACTGGATTACAGGCATGTGCCACTGCACCCGGCCATAATTTTTTTTTTTTTTTTGAGATGGAGTCTTGCTCTTATTGCTCAGGCTGGAGTGCAATGGCACGATCTCAGCTCACTGCAACCTCCGCCTCCCAGGTTCAAGTGATTCTCTTGCCTCAGCTTCCCAAGTAGCTGGGATTACAGGCACCCGCCACCACGCCTGGCTAATTTTTGTATTTTTAGTAGAGACGGGGTTTTGCCATGTTGGCCAGGCTGGTCTCGAGCTCCTGACCTCGTGATCCGCCCGCCTCGGCCTCCCAACATGCTGGGATTACAGACATGAGCCACAGTGCCTGGCCCATAAATTTATTTTATTTTTTTATTTTATTATTATTATTTTTGAGATGGAGTCTCACTCTGTCACTGAGGCTGGAGTGCTGTGGCGTGATCTTGGCTCACTGCAACCTCTGCCCTCCGAGTTCAAGCGATTCTCCTGCCTCAGCCTACCGAGTAGCTGGGATTATAGGTGCCTGCCACCGCGCCCGGCTAATTTTTTGTATTTTTAGTAGAGACGGGGTTTCACCATCTTGGCCAGGCTGGTCTTGAACTCCTGACCTCGTGATCCACCCACCTCGGCCTCCCAAAGTGCTGGGATTACAGGAGTGAGCCACCGCGCCCAGCTAAATTTATTTTTTATACTGTTCCATCCACCCCTCAAACCCAACCACACTCTATGACCACACAACAGACGAATAATCCTTTCAGAATGTATATCATGTCACTTCCCCACTCAAAAGCTGCCAGGTGGCTTCTCATCACAGTTTGAATAAAACCCAAAGTACTTACCCCACGGCCTCCCAAGGCCTCATATAGCCACTGCGTTAAGACAGTGCCAAGCAGGCCTCAGGGACTTTGCATGTGCTATGCCCTCTGCAAGGCTTTTCCCGAAGATCAGCACTGGGCTGGATGTGTCACTTCATTTAGGTGTCAGCTCATGTTACTTCATTAGGGATATCCTTCCTTGATCACTTTTTTTTCCTTTTTTTTTTTTGGTGAGACTGAATTTTGCTCTTGTTGAGCAGACTGGAGTGCAGTGGTGCAATCTTGGCTCGCCGCACCCTCCGCCTCCCGGGTTCAAGCGATTCTCCTGCCTCAGCCTCCTGAATAGCTGGGATTACAGGCGCCTGACGCCATGCCCAGCTAATTTTCATATTTTTAGTAGAGACGGTGTTTCACTGTGTTGGCCAGGCTGACCTTTTTTTCCCCCATGTTTGGGGCTTGTCTTTGTCTCTCAAATGCGAAATATAAATCATGTTTTTACAAGTTTTGTGAATCTTGACTTTTCACACCTTGTTTTTGTAAGCAAAAGTTTCTTATTAAAATAATAAAATGACTGTCTTTGTGTGCAATATTTATCTCAAATGTTTGTTAAAATAGCATTGTTATTTCTCAGGACAACAGCGAGGATCAGCCCCTGCAGAAGCTTAGGAACTATGTACAGAACTTTACAGAACAGACGCAATACTGTAGCTTAAGCCTCTCTGCTGACCAGAGAATGGAATTCTCCGTGGACTCGAGGAACAAAAGGAAACTAGGCAGGGAAAGGGAAAAGGAAAGTGGCCATTTGAATCAAACTTCAGCTGCTATCAGGGCACATCTTGTGGTGGCCACAGATTGCAGGCTGTTCTTGGAAGATTCGGGCTCAGCACAGGATTCCATTTGTCTACCTGGCTACACTCCTGGCTGAGGTGCCATGAGGTCAATGTCACTGAAGTACCTGGCCAGCCAAACTCCCGCAGCAAAGAGTCCCAAATCGAGGATCAAGTTCCTCCAGAAGTCACTCCTATCAGTGGCAAAGCGGTAGACGCCCTGAGGCTAATCTCCCACATTGTCCAGTATTTCGGGAGTTTCATTAGCCAAGCAGGCAGCGCTCATCCAGATCCCGCTGGAAGCCATAGTAGGAAGCTTCGCACAGGCCCTTTTTTTTTTTTTTTTTTTGAGACGGAGTTGCGCTCTTGTTGCCCAGGCTGGAGTGCAACGACATGATCTTGTCTCACTGCAACCTTCGCCTCCGGGGTTCAAGCGATTCTCCTGTCTCTGCCTCCCAAATAGCTGGGACTACAGAGACGAGCCACCATGCCTGGCTAATTTTTGTATTTTTAGTAGAGACGGGGTTTCATCATATTGGTCAGGCCGGTCTCGAACTCCTGACCTCAAGTGATCTGCCCGTCTCAAAAAAAAAAAAAAAAGTGGCTTCTTTCTGATGTGGTGTGCATTCCTCAATACAGTACATCAAAATTTTATTTTATTCAATCACAACACGGCATATTTATTCCAATTACAGCCAATCCACCTCTTACTTTGATATAAAGTGCTCGTTTTTTATGACCATTTAAGCCTGTGATGAAAATGTCTAGAATTCAACTGAAGTCAGGATACAGACCCTGAGGTTGCGCACAGTCCTGTCAGGAGAGACTCCAAAGTGGGGATTCTTTGGCAAGGAAGACAGGGGTTTCTCACTGAGCAGGCAGCCATCAGTGTCCGCCATGTTGATTTTCTTTACCGACTCTCTCCCTAAGACAGAAATTTTGTATTTTTCCAGCTTCTTCTTAGCACTTTGGCTTTTGTTTTTATGTGTGCAAAGAGATATCAAGCTTTGCGAAGAGAGGAGAAAAGTGAGATTACAATTTCCCAGAGCATATGGACTATCCTCGGGTACTTCTGGTTTCTGTCTCAACTATGGGTGCCATTCCTCTTCCAGACCATCCGTTTGGTACTTTTTGGGAAATATCTTTGCTGTTTCCAAATACTCATGTGTTTTATATGAAACCCCTTTCAACATATTCCAGTATGCGGAGCTTGCAGTGAGCCGAGATTGCGCCACTGTACTCCAGCCTGGGAGACAAAGCCAGACTCTTGTCTCAAAAAAAAAAAAAAAGGGACGTGGGAGAGGAAGCAAGATGAGTCTTGAAAAGACACCTCCGAAGGCCCGTGAGTGTCTGGAAGTATGTCACAGGGGGTGAGGGCTAAGTCTCCAGTCATTCTGGCTGTGGCTCACCTCTGCCTTGGGCTACCTCACAGGTGCTGTGTCTGGTTGGGTGGGCCAAGCTGGAGGAATTAGGAGTGAACCAAGTGGCCGTCAGATATATAAATCCAGGCTTTTCCCTGCCCCATGAAAACTGGTCAACCCACTGGTCAAAGTGGATTTCCACATGCATGAGGGCTGGGTCTGTGCTTTACACAGCTGGGTCCCCATTGCCCAACTCACAACGGGCAACCTCTAGGCACGTGCTGAGGGAATGAATGTTTCTTGAACTCCTACTGTGGGTCAGGCATTGGGGACTGCGTGGTGCACTAGTGAGACAAGGATCCTGCCCCTGTGGAATTTGCATTCTGGTGTTAAAGGAATGAACACAAATACGTAGATCTCTCAAAGATGAATCTCCCTCTGGGTGGAAATGGACTCATGCCTGGCAAATGCAGTAACAGGGAGACAAAGAGCCAGAGGTGGCCCCAGAATTTGGAGGCCAGGGAGGGGGCAACCTAGAAGTCATGTTTATATAGCAAGCACCCTGTTTTAGGTTTGAATCTCCGTTTATATGTGGTGATTGGGAGATGGAAGCTGTTTAAAATTAGGTGGTGGAAGTGGGAGTTTACTTCATAAAATTCCAATACTGGTCAGGCATGGTGGCGCGATCCTGTAATCCCAGCCACTCGAAAGGCTGAGGCAGTAAGATCACTTCAGCCCAGGAGTTCGAGGTTGCAGTGAGCTATGATTGCGCCACTGCACTCCAGCCTGGGCAATACAGCGAAACCTCGTCTGTCTCTAAAAAATAAAAATAAAAACAAATTAAGCTCCAACACTGCAAAAAACTATTTTGGGGGAAGTTGATTGGGTGGCTAAGATAATAAATGAAGACAAACAACTTGGGATGGTCTTTAACACGGAGCCCACAGTAGGGGTATGATAAATAAACCTCCAAAATATACCTGAAGTCCATTTCTTCTCTCCAACTCCACCCTGGTCCAGCCACCATCATCTTTTGCATAATTTCTCCTGCCTTTGCCCCTGAAGACTATTCTCAACTCAGCATCAGGGAGATTCCTATCACAGCCACAGTCACAGCGGGTCCCTCTCCGCTCAAAACCTTCCAGTGGTCTCGCCTTAACCCAGGATAAAGGCCAAAGTCTCCACTGGGCTCCAGGACCTACCTGAGCCACCACCCCTTCCTCTGCGGATTTTATCTTCTACCCCAGGTCTCTCACATGAAAAATCTTGTCCTCCTTACAAAGTTCCCTAAGCACCCCCGGCACTCGCCTGCCTCAAGGTCTGAGCCCTGGCTGTTCCCCCTGCCTGGAGACTGAATTGCTCACTTCTGTTGCCTTCTTCGGGTCACTGGTAGAAGTTGCCTTTTCAAGGGGGCCTTCCCTGCCACCCTATTTAAAGAGAAACACCCCTCCCCCCACATTCTGTACTCTCCCTTGCTTTCTCTCCACAGCACTTAATACCTTTTTTTTTTTTTTTTTTTTTGAGACAGAGTCTCGCTCTGTTGCCCAGGCTGGAGTGCAGTGGCACGATCTTGGCTCACTACAACCTCTGCCTCCTGGGTTCAAGCAATTCTCCTGCCTTAGCCTCCCAAGTAGCTGGGATTACGGGCATGTGCCACCACATCCAGCTAATTTTTTTTGTATTTTTAATAGAGATGAGGTTTCACCATGTTGGCCAGGCTGGTTTTGAACTCCTGACCTCAAGTGATCTGCCTGCCTTGGCCTTCCAAAGGGCTAGGATTACAAGTGTGAGTCACTGCGCCCAGCATAATACCTTTTATTATACAAATATTATATACAATATGTATTTCTCTGTAATGTGTGAACCCAGAGAATGTTAGGTCTCAATTCATTTAGAAAGTTAATTTTGCGAAGGTTAAGTACGTGTGCCCACGACACAGACTCAGGAGGTCCTGACATGTGCCCAAGGTGGTCAGAGCAGAGTTTGGTTTTACACCTTCTAGAGAGACATGAGACATCAGTCAGCATATGCAAGATGAACACTGGTTCTGTCTGGAAAGGCGGGACAACTCGAAGCAAAGGTGGGAAGACTTGAAGTGGGGAGGGGGCCTGCCAGGTCACAGGTAGATAAGTGACAAATGCTTGCATTCTTTTCAGTTTCTGATGAGCCTCTCCAAAGAAGACAATCAGATATGCATTTATCTCAGTGAGCAGCGGGGCGACTTTGAATAGCATGAGAGGCAGGTTGGCCCTAAGCAGTTCCCAGCTTGACTTTTCCCTTTAGCTTCATGATTTTGGGGCCTCAAGATTTATTTTTCTATCACACTTTCCCCCTTTTCTTTTTAAAAATCTTTTGGAGAAAGCATTTTTAGAAGAAAATGAGTCTCAGGCCGGGCACGGTGGCTCACGCTTGTAATCCCAGCACTTTGGGAGGCCGAGGCGGGTGGATCACGAGGTCAGGAGATCGAGACCAACCTAACACAGCGAAACCCCATCTCTACTAAAAATACAAAAAATTAGCCGGGTGCGGTGGCGGGCGCCTGTAGTCCCAGCTACTCGGGAGGCTGAGGCAGGAGAATGGCGTGAACCTGGGAGGCGGAGCTTGCAGTGAGCCGAGATCAGGCCACTGCACTCCAGCCTGGGCGACAGAGTGAGACTCTGTCTCAAGAAAACAAAAAAAAAAAAAGAAGAAGAAAATGAGTCTCTGCTCTCAGGTTTCATCTGATCTTTCATGGCTAGAATGGTTTATTCCTAGACAGGTAGGTCCCAAGTTATTAGGAAGGCTCATTTTTAGCAGGTTGTGAAGTCTCATGTCCTATGAAGAGAAAACGGGGGAGGAAGGGAGAAAAGCAATAACAAACAAAAGAACAATCCTGGAAAATTGATATAGGCCACATTACCCTGAAGTCCATACATCAGTAGGCAGGGATGAAAATGTCTTATGTTTGTAAATAGGTTGCTGTTATTTTCTTCTGAAGTTTAAGTTGTCTAGCTTCAGTTTGCAGGGCTTTATGAAAGCATAGCTTAGTTTTTGGTGACTCCAAATTAGAAAAAATGGGAAAAAAGAAGAAAAAAAATTGAAAACGTTATTTTGCAGGCTTGTAGTCAAGAAAAATTAGAATTTGGTCCAAACTGTAGACAATAATAAAAATTGAAAAACATTAAGCAAGACTAGAATCTAACAACAGGTGTACTACAGTTTTTGAAACATAATTTTTCTCTCTCCAGTTTCCCATTTTTACTAAGGACAAATAATGGTATGACTTATTTGCTTTATTATACTTGGCCTGATTATTTGTATACAATGCTGCAAGAATAATATATATTTTTTAACATAGGCTTTTAAATTGGCTTTGATGGAACTTTGTTCCATAGAAGGAATCTCAGATGAGACATTTTAAAGCTGAGTCCAGGCATGGATTCATACCATCAAATACCTATGAATTGGTTGAATCCCTTTCTTCTTGAGGTTCCAAGATAAACTTGGAGTTCTTGGACCTGTCAGAAAGTGACATTGTTTACTTACCACAGGTCAGGAATCCTGTACAGGGACTGTGTAGGCAGAGGTATGAGGCCAGTTTTTCCAAGGGGCTTTTATTTGCTCCATAAGTCAAGTTTGATCCCTTAAAGGAAAGCACACCATTCCAGTCAAAGCCTTGTTTCTCCAACTGTGTCCTGTTACAAATGAAAACAGGTTCTTACCGCACTTATGCAATTAACTGTATTGTTGTAAGTTAAGAATACTCACAAATAGTTTCCAAAATTTTGTAGAAATCAGGTAGAGAGAAACAAATATGCTCCAAATTTTGTTCATAGTCGTATCCCGTACTCAATTGTTAAAAGCTATAAATAGCTTAAAAGTTTTCTTCACTCAGAAAAACAAAAAGATCAGCAATGTTTTAAGCAAAAAGTTAAAAAGATTACAGATTATTTCAGACTTCTTCTTCTTCTTTTTTTTTTTTTAGACAGAGTTTCCCTCTTGTTGCCCAGGCTGGAGTGCAATGGTGTGATCTTGGCTCAGTGCAACCTCTGCCTCCTGTGTTCAAGTGATTCTTCTGCCTCGGCCTCCTGAGTAGCTGGGATTATAGGCATGCGCCGCCATGCCCAGCTAATTTTGTATTTTTAGTAGAGACGGGGTTTCTCACTGTTGGTCAGGCTGGTCTTGAACTCCCAACCTCAGGTGATCTGCCTGCGTCGGCCTCCCAAAGTGCTAGGATTACAGGCCTGAGCCACTGCGCCCGGCCAGGACTACCTACCTCTTAACTGGATCTCTGAGCTCTGGGCAGAGCCCACATTGAATCCTGGGTCTCCAAAAAGGGAGAAGTATTTTGAAGTTAGACGATGTGATGCTTTTACAGTACGCTTAAATTTTTTTTTTTTTAACAAAGATATTTCTTTTTTTTTTTTTTTGAGACAGAGTCTCATTCTGTTGCCCAGGCTGGAGTGCAGTGGCGTGATCTCGGCTCACTGCAATCTCTGCTTCCCGGGTTCATGCCATCCTCCTGCCTCAGCCTCCTGAGTAGCTGGGATTGCAGGCACCCGCCACCATGGCTGGCTAATTTTTTGTATTTTTAGTACAGATGGGGTTTCACCGTGTTAGCCAGGATGGTCTCGATCTCCTGACCTTGTGATCCATCTGCCTTGGCCTCTGAAGTGCTGGGATTACAGGCGTGAGCCACCGTGCCTGGCCAACAAAGACATTTCTAAGTGTCTAAACTACACTCTTCCTTAAAAACCCCAGAGTAGCATCTGTTGCAATAGCTGTTAATGAAAAAAACAGAATTCAGTCAACTGAGAAAAACAAAAACAAAAACAAAAAAACCTTTGCTCTAAAAAAAAAGCATCAGTTCCTAGGAGAGAAAAACAAAAACAAAAACATGATAGCCTTTTAAATACAAACACGAGCACATGCGCACACACATCTTGGATGTTAGCTTTTAATGAAGCTGACTTTTAACCATTGAGCTCCTTTAAAAAAATCTTTTTAAAATCTCATTACTATATTTCTGTTAGGACAAATTGCTGCTATTTCAGAAGTACCAAGTAGCAAACCAGAAAGGACTTGATTTAGGAACTAAATCTAGGCTGTCGTGGTTAGAAAAAGCAGGCAGAGCCTTAGCTATGGAACTGCAGCTTGGGGCAACAGCCATTGCTTTCACTTTGGCCTGGCTAGCAAAAAGGTGGCCTTATGTAAATAAAGCCCCTTTAGTAGTTAAAATCAAACATCTTTCCTCTTTTAATTTTTTTCTTTTGCTGGTTGTTTTTTCCCCCTACCAGGCCACGTGTGTGTGTGTGTGTGTGTGTGTGTGTGTGTGTGTGTGTGTGAATTTAGCCACTTTACAGTCCTTGTTCCCAGCAATTTGGAACTTTCCTTTTGATTTGATCAAGTCAGATATAGTTGATCAAACCCAATGGGAAAAGACCAAAGCAACAACAAAAACAGAGACAAACAAGCAACCAAAAAAGCATTTAAGCCAAACAAAAAATGGCACAACTTATATGATCACTGAGCACGCTCTAATGGTAAGGATAAATTAATGTTAGAGGAAAGCGGTCCCGATCCAGACCCCAAGAGAGGGTTTTTGGATCTCACGCAATAAAGAATTCAAGGCGAGTCTACAGACTAAAGCAAATGCAAGTTCCTTAGGAAAGTAGAGGAATAAAAAGATGGCTACTCCATAGACAGAGCACCCTGAGGGGTGCTGGTTGCCCATTCTCATGGTTATTTCTTGATGATATGCTAAACAAGGGGTGGACTATTCATGCCTCCCCTTTTTAGACCATATAGAGTAACTTCCTGACATTGCCATGGCATTTGTAAACTGTCATGGTGCTGATGGGAGTGTAGTAGTGAAGTCAAGCAGAGGTCACTCTCATCACCACCTTGGTTTTGGTAGGATTTAGCCGGCTTTTTTACTGCAGCGTGTTTTATCAGCAAGGTGTTTATGACTTGTATTTTGTGCCGACCTCCTGTCTCATCCTGTGACTTAGAATGCCTTCACTGTCTGGGAATGGAGCCTAGTAGATCTCAGCCTCATTTTACCCAGCCCCCACTCAAGATGGAGTTGCTCTGGTTCAAATGCCTCTGACATTAAGACCAGCTGGCTGTTAACCTTAACTTTAGCCAAGACAAACCCCAATTCAGTTACTTACCTAGGGATGGGTCTTAGGCTGTAGACTGCTCTCTACCATTCTAGAAGCAGGAAAAAAGACCTCATCTTCCCTGTTGGAAGCGAGCTCAAACTCCATAAAGGAGTTACCTGCCTTCCATTGTCATGGAAGCAGGAAACCTTGCCTTCCTTGTTGGAAGCAAGTAAAACTGCAAAGAAAAGAGTTGTACAGCAAAATAAACTTTAGATCTCCACCAAATTTTGGGAGATCAGGGAGGCTCTGGAGGGGGTGCTCTCAGACCTGGGCTCACTCTTGTAATCCCAGCACTTTGGGAGGCCGAGGCGGGTGGATCACCTGAGGTCAGGACTTCAAGACCAGCCTGGCCAACATGGTGAAATCCCGTCTCTACAAAAATGCAAAAATGAGCCGGGCTCGGTAGCTCACGCCTGTAATTCCAGCACTTTGGGAGGCTGAGGCGGGCGGATCACCTGAGGCCGGGAGTTGGAGACCAGCCTGACCAACATGGAAAAACCCTGTCTGTACTAAAAATACAAAATTAGCCAGGCGTGGTGGCACATGCCTGTAATCCCAGGTACTCGAGAGGCTGAGGCAGGAGAATTGCTTTAACCTGGGAGATGGAGGTTGCCGTGTGCCGAGATCTCGCAATTGCACTCCAGCCTGGGTAACAAGAGCGAAACTTCGTCTCAAAAAAACAAAACAAACAACAACAACAACAAAAAAAAAAACACGAAAAATTAGCTGGGCATGATGGCGTGTGCCTGTAATCCCAGCTACTCAGGAGGCTGAGGCAGGAGAATCGCTTGAACCTGGGAAGCAGAGGTTACAGTGAGCTGAGATTGGGACATTGCACTCCAGCCTGGGCGACTGAGTGAGACTCAAAAAAAAAAAAAAAGCTAAGGCGGGGAGGGGGCCTTCCAGGTCATAGGTAGATAAGGGACAAATGGCTGCATTCTTTTGAGTTTTCAATTAGCCTCTGCAAAGGAGGCAATCAGGTGTGCATTTAACTCAGCAGAGGGGTGACTTTGAATAGAATGGAGGCAGGTTAGCCCTAAGCAGTTCCCAGCTTTTCTTTTCCCTTTAGCTTAGTAGTGGGGCCCCAAGATTTATTTTCCTTTCACAAATGTGTATTTTGATACCCATTGGCATACTATGTATATTATTGTATTATACTATGACATTATCTTGTGTATGTACACGATGTACTTATTTGTTAATCGTCTCCCGTCTTCCTCACACCTGTACCCCTCCTCTCCTGTTGACAGAGAACAAGAATTTTGTTTTGTTCGCTGCTGTATCCGCAAAGCTCCCAAAGTCCTCCGAATGCCGCAGGCTCTCAGTAAAGACCTGCAGGAAGAAATAGCGAATGAATGATGTACACGTGTAGGAAACAGCGGGCTCGGACGCCTGGCTTCTCCGGCTGCCCTAACGCCCTCCAGCTCCAGGTGAGGTCGGGGAGCTGGGGCCAAGGCTCGTGAGCGCCCCTCACCCCCACGCCCCCCGGCCGCGGGCGCTGGAGCCGGCGGCTGCGAGCACTCCTTTGAGCGGCGCTGCACTCAGCGGAGGGTTACAGGCGGGAGGGCGGGGCCTGGAAGGGGGCGGGGATTCGAGGCGGGGCCTGCGGGGCGGGGCCTGGGCCAAGCGGCCCGCAGGAGGCGGCGGCGGCCGTTCAGTCCCTTGTTCCCCGCCGCCGCCGTCGCTGACCCAGCCCGCCAGGCGCTCCTGACCGTCGCTTCCTCCGGTCCCAGGTCCCCGGCCCTCGCCTCAGCCCCGGCCCCTGGTCCCCAGCCCTCGTCGCAGCCCCGGCCGCCCGCCGCCGCCATGTCCAAGGAGGAGCGCCCCGGTCGGGAGGAGATCCTGGAGTGCCAGGTGATGTGGGAGCCTGACAGTAAGAAGAACACGCAGATGGACCGCTTCCGGGCGGCTGTGGGCGCCGCCTGCGGCCTGGCGCTGGGTGAGAGTCGGGCGCGCGGCCGGGCCTGCGGGGGATGGGCGGGAGCCGTGCAGGGTGGTTGGGTGGTCTCCCCATGGCTAGTTTCACGCTTCTGGGGCTGGAGGAGCCACTTGATGGCGGGGAGGCCTTCTGACTGCGGGGTTCCCCCCAGTCTTGGGGAACATCACCCCTCCACAGCACCTCCTGGCACTTCCTGACTCTGCAGCGTCTCCTCTGCATGTGGGGGTCACCCTCTCCCCGGGAGTGTCACCCCTCGGGAGGGCCAGCTGCCTGTTGACCGTGTGACCCCTTGCTAGGCTTTCCTACCTGTGAGGTGCTCCCTGGAGTCTTGACCTCCGGCCTGTGGGGGCTTCCCCCGGACATAGGGCCTTTTTGACTTGCAGCTCTTCCTCTGTTTGTGGGGGTCCCTTGCCAGTCCCCAGTGCCGTGCACTCTGTCCCCCTGACCTCCCTCATCTCCAGCTGCCCCTGCTGGAGGCCAGCACCTAGCAGGATGGTCAGGCAGGAGGCCCTGTCCACGTGTCTACACTCCCAGCCCCCAAACAGAACCTAGTAAAAGACTCTCTTTCCACCCATCACCTTGAACCTCAGAAACTGCCTCTCTCGGTGCGGGTGGGGCAAAGGCTCCTTCTCCGTGGGGTAACCGCTCCGGGTGCTCTTCCTGAGCTCTAGCTGGCTTGCCCAACTACCAGCTCCACCCCTCCACCCTGCCTCCCCTAGGTATTCCTAGGGGATTTTTTTTTTTTTTTTTTGAGACAGTTTCTCTCTCGTTGCCCAGGCTGGAGTGCAATGGCGAGATCTCGGCACACTGCAACCTCCGCCTCCCGGGTTCAAGTGATTCTCCTGCCTCAGCCTCCCGAGTAGCTGGGATTACAGGCATACACCACCACGCCTGGCTAATTTTGTATTTTTAGTAGAGACGGAGTTTCTCCATGTTGGTCAGGCTGGTCTCGAACTCCTGACCTCAGGTGATCCGATCGCCTTGGCCTCCCAAAGTGCTGGGATTACAGGTGTGAGCCACGGCGCCTGGCCTCCTAGGGGATTTTTAACTCATGGTCTCCCCTCCTCACCCCCTCCGCTGGCGCAGGGACTCCCTTGTTTCTGTTGGTGGCGTCACTGTTCTTGCTCAGGCTCACAGGGATGGACACCCCAGTCACCTGTGGCACCAGAAGTCTTCTGCCACAGCCCCATGTCGCTCACATCTCCTCCTTTGCAGCCCCTTGTCAGGGGTTCTGGGGCCTCCTTTCCTCCTCACCAAACAGTGGTTGGTTTTCCTGCTTCCTGCTTTTCCATCCATTTGCATCCTGCTTGCTTTGCCAGAGTAATCTTGAAGCATACAGGTCTTACTTTGTCACTCCTTGGCTCAGAAGTTCTCAGTGGTTCCTTGTTGACCACAAAATTGCAGACGGCTGCCTGGCAGCTTCCAGGCCCTCCACAGCAGTGGGGAGCTTCCACAGAGTCATTTTCCTAGGCTAACCCAGAGCTGTTCCTCTCCTTCCCTTCCTCTCCCTTGGAGACAGGTGTAGTCTGTTGCCCCAGGGGCTTCTGGACAGCAGTTGGTAAATGAGTATGTGTTGGATTAGGGCAGCCTGGAGACTCCTGGAAGAAGCAGGAGGCTGCCATGTGGGATTATGTTCTTCCTCTGTGTCACCTTGCCTTGATTCCATCTGTTTCCTCTGCCAGCAATAACAGAATGCTGGTCTGGTGCCTGTCTAGCCCTGATGTTATGAAATAATTTCAGATCGGGCAGCCCTATTAGATGGGTGAAACCACCTTCCTCCGTGGGAAGTGTTGAAGAGAAGGGATTTGTAATCTGACTATCTGGATTTTTTTTTTTTTTAAGCCTCGCTTTTCTCCCCCAGGCTGGAGTGCGACGGCGCAATCTCGGCTCATTGCAACCTCTGCCTCCTGGGTTCACGCAGTTCTCCTGCCTCAGCCTCCCGAGTAGCTGGGATTACAGGTGCCTGCCACTATGCCCGGCTAATTTTTGTATTTTTAGTAGAGACGGGGTTTCACCATGTAGGCCAGGCTGGTCTAGAACTCCTGACCTCAGGTGATCCACCTGCCTCGGCCTCCCAAAGTGCTGGGATTACAGGTGTGAGCCACCGTGCTCGGCCGACTACCTGGGTTTTGAACTAGCTCTACCACTTACCAGCTGTGTGATCAGGAGGAAGTCATTGGATCTCTTCATGCCTTGTTTCCTCATCTGTAAAATGGGCATAACAGGACCTGAGTCATTGAGTGGGTGTGCAGGTGACAGGAGATGGTCAAGCCCAGTGCTCAGCTCTGCCCTGGGTCCCTGGGGTTGTGGAGTAAACATGAGCAAGTGCTGGGAGGGCCCGAGCATGGCTGCGGAGCTCCTTTCCCTCCTTCAGGGCTCTCAGACTGGTGGCCCATGGGCCAGGTCTCATCTCCAGACACACTGTTGAGTTGCCTGCATTTAAAAGTTAGGAGAGGGGGCTGGGCGTGGTGGCTCACACCTGTAATCCTAGCACTTGGAGAAGCTGAGATGGGTGGATCTTTTGAGCCTAGGAGTTTGAGACCAGCCTGGGCAACATGGTGAAACCCCCATCTCTACGAAAAATACAAAAAATTATCTGGGTGTGGTGGCATGCGCCTGTAGTCCCAGCTACTCTGGAGACTAAGGTGGGAGGGTTGCTGGAGCCCAGGAGGTGGAGGTCGCAGTGAGCCGAGATCTCGCCACTGCACTGCAGCCTGGGCGACAGAGTAAGACTCTGTCTCAAATAAATAAAAGTTGGGAGACCATATATGAAAAGCAAGCTTTCCAACCTCTGAGATCCCCAAGGCCTGTCATGCTGGGTCTGCATTCCCAACGTGGCAGCATTGTCCGGAGCTGAGTGAGGCCCCTCCCTTTAGTTTGGAGGAGGGCATTTAGCACTGTTTTTGTCCTTTTCTCCTCTTACCACTCTTGAAGGTGATTTCCACCTGACTCTCCCCTTTCATATTCCTGGCCCTGGAGGCTTTGGGCTTTGCTTGAAGATCCAGCTCAAATGCTATCTTCTTTTTGATTATTCTCTTTGAATATTTCTGCCTTCCCTCTTCTCTCCAAGCACATGTAATTTGGGCTTTCATTCTGCCCTGCCTTTTTGTGTATTTGTGAGCATTCTTTTTTTTTTTTTTGAGATGGAGTCTCGCTCTGTCACCCAGGCTGGAGTGTGGTGGCGCGATCTCGGCTTACTGCAACCTCCGCCTCCCGGGTTCAAGCAGTTCTCCTGCCTCAGCCTCCTGATTAGCTGGGATTACAGGCATGCAACACCAAGCCCGGCTAATTTTTTTGTATTTTTAGTAGACACGGGGGTTTCACCATATTGGCCAGGCTGGTCTCGAACTCCTGACCTTGTGATCCACCCACCTCGACCTCCCAAAGTGCTGGGATTACAGGCGTGAGCCACCGCGCCCGGCTGTGAGCATTCTTATTGCTTAAAGACAGTGCCCGCGAACTCGTATCCTCTCCTCTGTGTCCCAGCAGAGGCTCACTTGTAGCCTGTATACAGTATGGGGCCATGCTTTGGACTGGATGTCAGTAGAGAGCAAGGCACACATCCTCAGCAGCCTTGCTCCCGCCCTGCAGGCTTCAGGGAGGAAGGCAGGGGCATTCCCCACTCCGGCCGCCTCTCCGTGAGCCCGTCTTCCCAGACCAAGGTTGGCAGGACGTTTCTATCCCTGCATTTTGGGAGGCTCTGGTAGGGTTACCCACCCTCTTTTCCACTGCCATAACCACAGGTTGGTTGGTTCTTGTCACTGCTTCCAGCTGAAGCCACCTGTGCACTCCCTGCACATCCACGTGGGGCTCTGGGGTCCTCTGATGCAGACTTCCTTGGGGTCGGCTGCAGCTCCAGCCTGGCATATGTGCCTGTGATTCCAGGCCTCTAGCAAGCTCTGGCAGACATGCTGCATGTACTAGCCCTCTGTAATTAGGAGGCAGGGAGGTGGCACCAGTTTCAAAGGCATGCTCTTTTGGAGGACTGTGCCAAGTGTCCTTCTGTGTACCACAAGCTGCACGTCGGCTCTCTGTGCAAGCAGCTGGGATGGAGTTTGCCAACAAATAGAAGGCTTGGGCCCTGTTCTCAAATAGCTCCGGGTGGCTAGGGGAGAGAGCTCATGTGAAGATAGTGCCACACGTTAGTGGACGCTGGGCATTCCACGAATGGGGCATTGGTGTTGACATTCTGAGTACTGCACTGTTGTATGACAGATGCAGCTGACGGCTGTAACTTCAGAAGAATGTGTGTTCAGAGTTCCAAGCTAAGGAATCCAGGAGTGGCCAACCCGGATTTATTCCTTGTCTATGAGGAACATCTGAACCCCCGGCCCATCCCATGGAATGCAAGCTCTACAGGGGGATTGAGGCCCTTTCTTTTGGATTAAGTAAAGGTTACCAGGTGGAAGTTGCTAGGGGAGGGTGCTGAGTGAAGGTGCTGTATAAACTGCGTGCATTTTACAAGCGGTTGCGGTTCTCCTGTCCAGCCTGCTGCCCCCAGACCATCCCTGTAGGTAAGTTTCCAATAAACCCTGTGTCTGGCTCACTGCTTCCAGATCTCTGGAATCTGGTGCCATCTATTGGAGTTAACAGGGGTCCAGCACAACAGCAGTGCGCTGGGTTTAGCAGAGAATGCGGTTTAGAAGGGCGGATAGCCTGTAATCTCAGCTACTTGGGCAGCAGGGGCAAGAGGATTGCTTGAGTCCAGGAGTTAGAGGCTGCAGTGAGCTATGATCATGCCACTGCACTCCAGCCTGGGCAGAAGAGTAAGATCCTGTCTCTAAGAAAATGAATAATAAAAAAGAGGCAGATAAAATCTTCAGCTAAGATTTGAAGGTGTGGGCTGGCCAAGATTCTCGTAGGTGGAGAGGAAGAAGGGCTGAAAATTCAGAAGCCTGTAGGGACCAGACAGGTGCCCAAGATAATAATAGTTACTATTCAGTGAGCTCTCTCTGTATGTCGGGCTCCATCTGGCACCTGATATGTATCAACTAATGTAATCCTCTCAGTAATCCTACCAAGTAGGTGGTAGTAGTAGCCCCATTTCACAGCTGAACAAACCAAGGCACGAAGTCTCAGTTAAGACTTTGTAGCTGTAGGCAGTGGAGCTGTAGTCTGCCGTCTGGTTAGTTGTTGCCTCTGGCATTTGCCTGAGGGCCCGATGAGGCAGCTGTTCCCAGTTCTAGCTAATCCTCACTGTGTGGTGTGGACAATGCATTTGTTACCTATTGCTGGTGACAAATCAGCCCAAAAGTTAGCGACTTAAAACAAGAATAAACCTTTATCACCTCTGAGTTTCTGTGGGTCAGGACTGGGGAGTGGCTAGTTGGGTGGTTCTGGCTCAGGGTCCCTGAGGGGCTGCAGTGGGAACGCACCCGTCCCCAAGAGCTCACTCACATGGCGGTAAGTTAGTGCTGGTGGTGGCAGCAAGGTAGTGCAGGAGACATCTGCCATATGCCACCTAGGACTGCGTGAGCATCCTCACTGGCTTCTCCTGGAGCAGGTGACCCAAGAGAGCCATGTGGCTGCAGTGACCGTTACAACCTGGCCTTGGAACTCACGTTTGGCCACTTCCACAATACCCTGTTGGTGACACAGATCAGCCCTCTCAGGTTGGAAAGGGGACCATAGAGGGCCATGAATGCCTGGAGGTGACAATTACTGGCTGATGACCACAGTCAGGTACTCACTTTTCTCAGGAGAAGCCGGAGTTTCATTTAAAAATGGATTTATGTGCTTGCTTTGGCAGCACATATACTAGGTAGAAAAATTTGCATGATCCCTGCACAAGGTGGAGATGCAAATTCACGAAGTAGCCCATAAAAAAGCAACAACAGGCTTTTAAGTGTGAGCAGCTTGCACAGGCTGAATCAGACCTGGGCTTGCGGTTGCAGCGTCCTCCCTGGTAGAGGCGGGGAGCGTGGGAGCAGAAGAGTGTGTCTGAAGAGTCGCATTTGATGAGAGGGCTGAGTTGCTGACAGTGGGAAAGTTTCCACCTGAAGTCGGCCGCTTTTGCTGTCGTCTCCCAGGGTCCTTGTGGTGTCAAGAGGCCATTGTGGCTGCATCCTTCCAGATTCATGGGGCTGGCCGCGTCTGCCTTCCTTAGTGATGCTGTTGGCGAATGCACTTTTGTGATACTTTTTTTTGGTTGTTGTTGTTGACAGAGTTTCGCTCTTGTTGCCCAGGCTGGAGTGCAGTGGCACGATCTCGGCTCACTGCAACCTCTACCTCCTGTGTTCAAGAGATTCTCCTGCCTCAGCCTGCCAGGTAGCTGGGATTATAGGCATGCACCACCACACCTAGCTAATTTTTTGTATTTAGTAGAGATGGGATTTCACCATGTTGGTCAGGCTGGTCTCAAACTCCTGACCTCAAGCAATCCACCCATCTCGGCCTCCCAAAGGGTTGGGATTACAGGCGTGAGCCACCGCTCCTGGCGCTTTTTTTTTTTTTTTAAATGGGGTCTCACTCTGTCGCCCACCCAGGCTGGAGTGCAGTGGTGGGATCATAGCTCACTGCAGACTTGAGCTTCTGGGCTAAAGCGATCCTCTCAGCTGTCCCTGCCCCAGTTCTTGTGATCCCTCCTTGTCCAACATAACTGAGGACCATTCCTGGACACCACAGTCAGAGGGGACACTGCTGAAGGGCAGGGAGCATCGTGTCTCTTCTTGTCTTCCCCACCGGGGCTGGGAACAGTGAGGATGGGCAAGCTTGACTTCACTGATGGCAGTGAGATAATTCAGCTCAGCGGTTGTATTATACCTTTTCCCCCATTCCTGATACCCCATTGGCCATCTTCCTGTTATGTTATTATATCCTTGCCAGTCTCTGCCTTCCTGGAGCCCTAGCAAGGCTGTGCTTTGAAACAGAAGCACTGTATGGCTTCCCTTGGTCCCCGATAGGATAAAATTCTCCTGTCCCTAAGGACTGATTGGCTCACTGTGGCCAATCCACTTGGATCCTAGGCAGTTGAGAGGGTAAAGAGTCCTCAGCGAGGCTGGGGTTAGTTTTTCAGTGAAGTCACATTTCCTTTAGGAGTTAAATACATCTCTTTGTGTCAAGTTTCCAGCTCATGTCTTGATGGTGGGGAAAAGTTATTTTGAGTATAACTGAGTGGAATCTGCAAGGGGGAACTCCCCTGGGCATAAAAGTTAGACTGTTGTGGAATAAAAGGAGGGAGACCTTTTACCATGTAACTTTTGTTTTTTTTTTTTTTTTTTTTTTTTTTGAGATGGAGTTTCGCTCTGTTGCCCAGGCTAGAGTGCAGTGGCGCGATCTCGGCTCACTTCATCCTCGGCCTCCCAGGTTTAAGCAGTTCTCTGCCTCAGCCTCCCACGTAGCTGGGATTACAGGCACCCGCCACCATGCTCGGCTAATTTTTTTTGTATTTTTAGTAGAGATGGGGTTTCACTATTTTGGCCAGGCTGATCTTGAGCTCCTGACCTGGTGATCCACCTGCCTCGGCCTCCCAAAGCACTGGGATTACAGGCGTGAGCCACCGCGTCTGGCCTCCATATGACTTTTTACACTTTCGTAATTTTGAGTCTTGTGAACATATTGCTTCAAAAATCGAAATAAGTAGTAACACCTCCCAACATTATACTGGCCTTGAGAAGTCATCAACAGACTACCAGTTTTGAACTTCTGGGTTTTCCAATGTATCGACTATAAATTTCCTAAGGTTGTATGGTATAATAATGGTGAACTCCTAATGCCATGGTGTTAATTTCCAAGGCCCTGTTCTAAGCACTTTCTACATGTGCTCATTTAAATCCTCACAACAGCCCTGTGGCTGGAGGGGGATTATTAATTATCCCCATTTTGCACTTGCCTGAGGTCACAAAGCTAATAAGTGGCAGAACCAGGATTTGAACCCGGGCATTTGGGCTCTAGAGTCTATGTTCTTAGGCATGGTAGTTAAGATATAAAATCACTGAAGATGACTCAAAACATCACCGCCTCAGCTTTTGTTCTTTTTGGGGACTAGTGGTGTTGGGTTTGCGTCAATACAAATTAAGCTCCTTCCTCCCCCAGACCATTTCTCCTCAGATGAATTTGGCTCGCTTGGACATGCTCAAGGCTTCTGAGGTGTGTCCATCTTATTAATGGATTGCCAAGATTTCCCTTCTAAGGTTAATCTGAGCTATTTCATTTTTAGAGAGTTATGATGACTTGTACCATTGGTCCGTTGAGTCATATTCAGACTTCTGGGCAGAGTTCTGGAAATTCAGTGGAATTGTCTTCTCACGTGTGTATGATGAGGTAAGTAGAGATTTTCCGTGGATATCATCTCTTTTTGTGGTCGTGCTTCAAAGTGAAATGCTAATTTTGGGGAATACTGAATTGTATCTCCTTTTTACAACCTCATGCAGATGGGAAAAAGTCATTGCCCTAGAGAACTGGCATTAAATTATCACAGACCTCATCGAGAACTTTGCAGCCTGTTAATCCTCTGTTGTATGGGGACCCCAGGCCCTGTCCTGGGAACTTGAGTGATCCTAAATAGTAGTTTTGTTTGTTTGTTTGTTTGTTTTTAATTTTTAAATATTTGGGGCTGGGTGCAGTGGCTCACACCTATAATCCCAGCACTCTGACAGACCAAGATGGGAGGATCCCTTGAGCTCAGGAGTTTGAGTGCAGGCTAGGCAACATAGCAAGACCCTGTCTTCAAAAAAATAAATTAGCTGGTCGTGGTGGTGCATGCCTGTGGTCCCACCTACTCAGGAGGCTGAGGTGGGAGGATTGGTTGAGCCCAGGAGGTTGAGGCTGCAGTGAGCTGTGACTGCGCCACTGCACTCCAGCCTGGGCAATAGAGCCAGACCCTGTCTCAAAAAAAAAGGTTTAATTATGTTAAAATACATATATCATAAACTATTATGTAACCATCTTAACTATTTTAAACTGTACACTTCAGTGATGTTAAGTACATTTACATTGTTGTAGTTTTTTTTTTTTTTTTTTTTTGAGGTGGAGTCTTGCTCTATTGCCCAGGCTGGAGTGCAGTGGGGCCATCTTAGTATACTGCAACCTCCACCTCCCAGGTTCTAGCAGTTCTCCTGCCTCAGCCTCCTGAGTAACTGGGATTACAGTCATGCACCACCACGCCTGGCTAATTTTTGTATTTTTAGTAGAGACAGGGTTTTGCCATGTTGCCCAGGCTGGCCTCAAACTCCCAACCTTGGGTGATCCACCCGCCTCAGCCTCTCAAAGTGCTGGGATTACAGGCATTAGCCACCATGCCTGGCCACATTGTCATAGTTTTTTTTTTTTTTTTTTGAGATGGATTCTTGCTCTTTTGCCAGGCTAGAGTGCAGTGGTGTGATCTCGGCTCACTGCAACCTTCAACTCCCTGGTTCAAGTGATTCTCCTGCCTCACCCTCCCGAGTAGCTGGGATTACAGGCATGCGCCACCACGCCCAGCCAATTTTTGTATTTTTAGTAGAGATGGGGTTTCACCATGTTGGCCAGGATGGTCTCAACCTCCTGACCTCATGATCTGCCCGCCTCAGCTTTCCAAAGTGCTGGGATTACAGGCATGAGCCACCGTGCCCGGCATTAGTTTTTTAAACTATTTAGAAGTTTCGTTCTTTATTTTTCTTTGAGACCGAGTCTCGCTTTTGTCACCCAGGCTGGAGTGCATCTCGGCTCACTGCAACCTCCACCTCCTGGGTTCAGGTGATTCTCTTGCCTCAGCCTCCTGAGTAGCTGGGATTACAGGCGCCCGCCACCACGCCCGGCTAATTTTTGCATTTTTAGTAGAGATGGGGTTTCACCATGTTGGCCAGGCTGGTCTTAAACTCCTGACCTCAGGTGATCCGCCTGCCTTGGCCTGCCAAAGTGCTGGGATTACAGGCGTGAGCCACTGTGCCCAGCTGGAGTTTTTTTTTTTTTTTTGAGATGGAGTCTCGTTCTGTCCCCCAGGCTGGAGTGCAGTGGCGTGATCTTGGCTCACTGCAAGCTCCGCCTCCTGGGTTCACACCATTCTCCTGCCTCAGCCTCCCCAGCAGCTGGGACTACAGGCGCACGCTGGCATGCCTGGCTAATTTTTGTATTTTTAGTAGAGATGGAGTTTCACCGTGTTAGCCAGGATGGTCTCGAGCTCCTGACCTTGTGACCCGCCTGCCTCGGCCTCCCAAAGTGCTGGGATTACAGGCGTGAGCCACTGCGCCTGGCTGGAGTTTTGTTATTTTTTTAACCTGCAGCTTAGAAAAAACTTTTCAATTCCTTACACTGTAAATCAATAAATATCGGGAAAAAGGGAGTCCTGCCATTCAAAGTCGAATTTATTGTCTCCTTGGGGCAAACCATTTTGAAATGTTGATCTTTTGGGACTTTGACAATAAAAATCAAGGTTCCAGCACTCCAAGGAAGGAAGCAAAGGCTGAAGCCCCCAAAAGTTGTAGGCAAGGGGCAGGTGGTCCTGGAGCTTGCTCTCCTGGTTTCCATGCGTCTGGGCAGAGCCTGACGTGTTGGGTGTCGTCTTTGTCTTTAGGATCTCTCACTGAGTAGGTGTTTAATGAGTATTTGTGGAACACATATGTTACTGGGGATGGTTGTTTTCCGTTGGCATTAATCCCTACTTTCAGTTTCTAGCTTTTAGGCCAGTTCAGAGTTCAGTCCATAAAATGATTTAAAAATGCTCTGGGCCAATGAGTGAGCTGGCTTCCTGGGAAGAAGAACCACTTTTGCTGATTTGTGACATAGTCTCATGTTTTGCTGATCTGTAGCGTAGTCTCATGTGTGTGCGTCTTGGTTTGTTGTCATTCTCTATAGGTTGTGGACACATCGAAAGGAATCGCAGATGTCCCCGAGTGGTTCAAAGGCAGTCGGCTCAACTATGCAGAAAACCTCCTGCGGCACAAAGAGAATGACAGAGTTGCCCTTTACATTGCAAGTAAGTCCTGATGGCGAGACCTGGGATTTCCTCCGTGGAAGTTCTAGATGGTGCATGCATGCGGTGCCACATATTTGGAGAGATAGGATTTCTAAACCATATGTTGGCACCTTTCTGATGTAATTAAGATTTCTGTCGACTTTATTTTTGCTGGGGAGGGGAAAGGGCCAGTGTGTGGTCATGCTTTATGGGCAAAATGGAGATACTCAGTATTAAGTAACTAGCTTGTGTCACACAGAAAGTTAATGATGGAACTATAACTAGAATCTCTTCCCATTGGCTTTTCCTTTTAAAATAAAGTTGAGGCTGGGTGCAGAGGCCGGGTGTGGTGGCCCAGGCTGGAGTGCACTGGCATGATCATGGATGGCTCACTGCAGCCTCAATCTCCCAGGCTCAAGCAATCCTCCCACCTCAGCTTCCTGAGTAGCTGGGACTATAGGCACACACCACTATGCATGGCTGATTTTTTTTTTTTTTTTTTTTTAGTAGAGACAGGGTCTTGCTATGTTGTCCAGGGAGGTCTTGAAATCTTGGGCTCAAGCAGTCCTCTCATCTTGGTTTCCCAGAGTGTTGGGATTTCAGACATGAGCCACTGCACCCGGCCCCTGTGCAGCTTTTAAAAATTTATTATTATTTTTAAATTGTGTGTTCCACTTTGGGAGGCCAAGGTGGGCGGATCACGAGGTCAGGAGATCGAGACTGTCCTGGCTAACATGGTGAAACCCCGTCTCTACTGAAAATACAAAATATTAGCCAGGCGTGGTGGCGGGCGCCTGTAGTCCCAGCTACTCAGGAGGCTGAGGCAGGAGAATGGTGTGAACCCAGGAGGCGGAGCTTGCAGTGAGCTGAGATTGCGCCACTGCACTCCAGGCTGGGCGACAGAGTGAGACTCTGTCTCAAAAAAAAAAAAAAAAAATTGTATGTTCAGCAAGAGTTTATTGGACACTCTTTGTGTCTAAGACATCTTGTAATGTAAGACTCAGAGATAAACTGAAGTCGTGTTCTGCCTCCAGAATATTACATTCTAATCATGGAAATAAGGCCAACATACACAGAAACAGTTGACAATCTATATTAAATGCCAAAATGAGTCTCCAAGTTGGCAATTTTTTTTTTTTTTGAGATAGAATCTTCCTCTGTTGCCAAGGCTGGAATGCAGTGATCTCAGTTTGCTGCAACCTCTGCCTCCTGAGTTCAGGTGATTCTCCTGCCTCAGCCTCCCAAGTAGCTGGGATTACAGGCGAGCACCACCATTGCTGGCTAATTTTTGTAGTTTTAGTAGAGATGGGGTTTCCCCATGTTGGCCAGGCTGGTCTCGAACTCCTGACCTCAGGTGATTCCCCCCGCCTCGGCCTCCTAAAGTGCTGGGATTACAGGCGTGAGCCACCATGCCCGGCCCCAGTTGGCAATTTTTATTAGAAGCCAGAGAAAGATTAATTCACTGTGGTATAAAATACTCATCAGAAACTTCACTCACTCCCTAGATCAGCACAAGAAACCAAACCACTGGAAACAGGCAGTGAGTGGCCCTGCCCAGGCTACAGAGCAGGGCCTCCCTTCTGCCATCGTGGGAAGGACCAGCAGCCCCTGTGCAGTTGGTAAAGATCATGGCAGTCCAGTTCCCACCGAGACTTACTGGGACACATCTTCCGGGGCTGGGGCCCAGGCTTCCATGTATTTTCAAAGCCCATGGGCACTTCTGATGCACATTCCTGGTGAAGAGCCATGGAGCAACGTCTCGACGTACCATATGGGGCTGGTCAGTGTTCCATTGCTGTTTTCCTTGGTTCTCAGCCTTGACATGGTCATGGCAGAGTAGATAGGTGGTCTGGGGTCAGGGCTCTGACTGGCTCTCCCGTGCCCTTTGCATGCCCACCTGTCTGTTACATCCATTTGTTCCTCAGATCTGTATTAAATGCCTCATTAGGGCTGGGTGCAGTGGCTCACGCCTGTAATCCCAGCACTTTGGGAGGCTGAGGCGGGCAGATCACCTGAAGTCAGGAGTTCGAGACCAGCCTGGCCAACATAGTGAAACCCATTTCTACTAAAAATACAAAAAATTAGCCAGGCGTGGTGGTGGGTGCCCATAATCCCAGCTACTCTGGAGGCTGAGGCAGGAGAATCGCTTGAACCCGGGAGGTGGAGGTTGCAGTGAGCCGAGATTATGCCATTGCCCTCCAGCCTGGGCGACAGAGCAAGACTCCGTCTCAAAAAAAAAAAAAAAAAAAAAAAAAGCCTCCTCTGCAAGGAGACAAGCTGCCTGCCCTGGGAGACGCTGATGTTCCGGGGGGCAAAGCGTGGTGGTTTAACAATAAGTAAGAAAACATGCTTGGAAGAATAAGTAAAGCATTGTGATGGGAAAGGGATGATGGGGTGGGGTGTAGGGCTGTTTTAGACAGGGCTGCCAGGGAAAGCCTGTTTGGAGGAGTCTACGGAACTTGATGAAGCCTTCCTCTGGCTGACCCCTGTACCTGGAATCTCCTCCCCGCACCTCTGCGGAAGTCATGTTCCCAGGCACAAGGAACAGCCAGAAGAAGGCCCTGGGCTGGAGGAGGCTCTGTGTCTGTGGGGAACAGCCAGGAAGGCTGAGCTGGGGGGCCTCGGTGGTGAGTCCAGGAGTGTGGGGAGGTGTGAGAGGGAGTGGGCCATCCTCAGGGTTCTGAGCAAGGGCTGGGTGATCCCGTGGTGACCTGGCTGCTGGGTGGAGAACGGGAAGGGATTGCATCATGGGAAAGGAGACTTAGGGGACTGCTCCGTGCTCCAGCTCTGCGTCCCCAGGGTCACCCCTCTGACAGGGTCTCACTCTATTGCCTAGGCTGGAGTGCAGTGGCACGATCGTGGCTCACTGCAGCCTCGACTTCCCAGGCTCAAGCGATCCTCCCACCTTAGCCTCCTGAGTAGCTGGGATCACAGGCATGCACCACTGTGTCCGGCTAATTTTTTTTTTTAAGTTTTTTTGTAGAAATGAAGTTTTGCCATGTTGCTCAGGCTGGTCTCGAACTCCTGGGCTCAAGCAATTCACCTGCTTTGGCCTCCCAAAGTGCTGGGATTATAGGCATGAGCCACTGCGTCCAGCCAGCTCCTTTCTTCCAATTAGCATATAATTCATATACCACAGAAATACCCTTTTAAAGCCTGCAGCTCAGTGGTTTTTAGCATTTTTCAAGAGGTTATGCAGCCACCACCCCTAGTTCCAGAACATTTCCATTTTCCGAAAGGAAACCCCATACCAATTAGCAGTCACTCTCTGTTCCTGCCTCCCCCAGCTCCTGGCACCCACCTCTCTGCTTTCTTTCCTGGGTTTCCCTGTTCTGGACATTTTGTATAATTGGATCATACGATATGTGGCCTTTTGTGATTGGCTGCTTTCGCTCAGCACAGTGTTACCAAGGTTCATCCACATTGTAGCATGGATCAGTACTTCATTCCTTTTATGTCCTAGTAATCTGCCACAGTACAGGCAGACCACATTTCGTTGATCCCTAAGAGGCTCCTGTGAGACTGGCCTGCCTCAGGCACTGCAGTGCATGTGGGAACCTCCCTAGGGTGCCAACCCAGTCGCCTCTTTCGTAATCCTGAGAAGGAGAACGAGAACGCTGCGTCTCTTTTCTTTTCCTCGTCTCTTTAAATGTGTGTGCTTTAACCCAATGTCTCAGACACTTCATGAGCTCCTGGTTTCTCCTGTAAAGTGGGAACGGTCAAATGTGAATCCTTAAAAAAAACCCAAAAACCCAAAACTAAAAATCTAAACCCAAAACTAAAAAACTAAAAATATACTTGATTCCTAGTGATGACATAAGCCAGTCTTCCCAGAACTTGTAATACGGGTGTCTGGGTGGAGACTGAACTGGGTGGGGTGTCTCTCTCTCTCTCTCTCTGTTACATACAGTATTGGCTGAATCCAGCCAGTTGCCTTTTATTTTTTTAAACCCGGCCCTGTCTCGAGGGTGGGTTATAATTCTGTGTCTGTTTCACACCCCCTACCCCTTTACCTTAGCCTGTCTTCTCTTCACTCCCACCATCTCTTCTCTTAAGTATTTGAGCCCCCCCTTTTTAAAATTATTTTTTATTTATTATTATTAATTTTTTATTTATTTTGAGACAGAGTCTAGCTCTGTCCCCCAGGCTGGAGTGCAGTGGCTTGATCTCGGCTCACTGCAAGCTCCTCCTCCCGGGTTCACGCCATTCTCCTGCCTCAGCCTCCCGAGTAGCTGGGACTACAGGCGCCCGCCACCACGCCTGGCTAATTTTTTGTATTTTTAGTAGAGATGGGGTTTCACCGTGTTAGCCAGGATGGTCTCCATCTCCTGACCTCGTGATCCACCCGCCTTGGCCTCCCAAAGTGCTGGGATTACAGGCGTGAGTCACCGTGCCTGGCCTTTTTATTTTATTTTATTTTGAGATGGAGTCTCGTTCTGTCACCCAGGCTGGAGTGCAGTGTCGTGATCACAGTTCACTGCAATCTCCACCTCCCCAGTTCAAGCCATCCTTCCACCTCAGCCTCCTGAGTAGCTAGGGTTGCACGCGTGCGCCACCACACTGGCTAATTTTTGTATTTTTAGTAGAGATGAGGTTTCTCACCATGTTGGCCAGGTTGGTCTTGAACTCCTGACCTCAAGTGATCCACCCGCCTCAGCCTCTGAAAGTGTTGGGATTACAGGCGTGAACCACCACGCCTAGCAGAGCCCCTTCTTTTAATGAGCTTTATCCCTTCCTTATAATTGCAGTGGGAATAAGGACCCTTATGCCAGTGATCACAGTTAGTTTACAAATCGCATCCCTTACTTAAGCAAGGGCCTAAGCAGCCGATTATTGGCTCGGGGGCTTTAAGATCATTGTGCTTCGTTTTCTGCATGTTTTTCCTGACTTGTTCCTTACCCAGCTGGGTGCAGGTGCTCACGGAGCTCTGCTCCATGCTCACTCAGGCGTTCTCAGCAAAACTCATCTCTCCTATGGGTAATCCCCGTCGAGGCCATGCGATGCCCTGCTTAAAAAAATACATACATGTGCACAATTGCCTTCATGCTCCAGCGAGTAGAGCAAACAACATGCATTAGCACATCCGTGTTGAGATTGTTAGAACAGCTGCCTGCGCAGCACATTTTGCTTTTGAAGAGTAGCTATCAGCTTACCGAGTATTTTCACATGATGGAAAGTTTTCTGGGCTGGGAATGTGGGAGAGGTAATAAAAAGGCTACCCCAGGGCAGCAAGGAGAGGATGAAGGGCAGACGCGTACAACTCTAGGCAAATAGGAAAAAAAAAACGAGTTTTTTTTTTTTTGAGGTGGAGTTTCACTCTTGTTGCCCAGGCTGGAGTGCAATGGCGTCATCTTGGCTCACTGCAGCCTCCGCCTCCTGGCTTCAAGATATTCTTCTGTCTCAGCCTCCCAAGTAGCTGGGATTACAGGCACGTGCCAGCATGCCCAGCTAATTTTTGTATTTTTAGTAGAGAGGGGTTCCACCATTTTGGCCAGGCTTGTCTTGAACTCCTGACCTCAAGTGATCTGCCCGCCTCCCAAAGTGCTGAGATTACAGGCATGAGCCACTGCGCCCAGCCTGATTTTTTTTTTTTTTTTTGGAGACAGGGTCTTGATTTGTTGCCCAGATTGGAGTGCAGTGGTGCAGTCACAACTCACTGTAGCCTTGACCTCCTGGGCTCAAGCAAGTCTACCACCTCAGCCTCCCAAGTAACTGGGACCACAGGTATGTGCCACTGTGCCTGGCTATTTCATTTTTTTTTTTTTTTAAGAGATGGGGTCTCCCCATATTGCCTAGGCTGGTCTCGAACTCCTGGGCTCAAGTGATCCTCCCATCTCAGCCTCCCAAAGTGCTGGGATTACAGGTGTGAGCTGTAACACCTGGCTGGAAAAAGCCAGATTTATGCCAAAGGGAAATTAGGATGTTTATTCACTTTCTAAAAGAGACAATTCGCCAGCACGGTGGCTCACACCTGTATATCCCAGCACTTTGGGAGCCCGAAGTGGGTGGATCACAAGGTCAGGAGTTCGAGACCAGCCTGGCCAACATGGTGAAAGCCTGTCGCTACTAAAAATACAAAAATTAGCTTGGTGTGGTGGCGGGTGCCTGTAGTACCAGCTACTCGGGAGGCTGAGGCAGGAGAATTGCTTGAACCTGGGAGGCGGAGGTTGCAGTGAGCTGAAATGGTGCCATTGCACTCCAGCCTGGGTGACAGAGCGAGACTCTGTCTCAAACACACACAGACACACACACACACACAAAGAGGTAATTCATGTTATAGAACTGAAAAGCGATGATCAATCAGGAGCAAAATATTTGCATCAAGGGTAATGGTCAAAAGAGTAACTTCTATACTGTAGAAATTATCTTCAAATCATTTTCCTGTACCTTCACAACACTGAGTCTTACTTGTATTAGTTATCTTTCCATGTCATAGATTTCCTGAAAGCCATAGTTTAGAACAAACATTTCTTACCTCCCAGTTTCTGTGGGTTACAAATCCAGCAGTGGCTTAGCTGGGTGATCACTCATCAAGTTGCAGTGAGGATGCTGGCAGGGGTTGCAGGCATCTGAAGGCTTGACTGAGGCTAGAGGAACCACATCCAAGATGGTGTGCCCACGTGGCTGTTGGTGGGAGGCCTCGTTCCTCCTCGTGTGGGCTGCCTCCTCCAGAGGCTTCCTCAGTGACCTCACAGCATGGCCACTGGCATCCCCTAGAGTGAGCCAGATGGGAACTGCAGTGACTCTTATGACCACAGCTCAGAAGTCATTGTCATTTCCACAGTAACCCATCGATTCCCCAGGTCAGGTGTGAATACCAGCGGGCAGGAGTCACTGGGGGGCCATTGTGGAGGCCGGCTACACACTGTCCCTTCCCATTTGTACAGTCTGTTAGGCGAAAATTGGTATCTTCCTGTTTTAACATACATTTCTTTGATAACGGGTGGTTGATCGTTTTTTTTTTAATTTTTTTCTGTACTATCAAAGTTTTTGACAGTAAGCTTGTGTCACTTTTAATCTTCTAAAAAATTATACTACTGAGCAATAAAAGAAGTGAATTTTTTTGTTTGTTTGTTTGTTTGAGACAGAGTCTCACTCGGTCGCCGAGGCTGGAGTGCAGTAGCACCATGTTGACTCACTGCAACCTCCGTCTCCTGGGTTCAAGCAATTCTCCTGCCTCAGCCTCCTGAGTAGCTGGGATTACAGGCGTCCACCACCACGCCCGGCTAAGTTTTATATTTTTAGTACAGACGGGGTTTCACCATGTTGGCCAGGCTGGTCTTGAACTCCTGACCTCAGGTGATTCACCTGCCTCAGCCTCCCAAAGTGCTGGGATTACAGGCGTGAGCCACCGTGCCCGGCCTAGAAGTGAATTATTGATGCATGCAATAACTTAAGTGAATTTTAGTGGCATTGCACCAAATGAAAAATGCCAATCTTAGAAGGTCACCTTCTGGCTGGGTGCGGTGGTTCGCGCCTGTAATCTCAGCACATTGGGAGTTCGAGGTCACTGGATCACCTGAGGTCAGGAGTTTGAGATTAGCCTGACCAACGTGGTGAAACCCCATCTCTACTAAAAATACAAAAATTAGGTGCAGGTGCCTGTAATCCCAGCTAACTGGGAGGCTGAGGCAGGAGAATTGCTTGAACCTGGGAGGCGGAGGGTGCAGTGAGCTGAGATCGCACCACTGCACACCAGCCTGGGCAACAGAGCAAGACTCCATCTCAAAAAAAAAAAGGATCACTTTCTATATTTCATGTAACATTTCTCCCTCCCTCCCTCACTTCCTCCCCTCCTTTCCTTCTTTCCTTTCCTTTCTTTCCTTTCTTTTCGACAGGGTCTCACTCTGTTGCTCAGGCTGGAGTGCAGTGGTACGAACATAGGTCACTGCAGCCTTAAACCTCTGGGCTCAAGTGATCGTCCCATCTCAGCCTCCCAAGCAGCTAGGGCTACAGGTATACACCACCACGCCTGGCTAGTTTTTAAATTTTTTTTTTTTTTTTCCAAGACAGAGTCTCACTCTGTCACCCAGGCTGGAGTGCAGTGGTGTGATCTCAGCTCATGGCAGCCTCAACCTCCTGAGCTCAGGTGATCCTCCCACTTCAGTATCCCGAGTAGATAGGACTATAGGTAAGCACCACCATGCTTGGCTAATTTTTAAAAATTTTTTTTGTAGAGACGAGGTTTTACCAGTTGTCCAGGCTGGTCTCGAACTCCTGAGCTCAAGCAACCTGCCCACCTTGGCCTCCCAAAGCGCTGGCATTACAGGCATGAGCCACCCTGCCTAGCCTTAGTTTTAACATTTTTTGTAGAGTCTCACTATCTTACCCAGGCTGGTCTTGAACTCCTAACCTCATGTGATCTTCCTGCCTTAACCTCTCAAAGAGCAAGGATGATAGACATGAACTACTTCTCTCAGCCTATATAACATTCTTGAAATGGCAGAATTATAGAGCTAGAGTATATGTAAGTGATTGCCCGGGGTGGGGGTGGTGTAGGGGTCAGGGATGACTATAAAGGGGCAACAGGAGGGAAGGGTTTGGGGTGGTGGAAATGTCCTATATCTCAATTGTGGTGGTTGCAGGAAATTCCGTAAGGTGGCAGAGAACCTCGCACGTGCATGTTTCATCCATGTCTATTTCCTGGAACCACACATATGCACATTGCATCCACGTCTGTTTCCTGGAACCACGCACACGCATGTTGCATCCACGTCTGTTTCCTGGAACCACACACGTGCACATTGCATCCATGTCTATTTCGTGGAACCACGCACGTGCACGTTGCATCCACATCTGTTTCGTGGAACCACACACGTGCACCTTGCATCCACGTCTGTTTCATGGAACCACGCACGTGCACGTTGCATCCACGTGTGTTTCGTGGAACCACACACATGCACGTTGCATCCACATGTGTTTCATGGAACCACGTACGTGCACGTTGCATCCACATCTGTTTCACGGAATCACGCACATGCACGTCGCATCCACGTCTGTTTCGTGGAACTACACACATGCATGTTGCATCCATTTCTGTTTCCTGTCTTTGCTGGTGTACTCTGTTTATGGAGGATGTAGCCACTGGGGCAGCTGGGTGAGGGGGACATGGGACCTCTCTGTTCTTTCTTTGAAACTTCTTGTGAATCTGTAATTAAAAAAAAAAACCCACAATTATAATTAAAGGATTCTTCAGTTAATAAAAGCATTCCCGGTAGAAAATCTTATTTATTTATTTATTTTGAGACAGGTTCTTGCACTGTTGCTCAGGCTGGAGGTCAGTGGTGTGATCATGGCTCACGTGATCCTTTGCCTCAGCCTCCCAAGTAGCTGGGACTACAGACGTGTGCCACTATGCCTGGCTAATTTTTACGTTTTTGGTAGAGATGGAGGTCTCACTCTGTTGTCAGGGCTGGTCTTGAACTCCTGGGCTCAAGCAGTCCTCCCACCTCAGCCTCCTAAAGTGCTGAGATCACAGGCATGAGCCCCTGCACCGGGCCTAATAGAGAATCTTTACGCAGCACATGTTGTTAGTGTATATGTTCGGCTGACTCTTGCAGCCTTTCTTCTGTGTGAGGTTAAGTTGACCTGTATCTTGCTTGTGTTCCCTGCGTCTGTTTTCCCTGGGTGTAGATTAATAACCTGCATTGAAACAGGTGGGATTTTTCATTCAGTGTCTGGCTTGCAACTTTTCTTTTTGCGGTGGTCTGTGTACAATTTACCCTTTTTCTCTTCCCAGGGGAAGGCAAAGAGGAAATTGTGAAGGTGACTTTTGAAGAGCTGAGGCAAGAAGTGGCTTTGTTTGCAGCAGCAATGAGGAAAATGGGTGTGAAGAAAGGAGATCGGGTTGTTGGTAAGTATTTTGGGTGCTGGTGATGGTTTGAGGGAGGAGACCAAGGTAGAATGGGTGATGTGAAGGTCAAGACGGCTTTCAAATAAGGGGGAGTCATGTCATATTACATGGAACCTTGTGGGACTTGGACTCTACATGCAAGGAGAAAAAATAGACCAAGGAAAATTGCTGAAAGAATATGCTGCTCTGCGAAGGCAGGAATTTGCTTTGCTTTGTTCCCTGCTTTGTCCCAGAGCCTAAAACAATTCCAGGAACATCAAGGGAGTGCATTCAGTATGGCTTGCTGGAGGGATGAAGGCGCATTCAATATGGGCTTGCTGGAGGGATGAAGGCGCATTCAGTATGGGCTTGCTGGAGGGATGAAGGCCCATTCAATATGGGCTTGCTGGAGGGATGAAGGCACATTCAATACGGGCTTGCTGGAGGGAGGAAGGCGCATTTAGGAGTTAGCCCTGCAGTGAGGCAGGGCAGGAAAGGGCAGTCTGGGCAGCAGAAACGGCCTGTGAAAGGCCTGGAGGCTGCTGAAGGCAGCAAGCAGGAGGCCACAGGCCTGGAGGCAGCAAGCAGGAGGCGTCTACACGGGCATTAGGAGCTCTGTGGGGTGGAACATGGAGGGCAGGAGGTGGGGCAGGTGCCCAGGTCTGATCCCAAAGGCCTCGTCCACTTTCTTCCACTCTGCCTAGAGTTTCCTGAGGTGCTGGTCCGTTCTGACGCCCTTCCCGCCTTGAGCCATAAAGCAAGGGAAGTAGGACCTAAGAGCAGGCCCCATTTGGGGATTGTTCTGGAAGGAGCAGGGGCTGGAATGTGTAGACCTTGAGGCGTGGTTTGTCTTCCCACTCTGGGCCGGGGCTCTCCTTTGTTCCCTGGGATAGCAACTGAGGATTTCCCACGAAGAACTGCTTAGGTATTTTTCTTACAATTTTCCTTTCACCTTGACTTGTGGAAAAAATGTAAAGGCCTGTGCATGGACCTGTTCTTTACCCCAAACATACTTGTTAGTTAATTGAGATGCAGGTAGGTGTGTACATGGGGATGAGCAGGTGCAGACGAAGGAGATTTATCTTCCAGTGCAGCCCTGGTGGTTGGGGCTCCCGACCTCCCTCCCTTTCCCCTCCATGTCATCGGACAAGGACCACAGGGGGCGGGTGGCAGGAAAAGCCACTGGGGAGGGGCTTGGGCTTTGGAGCCTTGGTGTTTGGCACGGGTGTGCCTCTCCCGAGGGAACTTACTGCAAATTGCCGTTCAGCTTGTTTGCAAAGAGGCAGGAGGAGCTGGGCGGCCTTGTCATCTATAAGTGCAGTAAGTGGCTGGACCAAGAATCCTGTGCGCCAGGCCCCACTACCCTGCCCCGCCTCCCCCTTGAGTAACAGGACTGGACATGGAGTTAGTGCTCAGCGTTTGGTAGCTGACTAGGAAGGAATCTAGCGATGGGCATGCCGGCTGCCTCCTGTCTCAGCCCTTGGCGGCCTGTTCTCCTTCAGCCTATCCTCAGGGTTCACCCTGGCTTGTCGGGGTTGCCTCCTCAGAGGCCGTTCCTGGTTAGCCTTCGAAAAATGCATCCCACTCTTCCTGCAGCTGCTTTCATCATAGTCCTCATGGCTCACCTGAACCTGCAGGGATCTTGGTGTGTTTGTGTGCGTGTGTTCTCCATACTAGAAGGCAGGGGCTTTGTTTTCTCCTCACTGCTGTATCTTCATAGAGAGTGCCTGGCACCTAGCAGCATCTAAGAAGTGTTTATTGAATGAATGACTATGGGTGTTGGGCTGATCATCAGAGCAGACTTTTTTTTTTTTTTTTTTTCTTTTTGAGACAGGGTCTCACTCTGTTGCCCAGGCTGGACTGCAGTGGCGTGATCATGGCTCAACTGCAGCCTCGAACTCCTGGGCTCAAGGGATCCTCCTACCTCAGCCTCCTGAGTAGCTGGGACTACAGGCACGTGCCACCATGCCTGGCTAATTTTTGTATTTTTGGTAAAGACAGGGTCTTGCTATGTTGTCCAGGCTGGTCTCAAACTTCTGGGCTCAAGAGATCCTCCTGCCGTGGCCTCCTAAAGTGTTGGGATTACAGGCATGAGCCACTGCGTCTAGTCACAAAGCAGGCATTTTTGAGGCTGAAACCTCACTTTTTGGGTTCTTGGTCGTCTGATTTAATCTGTACACTTTTAAGGTCTTGCAAAGGAATGCAAAATGTTCTGTCCCCAGTTTTTTTCTTCCCTCCCAATTCTCATTTAAAAAAATCTTTTGAAGCAAACGTTTCTGAGTGAAGGAGAGACAAAACAGGTTATATTGGGGACAGCCAAGGTCCCTGTGAGCTATGCTTTCTTTGAGGAGACGCCTGGCCGCGATGCCCTGGACCCTTCAGAGGTGAGCTGGTTCCTTGTGCCCCAGCCATTTTGTGGGTCTCAGTTGGATACGGATTTGACCTGATCATAGTTACTAGGATTTGGGACTTTGAGTTTTCCAGAAAACACTAGAAAATGATTAAAATGGGGTTGGATGCTTTAGAGTCTTCAAAAGATGGAGTTAAAGCTGCGCCTAGCTCCGTTTTCCTTTGTCTGTGAAGTGGTTCCCAGGGTTGGCGTCTGATGTACCATGGGAGAAGGGCCAGCTCCTCCTCACTTGTCAGCCACATGGAGTCAGATGGTTAAGCAGCCTCCCCTGGGCACCGAGTCCTGCCCTGACCCTGGGGGTGACAGTGTTGAGATGCTTCAGTTTACGCTCATAGCCAAGTCTCATCTTCGCTGCAAACTCAGCCAACACCAACCATCTGCCGGATGTGGGTGGAACCCCATGGTGGTGTGACCCCTGCCCCTTGGATGCTTATGGCCCAGCAGGGGAGTCGCGTGTGAATCCAGACAAACAGAAACACCCACTGCAGGGGGGAGAAGGAGGGAAAAAGGGAGCCAGCTGACTAGGGACCCCTGGGGGCACACCTGGGTAGCTGCACCTCGCTCTGATGAGGCCTTGTTCATGGCCCTTCGTCTCGTGACTGCCTTCTGCCCTACTGTACAGGTCCTTTCCTCTGGAATGTGTAGAGTGATCTGGTTAATTGATCATAGTCTCTGTGGCCATGAGGATTCCCTGCCTCTGTTGTCATGAAAGCCAGCCTGCTAGGAGATGGAGGGCCTGAGGACCTCTGCCCCTTATAGGCTTGAATATGGCTCTTGACAGTACTGCTTGTGTTCTTCATTCCCTCTCCTCTCTATCCATCCAACCAACCATCCACCAGTCCACCTGTCTGTGCAGCCATCCATCAACCCATCCATCTGTCCATCCATCTATCCATCCTTCTCTCCACCTACCCATCCATCCGTCATCCATCTATCCATCCCTTCATCTATCCTCCACCCATCATCTACCCATCCATCCATCCATCTTCCATTTATCATCCCTCACCATCATTTATCCATCCATCCATCCATCCTGTCTATACATTCTTCTCTCCATCTACCCATTTACCCATTATCCATCTATCCATCCATTTATCTATCCTCCACCCATCATCTACCCATTCATCCATGCATCCTCCATTCATCATCCCTCATAGATCATCCATCCAACTATCCATCCATCCATCTGTCTATACATTCTTCTCTCCACCTACCCATCCATCCCTCATCCATCTATCCATCCACTCATCTATCCTCCACCCATTATCTACCCATTGATCCATCCATCTTCCATTTATCATCCATCACCATCATCCATCCATCTATCCATCCATCCTGTCTATACATTCTTCTCTCCATCTACCCATTTACCCATTATCCATCTATCCATCCATTTATTATGCTTCCACCCATCATCTACCCATTCATCCATCCATCTTCCATTTATCATCCCTCATCCATCATTTATCCTACCATCCATCCATCCAACTGTCTATACATTCTTCTCTCCACCTACCCATTTATCCGTCATCCATCTATTCATCCATTCATTTATCCTCCACCCATCATCTACCCATTCATCCATCTTCCATTCATCATCCTCATCCACCATCCATCCAACTATCCATCCAACTGTCTATACATTCTTCTCTCTACCTACCCATTCACCCATCTTCCATCTCTCCATCCACTCATCTATCCTTCACTCATTATCCATTCATCCATCCATCTTCCATTCATCATCCCTCATACATCATCCATCCGTCTATACATTCTTCTCTCTGCCTACCCATTCACCCATCATCCATCTCTCCATCCATTTATCTATCCTCCATCTGTCATCCGTCCATTCATTCATCCATCCATCCTCCATTCATCATTCCTCATCCATCATCCATCCATCCATCCATCTGCCAGCCGGCAAATATATGAGGACCCTTGATGTGCAGGGCATGGTAAAAGGCATTTGGTAAAGCAAAGAACAAGACAGGCAAAGTCCCAGCCCTCATGTGAGAACCAGATACTAGACGGCCAGTTACACAGGTGATTATTCATTTGCAGTTATGCTAAGTTTGGTGAAGGAGAAATACAGTGTGCTTTGCAGGTAACTAGTTGGGGGACCTGAGTTCACCGGGTTGGGGGCAAGACAGCCTTGGAGAAGGCTGCTCTGAGGAAGTTTCATTTGAGTGAAGAGCTGCAGGATGAGCGCACACTGAGTGGAGACTGCTGGTGTGCGTGGAGGAGTGTTCAGCAGATCAGACAGCTGTGCAAAGGCAGGAGGTGATTAGGACAACTGAGGAGTCGGAAGAAGGCTGCTGTGACCAGATCCCAGGGAGGGATGGGGAGCAGAGGGAGGAGAGCCCACGGGGTCATTGTCATCAGAGCATGGAGAATGGATTGCAGGGGGATGGTGGGGAGTTGACAGGCTGGCAGCAGGCGATTCATCTGGGCGGGGGCTGGTGGTCAGGATCCTCAGGCAGTTCAAGGCCAGCCCCCTTCCCACTCTGACCTTGGCTCTCAGAGAAACCTTTTGGACATCTGCTACCTCCCATACACCCTGAACCCAAGGCTTCTTCCTATGTTTTCTCCACAGGTTATTTACCCAACAGTGAGCACGCTGTCGAGGCGATGCTGGCTGCGGCAAGCATTGGTGCCATCTGGAGCTCCACGTCCCCGGACTTCGGTGTGAATGTGAGTCAGGGTCTGTGACAGAGGGGGCACCCCTTGCCCTGTGAGCATCCTGGGCAGGGGCTGCATGGGCTGAATTCCCAGGGGAGCCGGACAGCAGCGTGAGCCCAGCGGGAGGAGGTGGCGTTGCAGCTGCCTCTATGGGGAAAGAAGCCAGAAGGACTTGCGTCTGGTTCTTCCTTTCAAGCAGTCCTGACGTTCCCCCACTCCTCGCCGTGTTCATCGAAGACGTGGGCAGGTGGCGTATGCAGCACCCAGTGTTGTTAAGGTCTAGTAAGGTCGAGCCCTGTCTTCCTCACCTGGGATTTAGTGACCACGTGAGGTTTGCTAAGTGTATGTCCTCTGAAGAGAGTTCTCTAGATTTTTGTTCTCAAAGTCCTGCCTGCAGAAGTTCCCCAGGACCTCCCTGTGTTGGTTTCTGCTGTTACCAGCCCCTTCCTCTGGACCCGTACTGTGTGGGTGTGCACTCCGGGAGGGTGGCCTCTCTGTCCCCAAACCACCCCAGGGTGTGTCCAGCTGCCCAGAGTGGCCCAGGCAGGGCCGGAAGCATGTGCTGATCCCCACTGGGGCCCCCCAGCCTATAGGTCTTTCCACGGGGCAAATGAAGCAGCCGCAGAGCGGGTCTTCCTGGGGCCCCCACTCCCCAGCCAGGGCCCTCTCCTGGCTGCAGAGCCTTGAGCGTCAGGGACCTTCAGGAGCCATGAGAACCTGTTACAGGACATGCAGCATCCGTGTCCCTGACCGCTCCTCCTGGTGCCAGCTGCCTCTGTTCTGGGCCAGGCCCTGTGCCGTCCGTCAGTCAGCAGCACCAGCTGCAGGTGTGGCCGCTGGCCCTTTAAAACCCAGTGCCCGGAGTTGGTGTCTGTGCTTGTCCACAGGTGAGGCTTTTGGGTGTGAGCTTAGAAATCATGTCTACTTAGAGGCTTGCTTTTTCAGTAAGGTTTTGGAGGAGGAGTGTCCTTTCTCCACACCGTGGGAGGAGAGATCAGACACAGGCCCAGAGGAGTGAGACTGGCCAGCCGTGCATCAGGCCGCAGCACCAGCTGGGCTGATGATGGAGCCCTGCTGGGTTCAGGGAGGGCGTGGCCACCTTGTAGATCTGTACTGTGTGGCTGGATGGCCGTGCCCTGCCTTCTGGAACTTTCCTGTGTTCTTTCCCAGGCCATCTCACCCCAGGACCTCCCCAGGTCAGCAGGGACTGACCTAGACAGAAACTCAACCTGTGGCCTCTCCTGTCCCTAGGGCCCTCTGTGGGGGCTGCCTGGGCTGCTGGGGCCAATGGTGTCCTTGTGGGAGGGTCTGGAGGGGTGGAGTTCCGGACTGGACACTCAGACCCCTCAGCCGACCTTGAGCCAGGCTGTCCAGGGCAGAGGGAAGGGCCCCAGGGTGAGACGGCAGGATGGCAGGGTGTGCTCAAGGCCGGGCAGGCTGGCTGCCTCTGCTCCATGTGGCTTCCTTGATCAGTGTCCATGGGCAAGTGCCCTGGTGTCCCCAGAGGGAGAATGGCAGCAGTGTTAGTGCAACTGCACAGATGGCAGGAGCCACGTTTGTGTGGAGCCGGGGACAGGGTGTGACCCTCCAGGCCAGCCCAGTAAGTGTTAGCTACTGTTTGAACTAGTCGGGAGATGGGTGTGTTTTGAGTTAAATTATGACTAACCTTTTGTAAACGGGTTGTGAGAGGCTGGGAGAGCCGTGTGTGGCAGGGGAGTGATCATGGCCTCCCAGAGCTGGAGTGTAGCCTCCTCCCCCTGGAGAGGTGATATCAGAGCAACTGGAATCGGCCTTTGGTGGTTTGTCTGAGGCCAGGGGGTGGAGAGAGGGAGAGCCTCTGACTCTGCATGGCTGCAGTGGCAGGGCTGGACCCCAGCCTGTCTCACAGCTGCATCCAGCCTCGCTGGGTCATTGTCCTGTGCACGTCACTCCCCGCTGACTCCAGTCCGGCAGGATCTGCCCATCCTGGAAGGACTCAGGAGGGATGCATGGCTCTGTAGCAAACATGGTCTCGGGGACACTGCTTCCTGGCCGGGGTTGGTCCAGGGTTTTCTGGAATCACCGCCTCCCCGAGCCACCTCTGGAGTGGGAAGTGCTGGCCGAGCTGCTGGGCGCACTAGATGGCAGCATGGCTCTGCTCACCCCATGGCTCCCGCAGCTTCTGGGAAGTGAACAGTCCCAGGCCCTGCGGCTACGTCTCAGGTCAGAAAACAGGGCCACCTGCCCTCCTGCTGAGATGCTTCTCTCTGTCGCTCATTTTGCTAGTGTCCGAGGTATAGACTCCATCCTGCCGGAGACGGGGGTGTGTGTGACGCACGTTACTCGCACTCGAACTGAGATCCAGCCGGTTGGCAGGGAGTCTGTCGGCATTTGGTGGCTTCGTGGCAGGCATTATTGGGCAGCACTCCTGGCCGTGTGCACCCAGCGTGGGAGGGCCTGCGTGGATGCCATGTTCATAGCGCTTGGTCCCACAGACACCTGGACACCCGCTGTCGGAGCTGAGTAAGGACCTGGCACAGGTCGACTGCGCGAAAGCCTCTGCTCACCCTCTATTTACCATCCTTGTTCAGGGGCTAAAACTAACAGGGATGAATTCCTGGAGTTGCTGATGAGGTGGGGCTGGAACTGAGCCAAGGCTGATGGGTTCTGGGCTCGTGGACAGTTCCTGCATCGGTTTGCAGATCTCTACTTAAAAAAGAGATCCTGTTTTTAATTTCCATCATCACCATGTTAAACTTCAGACTGTGCCCCATTTTCAGTAAGGGGCGCTCTTCAGAAACTGCAATGAAGCGTGAATGTCTTCCCTTTGGAATCATGTTTTCTCTTGCTTTGAAATTATATTTCTTTGAATCTCAGAGAATATCGTAAAGGGAAATTGCCACTCTCCTACAAATCCTGTGTTGACTTCTGGTCTCTGTTGATGGAGTCGCACCGTTGGACTCGTGGGTTCACACGCCTGTCCACTGAGAGCTCCTCGGCTGGCTGTGCTGGGTGCTGAAGGGACCCTCTCTGCTGCAGAGCCACAGACCGCAGTGGGCTGTCCAGGGAGTGCTGGGGCATCCGTCTTTACTCGATGACACTGGGGGAACGCGTTTCTGGCCTCCGTCACTCCCCTGTGCTTTACTTCTACCCATTCCATGCTCTCTCCCACCACTGCCCACCTCCTTCTGCCTGCTCTCTGCTGGCTGCCTGGGCATCTCAGCTTGCCTTACTAATGCTTTTGGGCTCGAAGGGCATCGCCAGGTTGGGGAAGTGCTCTGTTCTAAGGGTTCCCAACCTTTCCAGCCCCAGCAAGATCTCTAGGTCCTGAGTCTTTTGATGGCTTTGGGTTTTTTGTTTCACTGTTTACCTTTGAGCCTTTGCCATTTTCAGAGATGTCAGGGAAGGCCACCCTCTGATCCCTGCACACCAGAGAGCCCAGCCTGTAGCCTGCAGGCCTTGTCCTCCTGAAGTGCCATCAGGTGGCCGTGTGTGTGTGTGTGTGTGTGTGTGTGTGTGTGTGTGTGTGTGTGTCTGTGTGTGTAAATAGGACAGCCATTCTCGCTCGCTCTGGGTGGCTGTCACCATGATTCAACACCGGCTGTTGGTTTCAATGCTTGATTGGTTGCTAAGCACCGTATTCAGGTCAGACACATGTTCATAGGTGTGTTTGTTTTGTTGCAACATGAAAGCTGTCCTCGAGCAGCTCTCCTGGGCCAGGACAGGCTGACAGCTGGTTTTGGATGCTCGAGATCTTGATCCCTGCTGGTCCAGCCAGGAAAACTTCAGCTGTGTCAGAGGACCCCTGAGTCTTTTCATGGGGCTAGGGGCCAGACCTCTGATTCAGAAACACTCGTCTTTGTAGCCTGATCACTGTCACTGTGCCTGGGGTCCTGTGGTATTTGAGCCCCAGATCACTGGCAGGCTCAGTCCTTTCACCTTGAGATCCTGGTCACCCTGTACTGGGCTGGTTCTCTGAGATCCCAGTTTCCTTGTGGAAATTCTCTGCCGCCCTCCGGGGCTCTCCCAGGCTGGCTCTCTCTGTTTCTTCCCTGGCCTCAGGCTTCCTGGCAGGTCTTCCTCTGGGCCCCACTCCACCTGCCCCTGGGTGTTGATCTCTATGTCCTCTGTTCAGAACAGCCTCTTCTCCCTCCCGCCTACCCTGTGGGACCTGCTTATTCTTGACGCTGGGCTTTGGAGATGCTGACTCCAGCGGCTTTCTGGGTTTCCTCCTCTTCCTCCTGATTCAGTCTGCTGCAGTATCTTAGCACCCGAATCTGTTCTGCTGTTTTGATTTTCTGTTCCATGTACGGTATTAGTGTTTTCTGAGTGGAGCCAGCACAGTGGTGAGGAGCACCAGCACCCACATCAGACAAGCCAGGCTGCAGCCCAGCCATGCCTCTGGCCAGTTGTGAGGCTTTGGGCAAGTCACTCACCCCGTTCCTGCCTTATCAGGGTTAGGGAGTGGATACTATTGCCCCTCTTTTTTTCTGAGACGGAGTCTCACTCTGTCTCCCAAGCTGGAGTGCAGTGGCGCGATCTCGGCTCACTGCAAGCTCCACCTCCTGGGTTCACACCATTCTCCTGCCTTAGCCTCCCAAGTAGCTGGGACTACAGGCGCCTGCCACCATATCCAGCTAATTTTTTGTATTTTTAGTAGAGACGGGGTTTCACCATGTTAGCCAGGCTGGTCTCGATCTCCTGACCTCGTGATGCAAAGTGCTGGGATTACAGGCATGAGCCACTGTGCCCAGCCTTATTGCCCCTCTCTTAAGGCTGTGAAGGGCAGTAAGTGCTTCTAATGAGCTCAGACTGGGGCCTGGCACATAGTAAGCATTCAGTAAATGCTCAATATGTTTTAACTGGCAATCATTTCTTCCCCACTAAACCAAGAACTCTCGGTCCATCTTAGAATCCCGGGCACAGAGAGGGCACCAGTGTAGACATGCCATTTGTGGTTTGTGTGTTCGCCACAGCCAAGGTCTGGACAGGCCCCTTACCTGTGGGTGAGGGAGCTTGGGTGTCAGGAGTGTTGGGACTCACTTTGCATAAGGGGTGGCTGGGGCTGGAGGGAGCCAGGTGCAGGGATACCTTGTCCAGGGCCATGTGGCCAGGAAAGGGAGGAGTAAGGACCATGGCCTTAGAGTAGGTTGAATGTGTTACCTTGATATTTGCATAGAGAGCGTCAGAAGTAAACAGAGGGACACCCAAGTCCCAGCAGGACATGAAAGAGTCTGAGAAATCGCTGTGCATGCACTTAGTTAAGTGGACGTGGTGTCTTTCCAGGAAGGGCAGGCACTTGCTCTCGGGGGGTGCATCTGGGCACTGAGAATGGGGAAGAGGGGCTTGCCTGGCTGGGGGTGAGCTTCTGTTTAGATGCCTTGTTCCAGTGCCAGTGCCCAGGCGCTGGTCTAGGGGGTGAAGACTTCTCTCCTGGATGCTTCTGTCCCAGTCTCCTGCCCATCAGAAGTGGCTGGGGAGGAGGAAGGGGTGGCATTCTCAGTCCAGGAGGGTTTGGTGCCAGGAAGGGCCATTTCTGGGCATTCTGTTCTTCTGATGGATTTGGGCAGGGTGTATGTTAGCATCAGACGCAAGGAGGGCTAGCCCTGGTGGCCTGCGGAGTAAATGCTGGTGGGACCGGGGTGCCACCTGCCTGCAGACTCGGCCTGTTGCTGCTGGACTCCTGGGGGGCACCATTTTGGGGCTTTCTGCAACCACCTCTGTGTAGCAGTTTAGAGCAGAAGAAGAAGTAGTAGGAAATAGTCTTTGTCCACCAAGGACGTCACTGAGGAAGGGGTACCGGGGGTACCCTTGAAATGGAGGAGGGAGGAGGTGGACGGTGACCGAAGGCCTGATGTCCTGAGGCCAGGGGCCAAGTCCCTGTTACCTGTATGTCCCATGCACTTTTTTAAACTGATGCTGAAGTTGGCCAATGTTTTACTTAAAAAAAAAAAAAAAAAGTGCGTTGGGGCAGCTCCAAGGGCGTCTCTGTAATAATGTCACAGTCATTCCCTTGTCCCCCACCCGCCCGCCGTGAACTTTGCTGAGGGGCAGAGGAAGTGGCGGGAGTAGAGAGAAGCTTGGCTTGGTCTGCGCCTCCTCCCGTGCCTTCCGCAGTGGCCAAGGTGTTCAGCTGGAGGAAGACCCCTCCTTCCTGTCATGACTGTGCATCCTGAGAGCACTTCAGCCTTCCTTCCCCCTGTCCAGTCAGCACTGGCGGGGCTGCCAGAAGTTCTCAAGACTCAGTGAGCCCCAGAGGAGCTCACAAGTCCCCAGGGGGAGCCCCATCTCAGTAACCCCCGCCACTACAACCCTGCCAAACCAGGAGCTCGGGCTGTGCGCCACACCCTTTCACTCCCTTCCCTACCGTTGGCTGTTCTTGCCGCCTCTCCACTGTCCTCCTTCATACGTTTGATTGAGCGGTTCCTCGGTTCCTCTGTGACCCCGGCTAGGCACTGCCATCTCTCACGCGTGCCGTCGTAGTAGCTTCCGACCAGTCTCATTTCTGCTTCTCTCTACTGTACACCTTTTTATCTTTTTCTTTTCTTTCTTTTTTAACTTTCATCACCTTTCTACTATCCAGTACACACCCTTTAACAAGTGGATCCGAACCAGTGTTTGTTTCTGTCTCTCTCCCAGATTAAATATTCTTTAGAGGGCTGGGCTGGGTAGCTTACACCTGTAATCCCAGCACTTTGGGAGGCAGAGGCGGATGGATCACTTGAATCCCGGAGTTTGAGAGCAGCCTGGGCAACATGGCAAAACTCCATCTCTACAAAAAAGAAATAACTTAGCTGGGTGTGGTGGCACACAGCCTGATCCTGAGCCCGGGAGGTTGAGTCTGAGTGAGCTGTGATCTGTCTACTGTACTCTAGCCTGGGTGACAGGGCAGAACCCTGTCTAAAAAAAAAAAAATCCTTCAGTGACTTTCTCATTTTCTTTTGTTCTGTTTTTCTCATTACCTTTTTTTTTTTTTTCTGAGACAGAGTCTCAGTCTGTCACCCAGGCTGGAGTGCAGTGGCATGATCTCAGCTCACTGCAACCTCTGCCTCCCAGGTTCAAGTCATTCTCCTGCCTCAGCCTTCCAAGTAGCTGAGACTACAGGCGTGCGCCACCACGCCTGGCCAATTTTTGTATTTTTAGTAGAGATGGGGTTTCACCATGTTGGCCAGGCTGGTCTTGAACTCCTGATCCTCAAGTGATCCACCCGCCTTGGCCTCCCGGTGTTGGGTGTACAGGCGTGAGCCACCGCTCCTGGCCCTCATTACCTTTTCAAACTGTATTGCTGGGGTTTAACACCACTATTTATTTTGCTGGATTGAGTTATATGTGGCCACCTTGCCTAACTGATTTGTTCTAGTGGTTTTTCTGGTGACTTTCACAGATTTTGTGTGCAGCTGTTCCCATTGTGTGTAGGGGGCAAACTGTTTCTAGTTCCCACCCCGGGACGTAGGTGGGGGTGTTCGGCACAGGTGCAGGTGGGCTGGGGGTGGGCGTCTTGCATGTCCTTTTCTCACTGGACATCTTATCTTTTACCAAGTGCGAAATGTGCCGTCAGGTGTCTGCCAGATACCTTTTGTCAGTGAGGAAGTATCCTTCAGTTTCCAGCTGATTAAAGCATGGGTTTGGAAAGCATGTTGCCTTTTATCAGAAGCTTCCAAGATAATCATGCGATTTCCCCCTCTGTTAGCCTGTTGCTGTAGTCGATAACATTGGTCTGTAATCTCTCTCTCTTTTGGTTTGTGTGTTTCCTGTCTTTCTCCGACTTCTGTAATGGTTTACGCAGAAGGGATGCTGTAGCTTACAGAGACTTGGTGGTGCTCGCCTGCAGAGCTGCCCACCCTGGTGTCCCTGGAGGAGGTAGACCTTTGTCACTTCAGCTGTGGTGCTGCTTTTTGAATAAATTTTGGTAATTTTTATTTTCTTGAGAAGTCATCCATTCTATCTGGATTTCAAAATCTATTAAACATTGTTTTCTGGCTCATGAATCTTTTATTCTGTAGTCAAGTGTGATTTCTAATTTTGAGAGGCCACATGCTTCAGCTTAGTCACCTGCAATATGAGGGTGATAAGGCCACCCATGTCCAAGGTCATTCTGAGCAGTAAATGAGCGAATATCGGTCCAGTGCTTAGGGCAGCACCTGACACAGAGTAAGTGTTCTACAAGGGATAACTGGAAATGTTAGGTTTCCTTTTTTGTTTGTTTGTTTGTTTGAGATGGAGTCTCGCTCTATCACCGAGGCCGCATGATCTCAGCTCACTGCAACCTCTGCCTCCCGGGCTCAAGCGATTCTCCTGCCTCAGCCTCCCAAGTAGCAGGGATTATAAGCATGGGCCACCGTGTCTGGCTAATTTTTCTATTTTTAGTAGAGATGGGGTTTCTCAATTTTGGTTAGGCTGGTCTCAAACTCCTGACCTCAAGTGATCTGCCGGCCTCAGCCTCCCAAAGTGCTGGGATTACAGGCGTGAGCCACTGTGCCCGGCCGAAATGCATTTTTTCTTCTTGACCAGATTTTTCAAGAAGCTTACTTTTATTTTATTTTAAGACAGGGTCTTTCTCTGTTGCCCAGGCTGGAGTACAGTGCTGCGAACACAGTTCACTGCAGCCTCGAGCTCCTGGGCTCAAGCAATCCTCCCCACTCAGCCTCCCACGTAGCTGGGATTACAGGTGCCCTGCTAATTTAATAAAATAATTCTTTTGTAGCTGTCCAAGCTCGTCTCCCAAAGTGTTGGGATTACAGGCGCGAGCCACCATGCCTGCTAAGAAGCTTATGTTATTGGTTGTTTTGGAAAAATGATTTTTGGTTTTGCTGGTCAAGTCCATCATTAGTTTTTCCTTATGGCTTTAATTCCTTCTCTCTTTTTCTTTCCCTGGCTACCTAATTTTGAGTGTAGTTTACTGAAAACATTGGAAATGGAAAACAATAACATTTGCAATTGTTTTCCTGTTGTGTTTCTGATAGATCGTATGTTCTGGGGAGTGGGAACCCTGTCTGTCTGGTTCCCTGGCACGGTGCCTGGCACCTAGCACATGGAATAAACAAATGCTTTCTACTCCCTACTCTTCTCTGTTAATTCACCTTCTAGTTGGGGAAATTGGACAGTGTTGAGTAAACTCTGAATCCTAGAACTCTTAGCACAGAAATTCTCAAATTTTATCACACCTCAGGATCATCTGGATGGCTGGTGAGAACAGATTGCTGGGTCTCCTGCAGAGTGTCCGATTCATTAGGTCTGGGGCCCCAGGTGAGGCTGACTGGCTGCCTGGGGGACCACACTTTGAGCTGCCCAGCCTCCCTCCCACAACACTCTGCCCCTTAGACTCCCCCAGAGTCAGCGTTTCTGCTTCCCTGCTAAGAGTCACCAGGGAGCTCTGAAAACAAATGCCCGCCGCTCCTGACCCGTTAATTAGTTATCCTAATGAGCTTAATTAACTTAATAGTCCCACTGCAGGCGGTGCTACCAGGCAGCCAGGGTGGAGAGCCTGTGCTGTGAAGTCCTTACTCACAGGTTCTGGGGCCACTGTATGTGCCCTGGGGGTAGCCCTAGGTGTTGGTCTTGAACTGCTTGCATCAGGCTCATGTGCGAGGGAATAGCAGCCATCTGGGCGATGGCTACCCATGTTTGCAGATGGCAGTCTCTTAACACAGTGTAACCTTGAGGATGGCCAGGAGGGAAGTGAATAGAAGCCTTGTCTGAGAGTGCTTTAATCTGTTACTAACATTAATAATCTGTTAATAATTAATAATCTGGACTAACACTCAGGGAGTGTCAGTGAATGTTATGAGTTCCAAGAACAAGCCCATGCCTGCATGGAAGGAATCCCCTGTTTCAGGAAAGCAGTGCCCTTGGCTGGACTGCAGACTCCACGTGCAGTACAGACCAGAGACATGGGTGTGGTGATCCTGCCTTTTAAGATGGGGCTCATTAACTAGTGTATGCACGTGTAGGCTTATGCCATTGGTTGGCATAAATGCACTGCTTGGAGGATTCAGGTTCCTCTTTAATTGAAGATTCCGAGAACCAAAATATGGGGCCACTTTGCTTTGCTGTTGTGGCCTCTTTGGAAGATGAATCTTCTTTTGTATACACTAGCAGAGCTGTGCTAACAGGCTCTTTCTGTAAGGTGGGGAATCTTTTTGGTAGTGTAAACACACACTCTATACTCTTCATATTTCAGTATATGTCTGTAAATACTTCTGGTATTTCTTGATATTGATGCCTTCCTTGGCATAGTGGTTGTTCTCAGATATAAGTTGTGCTTTGATCAACTTTTTTTTTTTTTTTTTTTTTTGAGATGGAGTCTCACTCTGTCGCCCAGGGTGGAGTGCAGTGGCACTATCTTGGTTCACTGCAACCTCTGCCTCCTGGGTTCAAGCGATTCTCCTGCATTAGCCTCCCGAGTAGCTGGGACTACAGGCACGTGCCACCATGCCTGGGTAATTTTTGTATTTTTAGTAGAGATGGGATTTCACCATGTTGGTCAGGCTGGTCTTGAACTCCTGACCTCATGATCCGCCCACCTCAGCCTCCCAAAGTGCTGGGATTACAGGTGTAAGCCACCATGCTTGCCTTTTTAAAAAAAAAAACAAAAAAAAAACCAGAATCTTGCTCGGTTGCCCAGGCTGGAGTGCAATGGCACGATCTCGGCTCACTGCAGAGCGATTCTCCTGCGTCAGCCTCTGAAGTAGCTGGGGCCACAGGCATGTGCCACCATGCCTGGCTAATTTTTGTATTTTTAGTAGAGATGGGGTTTCACCATATTGGCCAGCTGGTCTTGAACTCCTGACCTCAAGTGATTCACCTGCCTCGGCCTCTCAAAGTGCTTGGATTACAGGTGTGAGCCAGCGCGCCCGGCCTCATCGACTTTCTTTATTGGCTACGGGTGCTGGGGACACAGGGACCTGGTCATGCACTGATGATGATGCCCTTTCTCTCCCGTGAAATGCAGTGGTCCTATTGGCTACTGAAGGTTTTTGCCATTTTTTTTTTTAGAGACAGGGTCTCACTCGTGCCCAGGCTGGAATGCAGTGGTGCAAGCATAGCTCACTCCAACCTTGAACTCCTGGGCTCAAGCAATCCTCCCACCTCAGCCTCCAGAGTAGCTGGGACTACAGGCACCCACCACCATGCCTGCTGGTTTTTGCCTTTTGGATGATCAATGATGACTTTTTCCTCCTGCTTTCAGGGTGTGCTGGACCGGTTTTCTCAAATTCAGCCAAAGCTCATCTTCTCTGTGGAGGCTGTTGTCTATAATGGCAAAGAGCACAACCACATGGAAAAGCTGCAGCAGGTGGTTAAAGGTGTGTGGCCCTTCCGGCTCCCAGCCGGCATGGCTGGGTGTGTGTGTGGGTACATAAGAGTCTGCCAGGAGTCAATCTGGGTAGTCTCTGCCCCAGATTGTGTTATATTCTCTGCCCCAGATTGTGTTATATTTTGTGGAAAAAAAAAAAAGCAGCCAAGCATCTTTGTCCTGTAACCTTGTGTTTTCTCCTCTCGCTCCTTCCAGGCCTACCAGACTTGAAGAAAGTGGTGGTGATTCCTTATGTGTCCTCCAGAGAGAACATAGACCTTTCAAAGATTCCAAACAGGTAATGTACCGCATTCTGACCCACAGGTCCGTGTGGACCCACTGGAGCTCCTGCGGGGAAGTAGGCCTCTGGATCTTCTACTTGGGGTCACTCAGAGAATTTTAGAAGTGGAGGAGGTTTTAGTTAAAAGCATCATTTTGTAGATAAGACACCTGAGGCCCCAGAGTGAATCCCCCAAGGCCACATAGTGAATGAGTGGCGGAAGAGAGACAGTCCCAGGCACCCTCACTCTTCCAATCTGGTGTCCCTTATGTAGGGGGCTCTGATGGGGCCAAGCCCACCTTCCTAGATTGGCCACAGAAATTTTGCATTGGAAATCATGTTTACATGTATGTGCACATGGTGCATGCACTGCACACGCATGCACACGACAAGGCACACATATCTACACGTGTACACATGCATGTGCATTTACACACGTGCATACGTGCACAGGTGCACATGCATGTGTACATGTGTATGTATGGCTATGCATACATAAACACTCGTATATGTATTTTTCACCTTTTAGGACATGCGTGTGTTCCCCATTGCTGATGACATCTTCCTTGGCTTTTCTGACATTTGTAGAAGAATAAGCCACATGTTTTGTGTACCCAATAGGATTGTAAGAATCTTCATTTTTGGCCAGGCATGGTGGCTCACGCCTGTAATCCCAGCACTTTGGGAGGCCGAGGCAGGCGGATCACGAGGTCAGGAGATCGAGACCATCCTGGCTAACACGGTGAAACCCTGTCTCTACTAGAAATACAAAAAATTAGCCAGGTGTGGTGGCGGGCACCTGTAGTCCCAGCTACTCGGGAGGCTGAGGCAGGAGAATGGCGTGAATCCGGGAGGAGGAGCTTGCAGTGAGCCAAGATAGCGCCACTGCACTCCAGCCTGGGCAAAAAAGCGAAACTCCGTCTCAAAAAAAAAAAAAAAAAAAAAAAAAAAAAAAAGAATCTTCATTTTGAATAGAGATTAAGGAAATGGATTATGGATTATGGTTTAGTCAAAGCTGAATTCTTCCCAAAGTTCTTGGAGTTATACCTTCCTTTAATTTTTCTTGAAACAGTTGTGGGGAGAGGGTTCTGAGCTCAGGCGTTTACCCCCACGGGGTAAGCTTTCCCTTGAGCCTTGGGTCGGGGCCACTGGAGGGCACCTTGTACGTGGCTCCTTGAGGCCTGGTGAGGAGGGGCTATGTAAACATGGCAGGGTGTCTTCATACCAGCCACGGGGACCAGAGGTGGAAGAGAGGAGGAGATGGCGGAGCCCTTTTTGTTCCAGCAAGTGGTAGTCGGTGCATGGCTTGTTACCGTCTGTCAGGGTGTTCTCAGGGGCACCACAAGGTACAAATCATGTGTCCTGTCCTCCGGGAGTTGCAATCTAGTTGGAGAGGTGAGACCCACCTGCAGGGAGGTTGAGCTGTGACCACTAGGAGTGGGAGGGACAGGATGTGCCCAGGGGTTGACAGCAGGGCCTGGGTGCTTCCCTGTAGGATCTGGGGAGGTGGCATCTGGGGGTGGCTTTGAGGTATGAGCAGGGTCTGGGGACAGCTGTGTGTGCAGGGCATATTCTGGAGCCTGGAGGGTGCTGCAGGCAAAGTGGTGGCTTGGCGAGGGCCATGGTCTCCAGATCCGACTTGTCAGGTTCAGCTCTCAGCTGTGTGACCCTGTGCCAGTAACCTCTCTGAGCCTTGTGTCTCCATCTGTAAAATGGAGATGAGGTGGTACCTGTATTAGGTCGTTCTTGCCTTGCTATAAAGAAATACCTGAGACTGGGTAATTTATAAGAAAAGAGGTTTAATTGGCTTATGGTTCTGCAGGCTGTGCGAGAGGCATGGTGCCAGCATCTGCTTCTGGGGAGGCTGTATGGAGCTTGTGATCATGGCGGAAGGGAAGTGGAGCGGGCACTTTACATGGGAAAGCAGGAGTGGAGGGGGTCGGGGGGCGGGGTGCCACACACTTTTCAATGACCAGCTCTTGTGTGAACTCAGAGTGAGAACCCACTCATCACCAAGGAGATGGTCCCTGCCATTCACGAGGAATCCACCCTTGTGATGCAAACACCTCCCACCAGGCCCCACCTGCAGATTGGAGGTTACATTTCAACACGAGATGAGGGTGGGGACAAACATCCACACTCTTATCAGCACCTTCCTCTCAGGCTGGCTGGGAGGATTAAATAAGCTGCTGCTCTGCAAAGCGTGCACAGTCAGCTCTCAGTGATCCTGCCTGTCATTGTGCGGCCGCGGTGGGCTCTGTCGCCTGAAGCACCTGAGTCAGGGTGGGCAGATTCTTCACAGGCAGGCCCGGGTGCCTGTCCCATGGACTGTGGGACCCTGCCGACCTTAATAAATTATAACCAGGTGCCAGAGCGCTGGCTTTCTTTCATGCAACCTCGGATTTTGTGCCCCAGGTGTATGGATGGAGGCCATGATGCATGGAGGCTAGGAGGAAAACCAGACAGGGTTTACCAGCCCCCTGGTTGGCCTGGCTATTTTTTCTGAATAATATTCATCAGCAGTTGATATAAAATGAGGGCATCCAGCAGAATCATGTTAGCCACTTCATTTAGCCCGACACCCCAGGGGCTGGACTCCCACTGCAGTCCATCCTTTGATTGTGGATGCCACAGATAAAGCAGAAACGGGTACGTGCCCATCTGTGGAGAATTGACGGGGCCGGGGGAGCCACCCTGTGGGCTTTTCATTCTTAGAAGAGCTTTAACAAAGGTAATCATTATGTACTGTGATTTATGGGCCATTTGACAGAAAAGGCTTTTCTCTGTGTGAAGTATCTGATTAGATCTGGCACTTTATAATGGGATTCTTATAGGAGGTAGAGGTGGGATGGGGTTTTCATTGGCTGTAAAGTTCCACAGTGAATAGTTTTCCTGACATGCTGGAGCAGACGGCTTTGTTTGTTTCTTGCTTAGAGTTGAATTATTTTGGATGCCCTTTTTAAACCACCATGTCTTCCCCAGGAGAAACCTTTATATTTAAGGATGCCTTCTCATGCAAGACAGCAAAATTCTTCATTTTAGTCTGTATGGCATTTGTATTTCAGAGTAATTATCCCTAGCAAATGGCTGCAGGCTGCGTTTAACTGATTCCCACCTCCTTCCCTGAGAGAAAGTCCATTTGTCAGTTGAGTATAGGGCCAATGTTTTGAGATGGATGTTGCTGCTGAATTCAAAATAGAAAACCACCTTTTCCCAAGATGGCTTGTGGCTTCTGCGGCTGTTTCTAGTGCAGAAAACAAATCTCCTGTTTGTGTCGCCCCTTTGGTGGTTCTTGGCCACCTACAACAATGCTGCCTGTCAGCTTTGGGGGTAAGCCTAGGCACACTTCCTGGGTGACAGTCAATAGCTGGGATTAATTTTATTTGTTCTTGCACAGATATTTGTATCTTGCTATTGTAAACCTCAGGATCTAGTAAGTTAGTGACAACACATGATATTTGCTGAGCGGTTCTCTGTCATTGAGCTGTAGTTTAGGAAATTGACCCCACATCTGTAGGAAGGGCTCATTAATCTAGCATCTCCTCCTCTCCCTTCTCCCCACGGGGGAAGCATCTTACTTCAGACCCACTTGGTGAGTGCTTCCTTTTGGGCAATCATTGGAAACAAAGCGTTTGCTAATCAGGTGATCAATAGCAAACAAAGGACATGGGCTCAGAAGACTTCAAGGCCATTTCCAAAGCCTCCTTCAGCCGTGTTGGTACACACATGGCTTGTTCATTGTAAGTGATCCTTCTCCGTGGTGGTTATGAAAACACTTAAAATATTCTCTAAAAGACAGCCCTTGGCCCTGTCAGCAGTGCTGATTAAGCAACTTGAAACCTTCACTCGTTCGATGAGTTTTCCTTCAATTAGCTTGAATCTCTGAGATCTAACTGCCTCCCCTGGTCCCAGGAAGTTTCCAAATCTGGCCACCGTCCCCCTGGAATCCTGGCTTTTCTGGGGGTAGAAACAGAGGGAAGTGCACGGGTGGAATCAGTGGGTCCGGTCCAGCATTCTGGGACGTTCATGGCGTGTTTCCCTGCGTTTCGGCCCACAGTGTGTTTCTGGATGACTTTCTTGCCACCGGCACCAGTGAGCAGGCCCCGCAGCTGGAGTTCGAGCAGCTGCCCTTCAGCCACCCACTGTTCATCATGTTCTCATCGGGCACCACGGGCGCACCCAAGTGCATGGTGCATTCCGCTGGGGTAGGTCTCTGGGGAAGGCTCTGCAGGGCCTCCTGTTGTCTGTTTGCTTCAACAGGGCCTCCCAGCTGATGATGGCAGTGTTGGAGTTGTCAAACTGCACCCCATCCCCGGAGAGTCCAACGTGCAGCTTCTCTCCAAGTGGGGTGCTGCACGGAGATCCGGCACTGGGCCCAGGGCAGTGGAGTGCTGCCACTTCAAAGGCTGGGATGGCACCTAACACCATGGCGATAGGCTTGGAGGTCACTGTACAGCGCGGTGTGCCTTGGGGGTGGGGGGTGCGCTGGCTGAACCAGCTACTTTCACCCTGCAGGTCTGGACCACCTGGGGGATTGTGAACTCAATAGGTGGGCCCTGCCAGTATTTTAAAAAGAACGAATCAGAATAGACAAGAATAGATAATATTAGCGCAGTGCCAGACGCAATGGCCCACACCTATAACCCCAGCACTTTGGGAACCTGAGGTGGGCAGATTGCTTTGAGCCCAGGAGTTTGAGACCAGCCTGGCCAATATAGCAAAACCCCATTTTTACTAAAAAATACAAAAATTAACTGGACGTGGTGGCACATGCCTGTAGTCTGAGCTACTCGGGAGGCTGAAGTGGGACAATTGCCTGAACCCAGGGGGCGGAGGTTGCAGTGAGCTGAGATCATGCCACTGCACTCCACCTGGCAACAGAGCCAGACTCTGTCTCAAAAAATAAAAATAAAATAAAATATTAGCACAGAATAGGCTCATAAGAGGTATGGGTGGTGTTCTGTGAAGCTGTCATTACATGGAGCGGAATGTGTGCACGTGCTGGGGGCGTTGTAAAACTTATGTCTGACCGTGGGTTGTGGTAAAATATTTGAAAGCCACTGGTTAGGTTATTAGAAGGCTAGGTTACTAGGTTATTAGGTTATTATTAGAGTCTAATTAACTGAGAAAGAGCCTGCCCGTGCTGCGAGTCTGTTAGGGCTGCCATAACGAAACACCACAGGCTGTGTGGAACACCAAGGTGCCGCACAGTTGCTCTTGTCTGAGGCCTCTCTCCTTGGCTTGTGGACGGCCGCCTTCTTGCTCTGTCCTCGTGTGATCTTTCACGTGACACCGCTGGTGTCTCTGTATGGGTCCAAGCTTCTTCTCCTGAGGACCCCAGTCAGATCGGATCTGGGCCTGCTCTGACAGCCTCATTTAAACTCTGTCACCTTTTAAAGGCCCATTTAGTCACATTCTGAGATACTAGGTATTGGGCTTCAACATACGAATTTTGGGGGTACACAGTTCAGCCCATGACACATGCTTTTAATTTTTCTTATTTCACCGAAAGTCTAACTTTATTAAAGCACCTGAAATAATATGTTACTACTATGCAATAGAATGTATATGTATAGGTTAGTGACTTTTAACCTGTTATTTTATTTTATTTTATTTTTTTTTGAGATGGAGTCTTGATCTGTCGCCCAGACTGGAGTGCAGTGGTGTAATCTTGGCTCACTGCAACCTCTGCCTCCTGGGCTTAAGCAGTCCTCCCCTCTCAGTCTCCCATGTAGCTGGGATTATAGGCGTGTGCCGCTATGCCCTACTCGTTTTTTTGTTTGTTTTGTATTTTTGTGGCTTTTTTTTTTTTTTTTTAAGACCGGGTTTTGGCATGTTACCCAAGCTGGACTCAAACCCCTAGGCTCATATATTCCACCTGCCTTGGCCTCCCAAAGTGCTGGGATTACAGATGTGAGCCACCCATGCTCAACCAAACCTTTTATTTTTGAAAAAAATAAAATACCTAGAGAACCTCTAGAAAAGCTGCAAGAATAGTAAGCTCCATGGTACCCTTCAGCTGAATTCTTCCATTGTTGACATTCTGTCTTTAACATTTTCAACGTCCTTTTGTTTTGTTTTGTTTTGAGATAGTTTCTCACTTTGTTGTCCAGGCTGGAGTGCAGTGGCGTGATCATGGCTCACTGCAACCTCTACCTCCTGGGCCCAAGCGATCCTCCCACCTCAGTCTTCCAAGTACCTTGGACTACAGGCACGTGCTACTTTTTTGTTTTTGTAGAGATGGGGTCTTGCTATGTTCCCCAGGCTGGTCATGAACTCTTGGGCTCAAGTGATCCTCTCGCCTTGGCCTCCTGAGTGCTGGAATTACAGGCATGAGCCACTGTGCCTGATGTCAACATCCATTTTTAACACGTCCTAAAAGCCTCTTTCGCCTTCTTTCTCTCTCAGCGTATATACACATGTTGTTATTTTGCTTTTTGTTGAACCAGTTGAGAGTACGTTGGAGCCACAATGATCTTTCACTCTTTAATATTTCAGCACGTATCTCCCAAGAACAGGAGCGTTCTCTTACAGAAGAGTGTGTAGCGCGCTCATCAAATTCAGGAAGGTTGGCGTTGGTGCAGTGCCGCCCCCTCATCTATGGTCCACAGTCAGGTCGCCAGTTCCCCAGTAGCGTCCTAGCAGCTCAGGCGGTGGCACGTCAGTCGTCAGGTCTCCTGCATGTCTGGAGCAGCTCCTTGGGCTTCTTCGTCTTCCGTGACACTGACATTTTCAAAGAGCCCAGGCTCCTGGTTTGGCAGAATGGCTCTGTTTGGGTATGTCTGGTGTCTCCTCGTGGTTAGGTCCAGGTGATGCAGCTTTGGTGGGAACACGCTGGAAATGATGTGGTGTTCTTCTCCGTGCATCTATCGGGGGGATACAACGTTAGTGTATTTCATTTCTGTGATTTCACTAGGCCACTCTTCAGAAATGAAATGCCTGGGTCAATGTGGTGCTTTGCTTTTTTTTTTTTGAGGTGGAGTCCCGGCACTGTCACCTGGGCTGGAGTGCAGTGGCTCAATGTTGGCTCACTGCAACCTCTGCCTCCCGGGTTCAAGCGATTCTTGTGCCTCAGCCTCCTGAGTAGCTGGGATTATAGGCGCCCGCGACCACGGCCGGCTAAGTTTGTGTGTGTGTGTGTGTGTGTGTGTGTGTGTGTGTGTGTGTGTGTGTGTGTGTGTGTGTGTTTAGTAGAGACGGGGTTTCACTATGTTGGCCAGGCTGGTCTCCAACTCCTGACCTCGTGATCCACCTTCCTTGGCCTCCCAAAGTGCTGGGATTACAGGCCTGAGCCGTCACGCCCAGCTGAATGTAGTGCTTTTCTAATAACTGCTATCACATCTTACTTCCTCTGATCCTCTTCTGCCCCTGGGCTTCCTGACTCGGTTGAATCCTTACCTTGCACTCAGACTTCTCCTGGGCCGGTCTGTGGGAGTCAGGATGCTTGCGACGCCGTGGCTCCCACCCTCACGCTGCTCTAGGCTCTCCTCTGGGCCAGCTCTTCAGCTCTCCCCATAGCTCATTTCCCCATTTCCCTATCAGTTGGCTCAGCCTATAGGGAGGAGAAAAATCCACTGTATCTTGGTCAAACCTTCTGATCACCACTTTTTCCCCCAAACTCAGAAGAAGAGAATTCTCCAAGTGGAGAAACCTTTGCTTGATAAGACAGTGGCATTTGAAAAGGAAATATACAAGTTCCCTTATTCTAGCTCACTTAGCTTTTATAGACGTTCCCTCTACCTAGAAGCAGTTTGAATCCCTTCCATAAAAAGGAAATATTTACATTGGAATCATTTGAAAGCCCTATTAGGCTTTTTACAGAGTATTTTCATCAGAATGTGGAAAGGAGCCAATGTGGTTTCATCATCACCTAGATCTAGATTCACTGAAGGTCTTGTTGCAGGCTGTGAAATAGATTGAAGGTCCAAGAGCCTGTCCACGCACAGCAGGTTAATTCTCAAGAAACCCAGGGGTGGGAGCGAGGGGCTGAGGTCAGGGGTGGGGGGCAAAGGCCTTATTTCTAGCAGTTACACTGGCTCAACGGAGTTGCCTCTTTGCAGGCAGCGAGCTGTCCTGTCGCTCAAATCGTCTGATTTTATGAAAGCCAGTCGGGGTGTGTTCACAGACTAAGGTGTAGTTGGAATCGCGTTTTCCCTGTGAAAGGGCAGCCCTGTTGCACCTGGGTGCAGGTCTGTGAGTGAGCCACCGAGATGAGCATTTTTAGAAATCTTGCAGACAAGGGTCGGGGCGGGGGCGGGTGTATGTGGCCAAACAAGACATTTTAGGAAAAATGGAAATGTATAACTGTACTTTTATTTTTAGTGCTCTTTGCATAGTGCATGTCATTTTTTTAAGAGGAGCATAAAAATGTATTAGATATAATATAGCTTGCTCATAAAATGATCATGCCTGGTATATTTAGAGTGTGGAAAAATCAGGAAAAATTATATGTACTCCATCTTCACTGGGCTCTTGCATCTCTGGAGAAGTGACTAAGCATCTTGCTCGTTCTCTAGAGTTATCTTGACTACAAACTTGAAAACAGTGAGGCAACATAGGCCAGAGTCCTAGGGCTGCTCGTAATCTTCCCAATTGAGTAGGGTGGGGTTCTGTTACTGGTTTGTTGGTTTGTGCTTCCTAAGTCTGTGAAAGGTGTCAGAAAGTGGCTCCCCTTTCTCTTCCTTTACATGAAATTACTCTCCTGCGCTGAGACCCAGGAAACTGTTTATGCTGCCTTACCCTCAGGGAAAGCATTCAGACTTGACCATAAATATTTAAGAATTAAGGGAAAAACGATGGATGTAACTTGTTAAGAGTCACACAGAGAAATTCTTGAGAGAGGAGGAGGGCCCATCATTTGTTTTGTGCCATCTGAGAGAATGAGGCTAATGAACCACTGAACGAAGGTGGGCTCCTATCTCTGCTGTGCTCTCAGCAGACCACGTGAGCGAAGCTGTAGAGTTAAGTGCTGATTTTAAGTGAAAAAGAAAGTGGGAGAGGGATTTGCCACAGGCTCCTAGAATCCGAGTTCCCTGTCCTTTAAGTGGATTCGTGGAAAGATTTAGTTCATGGAGACAGTTCCTGAAAAGTTTGTCACCCCCAAATTATTGCCTACCCACTGTGCAGGAGAACAGATTGTCATGTAACTTTCTAAGAAGCTTTTGAGTGCCTGGGGAAGGGAAGGGAAGGGGAGGCTGTCTCTTGACCCTGACTGGGGATTCTTGTTAAACTCCACCCTGCAGCTCAGCTTCCAGAGCCCGGAGGCAGCCTTGGGGGACTGCAGAAAAGGGCAGTGTATTAGTCTGTTTTCATGCTGCTGATAAAGACATACTGAGGGCTGGGTGTGGTGGCTCATGCTTGTAATCCCAGCATTTTGGGAGGCCAAGGTGGGCAGATCACAAGGTAAAGAGATCGAGACCAGCCTGGCCAACATGGTGAAACCCTGTCTCTCCTGAAACTAAAAAAAATTAGCTGGGCATGGTGGTGTGTGCCTGTAGTCCCAGCTACTTGGGAGGCTGAGGCAGGAGAATCACTTGAACCCAGGAGGTGGAGGTTGCAGTGAGCCGAGATCACACCACTGCGCTCCAGCCTGGTGACAGAGCGAGACTCTGTCTCAAAAAAAAAAAAAGACATACTGAGACTGGGCAATTTATAAGAGAAAGGTTTAATGGACTTAACAGTTCTACGTGGCTGGGGAGGCCTCACAATCATGGCAGAAGGCAAGGAGGAGCAAGTCACATCTTACATGGATGGCAGCAGGCAAAGAGAGAGAATGAGAACCAAATGAAATGGGCTTCCCCTTATCAAACCATCAGATCGCATGAGACTTATTTGCTACCATGAGAATAGTATGGGAGAAACTGCCCCCGTGAGTCAATTATCTCCCACCTTGTCCCTCCCACAACATGTGGGAATTATGGGAATACAATTCAAGATGAGATTTGGATGCAGACTTGGAGCCAAACCATATCAGGCAGCGTCTGCCTGTCTGCCTGGCAGTCTCTGGAAGCTTCAGTTGCTGCTGTTTGTGGGCTGGGTGGCGGTTGCCTGTTTGGGATGGACTCCGGAATAGGAGTTTTGGCTCCTGAATGGGAGCCTGTGTTGGATAGGATTGTTCCTGGTGAGCTCTTAAAGGGATCATCTCCTGCAACTGGCTTTTGGAAGCTTTTCCCTTGGGTATAATGAGGGCCTTCATGGCTGGGTTTTAATATATAAGTCCTTGCTTCAGCCTTCTAGGCCCTCCACAACCAGGAGCACCTTTGTGATGAGCCAGAGGCTCACATCTGTGGACCAGACTGAAGGGCAGTGGTCACTGAAGGGGCAGCATCCCCGTCTGTCCTCAGGATCTTGTACGAGATCCGTTGGAAAGACAGGAAAACCGAGGCTGGGAGCGTGGAGTGACGGGTGCAGGGGCCACTGGCTCTGCTCTCTGGGTTGTGCCTGGCGATGGGAAGCTTCCTCTCCTCCCTGCCCCTGCCAGACACACAGAGTTGCTTGGAACAAGTGTGTTCTGGGCAGTGGAAGATTATATAGTTGTAAACAGACATGAGGGAGCTCCCGGCATGCCAAGGAAGAGCTCCCAGGTGTGCTGTTAGGTGGAAAAGGCAAAGTGCGGGACACTGTGTCACAATGAACAAAATGGCATTAATAAATATGTGCCGGCATCAGCAAGAAAGACGTTCACAGGAAACTGCTAGGACCGGCTGCCTCTTGGGAGAACTGGGTACAGGACAGGGAGAGAGGACGGCTTTTCATAGTATCTGCTTCAGAGTTCTGGACCGTGCAAATACATTGCCTATTAAGCACCAAAATTAAAAGGTAATAGGGCATAGTGGGTGGGAGGGAGCGGTTCTGCTTGGGTGTTTTAGCCAGAAGCAGGGTCTTGTGCTGTCCCCTCAGCTGAGGCATTCCTGAAATCCGATCTTGAACGTGAGTCCCAGCTACAGTCTTGCTCTGTTGCCAGTGCCCCACCCCCACCACATCCCCCTCACCCCGCTGTTCCCTGTCCCTCATGAGGCTGGGCTAGCACCCGTCCTGGAAGGGTTAGGCCCTGGTCTTTTGCTCGTTGACTCTCTTCTCAGGAAGGGTCACTTCTCTTCTGCCTGAAGCTGGTGGGCCTCCGTGGTGCCCTTGATGTCCTGGGCACCGAGAGCTTGAGGGCAGACAGGAGTGTCAGGGTTTTCCTCTCCAGACTACAAGCCACGCTCAGCTCTTGGGGGAGAGGGACATGGGGGCATGGCTCATCACAGGGGAGTGGGGGGAACCCTCCAAAGTCTGCTTCTCCCAGGAAAGAAAATGGGGATCTGCTGGGGCTTCTTCCTGGCAGCGTCTGAGCAGCGCGTGGGCCAGGTACCAGATTCCTGGTACTGTATGCCTAACAGAGAGCACCCGCTCCCCCGTGTCTCCCCTGCAGGGCACCCTCATCCAGCATCTGAAGGAGCACCTGCTGCACGGCAACATGACCAGCAGTGACATCCTCCTGTGCTACACCACGGTAAGGGCTTCCCCAGGTGCTGGCCTGTGCTATACCACAATAGGGGCTTCCCTGGGTGCCAGCCCATGACACATAGTAAGGACTTCCCCAGGCGCCGGCCCGTGGCACATGGTAAGGGCTTCCCCAGGTGCTGGCCTGTGCTATACCACAATAGGGGCTTCCCTGGGTGCCAGCCCATGACACATGGTAAGGGCTTCCCCAGGCGCCGGCCCGTGGCACATGTTAAGGGCTTCCCCAGGCGCCGGCCCGTGGCACATGGTAAGGGCTTCCCCGGGCGCCGGCCCGTGGCACATGGTAAGGGCTTCCCCGGGCGCCGGCCCGTGGCACATGGTAAGGGCTTCCCCGGGCGCTGGCCCGTGACACATGGTAAGGGCTTCCCCGGGCGCCGGCCTGTGCTGCGCCGTGGTAGGGGCTTCTCTGGGGCGCTGCCTGTGCTGCACTGTGGTGAGGGCTTCCCCAGCGCACGGTGTCGAGTTGGGCCCGCTCCTCCGCCCACCCTGCCTCAGCAGCGTGGAATCCACGCCATGAAACCATAACTCAACTCAAGGTGTTGGAGGCCTTCCTGCCCTTGTTGAGCACTGAAAGACAGAAGGTTAGGACATGTTAAAGGAAGTGTATTTTACCCCAGAGGAGGAGAACTCAAAACATCAAGAGCTTCCACAGTGATCTAGCTACAGGTCCTAGGTGATGCTTCTGTGCTGAGTTTTTTTTTTTTTTTTTTGCGATGAAGTCTAGCTGTGTCGCCCAGGCTGGAGTGCAGTGACTGGATCTTGGCTCACTGCAACCTCCACCTCTTGGGTTCAAGCGATTCTTCTGCCTCAGCCTCCTGAGTAGCTGGGACTACAGGCGTGCACCACCACGCCCAGCTAATTTTTTGTATTTTTAGTAGAGATGGGGTTTCACCATGTTGAGCAGGCTGGTCTTGAACTCCTGACCTTGTGGTCCGCCCGCCTCAGCCTCCCAAAGTGCTGGGATTACAGGCGTGAGCCACCGCCCCTGGCCTGCTGAGTCTTTATGCCAAGTGGAATGCAGCAGGCACATGCCTGACCTGTGAGGTCAATGCCCAGGGCCCTTCTGTGCCCCTTATGAGAGACTCCCCACAGATGCAGGAGGGAGGACAACCCCCCCACCCCAGTGACCTCACACAGGTGCAGGAGAGTATCAGACCCCCCACCCATGACCTCACACAGGTGCAGGAGACTGTCAGACCCCTGGGACTGCACACAGATGTAGGAGTGGGGACAGACCCCTGGGACTGCACACAGATGGAGGACGGGGGACAGACCCCTGGGATTACACAGAGATGCAGAAAGGGTCAGACCCCTGAGACCTCACACATACACCCGTGCAGGGGACAGACCCCTGGGATCTCACACAGGCTCAAGAGTGGTGACCTTGGGTGTGTTTTTGATGTGTGACTGTGGAGAGGCCCCTCCCTGCTCTCTGTGACCAGCTGTGAATTAATAAGGGGCTTGAGACAAATGATTCAGGTTTTTTTTTCTGCAGGGATTTGCTCTACAACCCACCCCTGTCCCCAATCCCTAACGTAGAATACCAGTGCCAGCCCCACCCCCACCATGGACCCTTGTGTGCTGGGTCCTTTCTGAAACATTTCAGGGCGGGAAGCCCGGGCAGCAGCATCAGTGCAGTGTCCTTACGGAGGTGCAGGAAGCTCCCAGCAGCTACGATGATGCAGGATTCGGCTGCCTCCCTGGGACACGGCAATTTAAAATGGGAGGGTCTTGTATTGAGAGGAAGGATACAATGGAAAGAACTCAAAAATTTGGAGCAGTTTTCTCAGAGGCATTTCATTTTTACTGGAAGGATCCTGTCCACTAAGAATCAGGCAGTTAGATTTTTCCTGGAGCAGCTTGACCCCACCTGTGTTCTTTTATTTTTATTTTATTTTATTGTTTTATTTTTTGAGACGGAGGCTCACTCTGTCACCCAGGCTGGAGTGCAGTGGCGCGATTTTGGCTCTCTGCAAGCTCCACCTCCCAGGTTCACGCCATTCTCCTGCCTCAGCCTCCCGAGTAGCTGGGACTACAGGCGCCCGCCCCCACGCCTGGCTAATTTTTTTTGTATTTTTAGTAGAGATGGGGTTTCACCGTGTTGGCCAGGATGGTCTCAATGTCCTGACCTCATGATCCGCCTGCCTCGGCCTCCCAAAGTGCTGGGATTACAGGCATGAGCCACCGCGCCCGGCCTCCCGACCTGGGTTCTAACAGCAGCCTTGGTGGCAGTTGTTTCATGTCCTGCAGCCCTGGGCCCAGGCTATACTGTGACCCACCCTCCCTCCCTTCCTTCCCCTTCCTTTCCCTCCCTTCCCCTCCCTACCTCTCCCTTCCTTTCCCGTTTTCCCTTTGCCTTTTGTCCTCCTTTTTCCCTTTGCCTTTCTTGTTTTCTTTTGACAGTCTCACTCTGTTGCTCAGGCTAGAGTGCAGTGGTGATCATGGCTCACTGCAGCCTCCAACTCTTGGGCTCAAGTAATCCTTCCACCTCAGCCTCCAAGTAGCTGAGACCACAGGTGCACTCCACCATGCCTGGCTAATTAAAATAATTTTTTTTTGGAGTCCAGGCACGGTGGCTCACGCCTGTAATCCCAACACTTTGGGAGGATGAGGTAGGTGGATCACTTGAGGTCAGGAGTTTGGGACCAGCCTGGCCAACATGGAAAAACCCTGTCTCTACTAAAAATACAAAAAAGTTAGCCGGGTGTGGTGGTGGGCACCTGTAATCCCAGCTACTTGGGAGGCTGGGGTGAGAGGATCACTTGAACCCAGGAGGCAGAGGTTGCAGTGAGCCGAGATTGTGCCACTGCACTCCAGCCTAGGTGACACAGTGAGACTCCGTCTCAAAAAAAAAAAAAATGTTTCTCCATAGAGACCAGGTCTCACTGTGTTACCCAGGCTGGTCTCAACCTCTTGAGCTCAAGTGATCTTCCCACCTTGCCCTCCAAAATGCTAGGATGACAGGTGTGAGCCACCAGGCCTTGATTCAGCTTTTAGCAGCTTTGTTGGACAATGAGGTGGCCAGGAATGTTATGCTGCTTGGGGCTTCCAGGCACTGGTTTCCTCTTTGGGAACAGTTCCTCAATAAAAGAAATTGAACGAGTACATTAAGACCTGTTCAGAAAGCAGCTCAATGGCTAGGTGTGATGGCTTATGCCTGTAATACCAGCACTTTGTGAGGCTGAGGCAGGAGGATCCCTTGAGGCCAGGAGTTCAAGATTAGCCTGGACAACAAAGTGAGACCTCATCTACAAAAAATAAAAAAATTAGCTGGGCGTGGTGGCTCACATCTGTGGTCCCAGCTACATGGGAGGCTGAGGCAGGAGGATTACTTGAGGTTAGGAGGTCGAGGCTGCAGTGAGCTCTGATTGTGCCACGGCACTCCAGCCTGCGTGACAGAGTGAGACCTTGTTTCAGGGGAAAAAAAAAAAAAGAAGAAAGCACCTCAACTAAATGGAGACCTTTGGCTGTGTCCTTGTGCCCTCTGCCTTTGTGCGTGGGGAGTAGGTGTGGGTGGGCCCTCCAGGGGACGCTGGTTTTGGGTCACTGTAGCCCGCATGATTTGGGGATGGCACTAGGCTGTGGCGGGCGGGAGGCAGGTTCCCGACACCATTCATCATGGATGAACAATGTCTTGGGGTGGTTCCGTGTCAGTCCAGACCTCATTCTGTTTCATGACTGTGCAATGGCTGCTGTCATACTGCTGGGGGTCAGGTGCTGTTCAGAACGCCTCATGTGGGTTCAGTGACTGTGTAGGAGTGTCAGTAGCAAGTGTGCACCTCCTGTGGCCTTGCTTGTGTCGATAACACCTACATTGCTTTGTCTCTGTCACCAGCAAGGGTGCAACAGACATTCTGTGACACATCTTCATGCACATGTGTGAATATGTCTGTGTGATCCATTCTTAGATGTGGAGTTGCCGGGCCAGAGTGTCCTGCATTTGAAATGGGAAGTTAGCACCAACCTGTGGCTCCATCTTAGGTGGTTTCCCAGGGACACAGGAAGCTGAGGGGGCAGCGCTGGGGGGAGCTGCCTAGCGCCCGCTGAAGCCGCATCCCTCCTGTCTTTGCAGGTCGGCTGGATGATGTGGAACTGGATGGTGTCCCTTCTGGCCACAGGAGCGGCCATGGTCTTGTACGATGGCTCCCCCCTGGTGCCCACGCCCAATGTGCTCTGGGACCTGGTTGACAGGATAGGGTAGGTACCAAGATGCTGTGCTCAAAGCAAGGGACAGGCAGCACCAGGAAGGCTCCTTGGGATCAGATGCAGAGCTGTGCCTGCCTTCTACCGTGGTCGGGGCGTCTCCAGCATGCTCTGCCTTTGTGGACGCCCCCTCTCCAAGAGGAGGGCATGGGAGGTGCCAGAAGCAGAAGGTGAAACTGTTAGGAAGGGAGGGACACCAAGGGCCAGGGCTCTTCCCTCCAGAGTGAGGGCTGAGAAAAATCCTACGGGCAGTGTGCAATCTCATTTCTTTTAAGAATCTATTTCTATTTTGAAGGTTATTTTTTAGTAAAAATGGTATGTATCGTAAGGCACGCGGCATGGTATTTTGCTGTGTATACGTATAGTGAAATGAGTACTGCAGTCAGGCAGATTCGCATTTGCATCTCCTCACACAGTTACCTGTTTGTTTTTAGCAAGGAGAGCACCTGAAATGGACTCTCTTAGCAAAGTTCCAGCACTTATTGCATAGTACGGCGTTGTCAGCTGCAGTCATCATACTGTGCATTCATCTTATTTCTCTAGTTGTGGCATTTCCCAGCAAAAGGAGGAAAACCGAGGGTCGCCTAGAGTCCTGTTTCACACAGGTTCTGCAGATTCAGGAGTGAGATTGTATTCATCCATTTTCCTACTGCTATGAAGAAATGTCTAACAGTGGGTAATTTATAAAGAAAAAGAGGTTGAATGGACTCAGAGTTTCACATGACTGGGGAGGCCTCACAATCATGATGGAAAGTGAATGAGGAGCAAAGGCATGTCTTACATGGCAACAGGCAAGAGAGCGTGTGCAGGAGAACTGTCCTTTATAAAACCATCAGATCTTGTGAGACTTATTCACTATCGAGAGAACAACTCGGGAAAAACCTGCCTCCATGATTCAATTACCTCCCACTGGGTCCCTCGTACGACACATGGGGATTATAGGAGCTACAGTTAAAGATGAGATTTGGGTGGAGACAGCTAAAACATATCAGAGATGAAGTGAGGTGAAGGCTGAACGCACAGGGGAGGTATGTGGATAAGTTCATGAGGGGTGGGTGCAGAACCTGTGACTGGGGGGCTGCGTGGTGTTTGGATTTCCTGCCACCTTTCTCCTGAGCCCATTGGCAGGAGGAGAACCCTGTTTGTTCCTAGCCGTCCCTTGGGGCTGGCAGCCACCTGTCTTCTAGGGTCTTCCTCACCTCATCATAACTGCACTGAGTGCTTCCTGGGGCCCCTGGAGGTGGTCATTTATTTCCTGTGGCCCTGGCTGGATGGTAGACAGGAATCCCATGAGCACAGGCGAGAGCCAGTTGGGTACCCTTCTGGTGCCTGAGAATTATGCAAATGGGGATAGGTGTAGTGGTCCCTGCTCCCCCCCGACCCCAACTCCTTCTCATCATCATCATTAGAAAGGCCTCATGAGATCCAGTCTCGTCAGCACTTTGCTGATGAATTAATCACAACTGGCTGGCGTGTTCTGGCCACTGTGGTCTTGGTCACCCTTGGCCTAATGACAGTGTTTCCAGAGATAAGAATATAGAAGTTGCCAGAGCTCCAGGGGCCCAGAAACAACCATGCTCTGTCCTAATTACATCTGAATCTGTTCTTGGGGGAAACAGGAGCCACTCATGTTTTTAAATCCTTGGCCATTAAACATTTTAAATATAACTTGGCCTGGGTAATATTTAAATCCTGACATTTGGCTCACAATCTTAGTGAGGAAGGCTATTTCCTAATGAGATTGTTTCCAGCAAAAGGTTAATCAAATCCCTGGGAACTTCAGATGGCTTTAGAATCTTTACCCTTTTACCCTTAAGCCAGGCTCCAGGTGGAGGAACTTTTATTGGTGTGTCGGGGAGGCAGGCACTGGGTCGGGGGTTACTGGAGGAGGGGTGGAGAGGGAAATGTACATCAGTGAGGCCCGGTGCTAATGAGATCCAGGGATGAAGCATCCCAGGGAGACCGTGCTCTGTGTGTGCATGGGTGTGAGTCTGCGTGTGTGCACAAAAGTGTATGTGAAAGTGTGTGCGCGCGTGCATGGAGCGTGATCTTGTGAAAGGGAGCGTGGGAGTGCGTATGTGCATGAGTGTATGTGCACCTACATGTGTAAGTGCAAGTGAGTGCATGGATGTGTGTGCATGTATAGGTGTCGGGTGTGTGTGCATGTGCATGCAGCTGTGAGTGCTGTACATGTGGATGCATGTGTGCCTTGTGTATGTGTGCATGTACCTGTGTACACGCGTACATGTGCAAGTGTTCACAGCATGGTGGCTGGTTCCGTGCCGTAATCACGGGCCCTGGGTTGGCCAGAGCGCTGAGGCTGATTGAGGTGTGGTCGTGCTGTCGCAGGGCTCCCTCTGGATGTGGCCATCGCCCCGCCTGAGAGAGCCTCCTGCGCCGTTTGGCGAGGCAGGTGTGACTTGGCACCCTGGCAGGGGCTGCGGGTGAGGGGCTTTCGGAAGAATGCAGGCTTTAAACCACTACACTGGTCGCCACCAGCAGTGAGAGGGAGCGGGTGCTGGGCGGGGCAGGACACTTCAGCTCAGTTCTGTCCACCTCCTGGAAACTGAATGTTGTGTAACAGTTGAAAGCAGTCATGGCAAACCCTGTTTTGTGGCAAGAGGCATGCGGGGCAGGCACAGTCCTCGTGATGCTGTCTCAGTGCCTCTGATTAAAACCCACATCTGTTAGTAAATGAGGGGTGAGATCTCTGTTGATTACCAGCATGTCAGCTCTCAGCCTTATTGACACATTCGATCAAAGAGCATTTATTTTGTAGGCACAGACAAGATAATTTGAAAAGATGAATTTTCTTCTTCACAGGGGTGTGTTTCTGGGTTCTAGTGAGGGGACTATTCTGGACAGAATTAGGGCCAGGACCCCGGGGACTTTGTCCAGTTTGCTAGTAGTGGGGCAGGTGTGGACGTTGTCTGGGTTGCCCAGTTTTGCCCGTCTCTGAATGGGGCCATTGTCTAAGATGGTTCTAGAGGGCAGGGGCCTCGTGGGCGAGCAGGCTTGTCCTTCTAAGGAAGTGCATGGGTTGGGTAGCACTTTGTCGGGATCTGCACCCCGTGTGTGCTGGACTACGTGCTCTGAGCCAAGCTCCCTGGGGGGTCCTGGGGGCCACACAGCAGCGACCAGGGGCCAGCACGCTCTGTCCTCATGGGGCTGGCACTGGGAGGGGGAAGGTAAGGAAAAGACAGAGGCCAACCTCAGGCTCTGAGGAGTGCTGTCAGAGACCTGGGGTCAGGGAGTCCTCGAGAGTCCTCGAGAGGTCTTGGCATTTGGGCTGAGGCCGAAAGGTTCAGGAACTACTTTTGCAGGACTGGGGACGTGTACTTCAGGCAGAGGGAACCACGAGGAGATGGGCCTAAGATCCATGTGTTGTGGAAGCTGGGAGGGGCCTCCTGTGGACCGAGTGTGAAGGGCTGATGCGGGGCTGGGGGCAGGAGCAGGGGTCAGAGGGGCGGGGACTTTTGGAGCTGCTTGGAGGGTGAGTTTTTCCCCGAGTGGAATGGAACAGCAGTGGACACTGAATCAGGAGAACACTGATCTGGTTCATGTTATTAAAAGGGCAGTGTAGGCCAGGCGTGGTGGTTCACGCCTGTAATTCCAGCACTTTGGGAGGCTGAGGTGGGTGGATTACCATGTCAGGAGTTCGAGACCAGCCTGGCCAACATGGCGAAACCCCGTCTCTACTAAAAATACAAAAAATACAAAAATTAGCCAGGTGTGGTGGTGCAGGCCTGTAATCCCAGCTACTTGGGAGGCTGAGGCAGGAGGATCACTTGAACCCTGGAGGCAGATGTTGCAGTGAGCTGAGATCACCCCACTGTACTCCAGCCTGAGTGACACAGAGAGACTCCATCTCAAAAAAAAAAAAAAAAAAGGCAGTGTAGCGCCTGAGTGAAGAGAGCATTGCCAGGGCTGGGGTAGGGGCAGAAGCTGAGAGACTCAGGTTGCTGGAGCCCACAGGCGCAGTGGCGACCCTGGAGGGGCTGCCTGTGGGCTGATCCACACTTCCCTCCGAACAGGGCTCTGGGCAGTCTCGGGCACCGGGTCCCAACGGTTTAGGGACCTGAGACTGTCTCATGCTTTGGTGCAGCGACCCCTACAGTACTTGCTAGAAATAAGACGTGGCATGAGTGCCCGCAGGTGGGCTCCCGTGCTTCCAAGAGCTGAATGGTGTTGCATTTCCTAACCGTCTTACCTGCACCCTGGAGATAGATGGGGGACTTTGCCGTTTCTTCAGACAAGCAGGACTGTGACTCACAGGCCGGAGAGCATCACCTCTGAGTGCTGGCGGAGCTTCACCAAGATCAGGGTTTGCAGAGTCTTGCCTGCACTTAGACGCACTTTAGACCCACAGAGAGCCTTCGAGTTTTCTGGGGGTGGGCAGTGGGGGGATTGCACAAAACCCGTGTGTTGTTTGGGCGTGGCTGTTGATTGGAGAGCTTTGTACCTGTAGCTGGAGGTGGTCACTGCTGCTCAGGGCCGGGTGATCACCATTAGAGTCATGAGGTCTCCATCCTCTGTTAGTGATACTTGCAAAGGAAGTGACACCTTAGTCCTTGGCTATGATGTTGAAGTAGTTAATCAAACTCTGAGTTTATGAAAGAAGCATGGGGGATGGTGGGAGGAGCTAGTCTCCCTCCCCCAAAACTCCAGCCATCTCTAGGGTACAGTGGTGGCTTTGTTGGTGGCAGGGTGTGTCTGGGGAAGTAAGAGAACGAAGGTGTGGGAGGTGGAAGGACCATGGTAACCCGCCTCCTTGCGTGGAGGGAGACCCACCCTGCCATTGCCTTAGCCACGCCCAGCCCAGCCAGCCCTGAATTCCGGGATGTTCTGTGCCATGTTGCCTCGTGGCTTCAGACAGCGAATGCTATGACGGTCTTCCGTGGGATGAGTCTCTCCACCGAATGTGCAGGACTGAGGTTCTACTGCCCAGAGTGACCCAGAAGAGTCTGAATCTCACAGCCTCCTCTAGGCCCCGAAGAGAATAACGTTCTTTAGTTGGGCCGACTGAGTTTACATGTGAAGGGCCGCCTGGCTGGAGGAAAAGCTGAGGAAGGAAATAGCATATTAGACAGGGCTGCCCTTGAAAGCGCAGTGAGGTATATTCAGCAGCGTGTGTTGTTCTGTGAGCACAAATGCATAGAACGGTGGATTCTGAATGTTCAAGAAGAGCTGGACTTTTCTAAGTTTCATAAAAATGTGATCTTGTTTAAGAAAAGGGGATGGGTGGAGAGTTTCAAGTATGGCACATGTTTTCACAAATAAAGAATTCTCCCAGCACTTTGGGAGGCCAAAGCAGGAGGAGCACTTGAGCCCAGGAGTTCAAGACCAGCCTGGCAACATAGCAAGACCCTGTCTCTCAGCTGGGCATGGTGGCATACACCAGTAGCTCTAGCTACTTGGGAGGCTGAGGTGGGAAAATCACTTGGGCCCAGGAGTTGGAGACTGCAGTGAGCTGTGATTGCACGACTGCATTCCAGCTTGGGGCAACAGAAGGAGACCCTGTCTAAAATAATAATAATAATAATTCTGTAGCCTTCTCTTCATTGGTGAATGAATGTGTGAGGATAGAATTTGAGGGGACTTGATTTTTATGGCCTCCTTTGGTCCCCCAAGATACAATACTCTGCAGTTGGGAAGATAATGGGTTCGGGTGAGCGACTGTTTTATGTGACGCCTCGTGGTAAAGGGAGCTGGCCCTGCGTGCTGAAATCAGTGTAAAGAGCAGTCAGGTGCACCTGTGAGGAAGTCAGGTGCCGTGACTCAGACTCGAGTAAACATGAAGTATGAGTTCAACCCAGAAAACTGCTCTCTCTTGGGTTTTGCAAACTTGTCAGAAATAAATCACTAACTTTAGAAAGCTTTGGTGCAAGAGCCTTGAAGAGTTTCTGGTGTTTTCTTTCCCGCCTGCACCCTAGCATCACTGTCCTGGTAACTGGGGCCAAGTGGCTGTCAGTGCTGGAAGAGAAGGCCATGAAGCCGGGTGAGTGTGCCTCTTCAGTACTCATTCCCTGTACTGCCAATCAAGGAAATTAAATCCATCCTATTTCCTGCTTGCGAGTGAGGCTTCAGGCACTGGGTTTAGTTTTAATCTTTTGGTGACTCTGCACCCCAGTGGAAACCCACAGTCTCCAGATGCTCCACACGATCCTGTCCACTGGCTCCCCACTGAAAGCCCAGAGCTACGAGTATGTCTACAGGTGCATCAAGAGCAGCATCCTCCTGGGCTCCATCTCAGGTATGGCCCCGGTGGGGACAGTCCTTCCAGCCATCCCCGCCGGCCCCATAAGTATGCACACCTCTGCCCAGTGCTTGGATTCATCCCAAGGACACAGTCCGCTGGGCAGCCAATACGCACAGTCCCTTCTCATGATCTGAGGCAGTGATGTTCCACGAAGTCACTGTGAACACGGAACCCATACGGAACCCTTGCTCCTGGGGGAAATAGATTTATGTACACACACACACCTCTCACATCGATTATAGTCTTAAAATCCAAAACAATACATCTTGGTAGGTTCTACATTTTTTATCTTGCAAAAGAGAAAATGCAGTTCAGAAGCATTCAGTGACTTGCCCAAGGCTGCCCCACCGTCAGGTGCTAGAGCTGGGATGCCACGCCCGGGAAGACAGCACCCTGCCCCACCCTGCCCTGGGCTCCTGTGTGTGAGAGCAAGGCAGGGAGGCTGTGTCGCCTTGTGTGACCTCAGTGGGAATGTGCCTGGGTGACTTAGGGTTTTGACTGCTCTGCAATGTCTGAGAGTGACCACAAAAGCTCCAGAGTATGGATCTGGAGGTGTAACATACCTTTTAGTGAGTAGGCAAATTCCCCAAAATAGAATCTGCAAATAGTGAGAATCCACTGTATGGAAGGACAAATATTGCCACATTGTTTATATAAGTAAAAAATAGACACTACCTATATGCCCAGCAGAAGGAAATTGATTGAATAATTTAGGGTACAGTCTTAATTTATGCAGCCATTAGAAGTGCATGAAATACACTGATGGACATCGAAACATGGCCATTGGCCATGATGAGTGAAAAAATCAGATTGCAGAATTACAAGGTGCGGTCATTTTTGCAGGTGGAAAACAGGTATATATGGATGTGTACATGCACACTCATGTATGTATATATATGGGTGTATTATATGTGGATTCCAAGTGAATTTTTTTTTTTTTTTTTGAGGTAGAGTCTTGCTCTGTCACCCAGGCTGGAGTGCAGTGGGTGCGATCTCAGCTCACTGCAACCTCTACCTTCTGGGTTCAAGCAGTTCTTGTGCCTCAGCCTCCCAAGTGGCTGGGATCACAGGCATGTGCCACCACGCCCAGCTAATTTTTCTATATTTTTAGTAGAGATGAGATTTCACCGTGTTGGTCAGGCTGGTCTCGAGCTCCTGACCTCAGGTGATCCACCCACCTTGGCCTCCCGAAATGCTGGGATTACAGGTGTGAGCCACTGTGTCTGGCCCCCAAGTGCATTTTTTCTCATAACTTTTTTCTTAACATAAAGTTGTGCTTTAGAAAATGGTTCACGCACGTGGTAAAAAATTCAGTCCACAAAGGTGTCCTCATGGCTGCCGTCCCCCTTCCCCAAGGAAGCCGACGTCGTTCCCTTCAGAGATGTTCTGTGCATAGGTGAGCGTGTGTGCTTGAGTGTGTGTGAGTGTGTGTAAATGGGGCGAGAGCACCCCATTTTTACACAGATGTAGTTTAGGGTACACACCTCAATTCCCCTTCACATGACTTAAGAGTTGATTCCATTGCTGCCCATAGAAATCTTTGGGTCAGTTTTTTTTTTTTTTTTTAAAGACAGGGTTTTGCTCTGTTGCCCAGCCTGGAGTGCACACTGACACGATCATGGCTTACTGCAGCCTCCACCTCCCAGGCTCAAGTGATCCTCCCACCTCAGCCTCCTGAGTAGCTAGGACCACAGGTGCATGCCACCACGCTCAGTTATGTTTTTTTATTTTTTGTAGAGACGGGGTTCCACCATGTTGCCCAGGCTGTTCTTGAACTCCTAACCTCAAGTGATTCTCCCACCTTGGCCTCCCAAAATGATGGGATTACAGGCATGAGCCACCGTGCCTGGCCTGGGTCACTTTTATTTTATTTTTACATATTTGTAGTTCTGATTTTTCTCCTTGTGATTTAAAAACATACTCTCAAAGCACCTCTTTAAGAGGTGCTATTTATACAAAATTAGCTGGGCATGGTGGCACATGCCTGTAATCCCAGCTACTAGGGAGGCTGAGGCAGGAGAATCACTTGAACCTGGGAGGTGGAAGTTGCAGTGAGCTGAGATCGTGCCATTGCACTCCAGCCTGGGCAACAAGAGTGAAACTCCGTCTAAAAAAAAAAAGGTGCCATTTGCCCGAAGCCTGAGGCCGACCCCTCAGCCTTCCTCCCCACCGTTGGTTCCTCGGCCTGAGGTGGGGGGTCTGAGCCATTCCCACCAGCAGAGTGAGCAGCAGGAAGGAGGTCAGGAGCCCTGCTCAACCTTGATGGTGGCAGAAACGAACGTGACTCACTCATTTTCGTGGGACACATCAGTCAGTGACATGAAATGGCAGAGAAGACATCACATTTTATTCTCTGCCTGAAGGAAGAAATAAAATCACACTCCACAATCTTGCAGCTGGGAACTTTTTGTTTTGTTTGTTTGTTTGTTTTGACAGAATCTTGCTCTGTCGCCCAGGCTGGAGTGCAGTGGCACAATCTTGGCTCACTGCAACCTCCGCCTCCTGGGTTCAAGCGATTCTTGTGCCTCAGCCTCCTGAGTAGCTGGGATTACAGGCACATGCCACCACGCCTGGCTAATTTTTTTGTATTTTTAGTAGAGATGGGGTCTCACCATGTCACCTAGGCTTGTCTCGAACTCCTGAGCTCAGGCAATCTGCCCACCTTGGCCTCCCAAAGTGCTAGGATTATAGACGTCAGCCACCTCGCCCAGCCACATTTCTGTTTTTCCAACCATTAAGTCCACATAAACCATGGCACTCGAGCCTTCCCATGTGATGGGTCTGTCTAGGCAGTGCCTGCCAGGTATGTATCACAGGCAAAGCTTCCATTTTCTGCGATCCTGAGTCTTGAATTTCAGCATGACCACAGGAGGTCATTTACTTAGCGGATCCTCTGGCAGGAAGGCTCGGCTAAAACGTCAATCACCAGATGTGGGGGGTTCATTCTAATTTCCATATCACCTCTCCCACTGCTCCCTGAAGAGAAGCCCCACCTGTCTGGGATGTTGCAGTGTTTGTCTGGGAGAGTAGATATTTGTCCTCTTGGCACCTTCTCCTTTGTTGCTCACTAATTTAACACAATTTGTCTTGGGCTTCTAAATTTTGAGTCTCCCTTTGCCATTGCTTGCAGGAGGCACCGACATCATCTCCTGCTTCATGGGCCACAATTTTTCTCTTCCTGTGTATAAAGGGGAGATTCAGGCCCGGAACCTGGGCATGGCCGTGGAAGCGTGGAACGAGGAAGGTGATGGCTCCACCAACTGTTTCTTTCTGTGATTAGGCGTGAGTTGGGAGTGTGGGAGCGTTCGGATGTGTAACTTTGCTTGGACATAGTTCTCCAAAACAGCCCTCGGAGGGGAGGCCCCTGTCACTTGCAGTGTGATGTCCTTTCCCTCCAGCTTGGTTTAACACCCGCCGGGCTTCTGGTCCCTAGCCTCTGAGAGGTCAGGGTCGAGCTGGAGGACAGGTGGAGAGATGTGTGCTCGGGAACAGTGGGCAGGTGGGTGGTCATTGCCCTGCATCTGAACCCTGGTGCTGGATACACAGGCAGCAGCCAGCTCTGAGCTTCTGAGAACCTGGTCATTGAAGGGATAGTCTCCCGCTATGCTGGGCCTGGCAGCTAGAAATCCAGCTGTGCTAGGAGGGGTGAGCAGGGCTCAGTGCACCTGCTCTGCAGAGCAATGTGGGAGGAGTCAGTGAAGCTGAAGATGCATACGTGCCCTGTGATCTGGGAATGCCACTCCCAGAAGACTTACTTGTGATCCATGCAAGAATGTTTGTAGCGCCCCATGATTTGTAATGGAAAACAAAATTGGGAACAATAGAAATGTCCATCTTTGAGAGGAAGAAACTCTGTGATCACATGTGGAGAATGCCCAAGTGGTGAATACGAATGAACCAGAGTGAGACCTAGTAGCCCGAACGAGCCCAGATGTCATGCTGAGTGAGCACAGGAAGATGCGGGACACATAGAAGGACAGCGTGTATGTGTTCAAAGGCATGCAGAGTGACGACATATGCTATTCAAGGATGCGTGTGGATGGAGCAGAAATGTTAACACACATGGGAATAACAAATCACTACGTCCGAGACAGCGATTTTGGGGAGCACACAGGGAGGGGACTTCATCTGGGAGGAACGCATTATTAGGCTGCTGTGACAGGTGTGTGGGCGTGGACCATCTCTGTACCTTTGTATATGTCTGGAATATTGCATAATAAGTAATAGCTTAAGAAAGAGAGAGAGACAGCCAGGGTGTGTGGCTGTGGTGTGTGTTGGGCTTATTTTTAATTCTCCCATACCAGGAAAGGCGGTCTGGGGAGAGAGCGGCGAGCTGGTGTGTACTAAGCCGATCCCTTGCCAGCCCACACACTTCTGGAACGATGAGAACGGCAACAAGTACAGGAAGGCGTATTTCTCCAAATTCCCAGGTCGGTTGGAGAGATGCAGACAGAGCTGGCCAGCCTCTGCCTTGGCTGGGCCTTCTGTGTCTAATTCTGTACCATCGTGCCCCTCCCCTCTTCCTTCCCCCACCAGGGCTTGGAGAAGCTGCTTATAGTTCATTCCGCCAGTGGGGGGATAATGAATTTTTGATCAATATCTTGTTGTCTTCAGCTTGAAGCTATCGTGTGCAACTGCAATCTGGTTTAGTTGAATCTCAGCCACCTCTGCCCAGAGCCTCTTGGCCCCAGCCCCTGCTGCTGGGAGCTGGCACGAGCCTCTGGTTTGCATGTGGGAGGGTGGAGGGTGTGGGGCTGAAACAGGGTGATGCCTGCCTGTTCACGAGGAGTGGCATGTGGAAGTGGCGTCTGGCTCGGGTCTCTTCCTTCGTGTCTCTCACCATCATCCAGTCCTCATGGAGATGCTGGAGGAAGAGCGCTTTTGCGGTGGAAGCATTTACAACCCGACACGTCACTCTCACATAGACTGACACCCTTGGGTGTCGTCTTTTGAGTGGTGCCTTGCCCCAAAGCAGGGAAGTCTTTTATTTAAAGCTCTGATTCCTGCCTCCCTCTAATCTTATTTCATAAGCAGTCTCGAGTTACTGCTGCTATATAATTCATCGTTTAGCAAGCCTTCTGTTCCAGAGTTATTTATACTCAGTACTTGCTTTCTGCAGTCTCTCAAAAGGTAATCTGGTTTAGCACAGACCACGTATGGAGAATCAGAAAGCGGTAAGTGGTAGGATTTGCCAGGTATCCTTCCTGCCTTGCGTGTTTGCGTTTCACCGTTAAAGCCATTGTGCCTGGAATAGTGCCTTCCTGCAGCAGCGTGGGGCATCCCCCCAGGGGTGGCTCAGCCTCCACTGCATACCTGCTGCACCTATGCCCCACCTTGGCTCCTGCCGTGAGCAGCTGTGCAGACAGACGAATGCAGAAAAGCAAGAGTGGATGTAGAGAAACACTCATCAGATGACCCTGAAGAGGAGGGTAGGGCCTCCTGCCTTGGGAGGAGAGGCCAAAAGGATTAGAATCTCAGCTTGAGGATCCATCCAAGAAATGATGGCCCTTCATCTTCTGTAACATTGCTCTTTGAAAACTCTCTTTTCTGTCACTTTATTTGTCACATGTGCAAGGGTTCATGTGATAGATGTCTCTCAGGATTAATTTCAGAATAATCTTTTTTTGAAACTGATATTCCTTCTTGGAGAAGACAAGTACTTTGTGACGTGTTATATTTCCATTTTTGCCTTGGCTGCCAGGAAACTCAGAGCTGAAATAATTGCTTTGTTTTTGTAGTCCTCTTACCTTTAGGGTAAGATTTTGCTTCTCTTTGAATAATCCTGTCATGAAGTCAGTTTTAAAGGTAGCTTCCTCCAATACTTCCTGAGTGTAGGTGAGAGATATGAATAAATATGGAAAGACAAAGGCAGATCAGATAATGAGATCTGAAGCTGTTTATCATGGACAAGGTGAACATAGGCTGCACTTAGACCCTTCCTCAAGCACCAGCGCTGAGAGATTCTTGGGCTGTATAGGAAATGGCGTGATGGCAAAACCAAGCAACAAGAGCAAGCCTTCGTTTCCACAACTCGGAGTGGGTTTTTGGACGTCGTTACCTTAAAAAATGATGCCAGGTGAAAATGTAAACAGGCCGTGTGCTGGTATGGAAAGATACCCAGGATGTTAGTAAGTGAAAATGAGAGTTTAAGAACAGAGGACATAGCATCCCTTTGGTGTAAATTTTAAATTTTTATTTTAGAGACAAGGTCTCCGTCTGGCCCCAGGCTGGAGTGCAGTGGTGTGATCTCCATCCACTGCAGCCTTGATCTCCAGGGCTCAAAGGATCCTCCCGCCTCAGCCTCCTAAGTAGCTGGGACTACAGGTGTGTGCTACCATGCCTGGTTAATTTTTGTATTTTTTGTAGAGATGAGGTCCCTCTATGTTGACCAGGCTGGTCTCGAACTCTTGAGCTCAAGCAATCCTCCTGCCTCAGCCTCCTCAAGTGCCGGGATTACTAGCATGAGCCACCACACCCGGCCTTGTGTAAATTTTAAAAAGGAAGTACATATGTGTGATTGTGTGAATAAATGAATAATGAGTATGAATATGGGGTTATATGAGTGGTGGGATTATGAGCCCATTTTGGTTTTCTTTATGGCTTTTTATTTTTATTTTTTGACACGGTATCTCGCTCTGTTGCCCAGGCTGGGGTGCAGTGGCACGATCTCAGCTTCTCCTGCCTCAGCCTCCTGAGTAGCTGGGATTACAGGCGCGCGCCACCACGCCCAGCTAATTTTTGTATTTTTAGCGGAGACGGTGTTTCACCATGTTAGCCAGGCTGGTCTCAAACTCCTGATCTTGTGATCCACCCACCTCGGCCTCCCAAAGTGCTGGGATTACAGGCGTGAGCCACCAGGCCTGACCACTTTTTATTATTTTTAAAAACTTAAAATTTTAAAAGAAAGTAAAAGCAGACTTAAGATTTAGGTCATTGCAGATGCCACATTCCAAACAGGCCTGGTCTGCTATCGGCAGTCACCTGTTCCCACTGTATTTCCACTTTCGCCTCAGCTCCCAGGAGACTCGAAGCTTAAGTCAGTGCCTTGAAGAATGAGAATGATCTAAATCTGTTCAGTCTGCTGTAGAAAGGAAGACATCGTTTCTGCGGCTTCGTTTTGCCATCAGGCCACTTCCTCTGTGGTGCCCTGGAGCCAGCCACTAGTGGATTGCTCCTCTCAGCCTGGCTTTGCAAGGGATCAAAGTGTGTCGGGGAAGTTTTCACAAAAAACATTTCTTCAGAGTGGATTTACATCCTCCTTTTTCTCTGCATTTCCGGGGTCTCAGTAATTAGGGCACAGTACTGCAGATGGCCCAGAAAACCCAGAAATTTCTCGTCCGATTAAAGGGAGATCTGACTCCAGGCAAACAAGACTGTATGTTGTTGCTGGCACCGAAGTGCCAGAATGAGGCAGGATTCCCAGGTGAGCGGCACAGGCTTGCAGCTCTCATCTTCCAGGGCTGCCATTCATAGACTCAGTTTGCTGAGTAGCCATACAGGCGTGCTCCTGCAGAAGCTAGGCACATCCATTGCAAGCCTAGGAGTGGATTTTTTTTTTTCCTTATTTGTGTATGTGAATCTTTTAAAAGTCCAATGAGAAAAGAATTGGTTTCATTCTCTAGCTTGGGGAGGCGGGAGGAAAGACCTGAAGACCTGCAGTTCTCTTTTTTTGCATTGGAATAAGTAGCTTTGGGCTCATTTCATTCTCTTCAGCTGCCTCCCAGGGACCATGCACTCCTGTACACAGTCCCCTTGGCCTTCGTCCCCATAGAAGGCTTGGTGGTGGCTTGTGGCAGTGTCTGCTTCATGATGTCACATAAATGCGTGAGTAGACTAGGTAGCTGTTGAGTCATAAGCTGTTTGGGTTAGCTCTTGCCACAGAGTGGAGAAGTGCTGGAGAAGTGTCTCGAGATTTGGGAGGGAGGAGATGCCTTCTGAGGCTGCCGCCCGTCAGTGAAGACACAGAAGCTGGCTTCTTTACTGTTTTCCCTTCCCGGATCGCAGGAAATCTTCGGGGCGTTATTGCAGGAGGCCAGCCTGCTGCTGAGGCAGATGACTTCTGGCATTACAAAGCAGCAGAGATGCGCTTTTGATTACGGCCAGCCAGTTCCCCTCAGTGTGGCTGATCAAGGGCTGGTGGTGGTGTCAGCAGGAGGAGGCCCCCAGCTGGTTAACTGCTCCCTTGGTGACTCTCTCGGCTGTGTGGCTTCTCTTCACTGTTTGGCGCCTGGGTGGAGGATGTGGCCAAGGAACCTCTCTCCTTAGAGGCGGCATCCAAATCTGGGATTTGATCCCTTTGGTCCATCAGCTTCATGGTGCCACCCCAGCGTGCAGGCCTTCTCTGAACAGCTGCACATGAGGCCACTCACGTGGCCTGCTGACACTGTGTTGCTGTCATCCCTGGCTCTTTCCTCTTCCCCGTCTCCTCATCCCCTGGGTTTTACCTGCTAATCGGCTCTCTGTCCATGTGGCTAATGTTTTGGTTCAAGCCTACATGACTCGGACTGGTGCAGTAGCCTCCTTCCTGGTCACGAGCACGTGTATTCCATTCCAAGATCTGGCCCCAACCTCTGCACACCCTGTGCCCTCCACTGCCCCTGGCCACTCTTGCTTCCCAAGACATGGCTTATTCTTTCCTGTGCTACACTCAGGGTTGTCTCCAGACACTCCTGTTGACCCCCAGTGGCCTGGCCGAGCTTGGTCCTGCCCTCTGTGAATTCCCGGGTCCTTGCTGGTGCCTGAGGAGCTGCGTTCCTCCTCGCCGGCGGTGTCAGAGCTGCCCGGGCAGCAGCCCCGCTAGAGGGCATGTTCCTTGGGGCAGGAACTGTCTGGCTCCCTCTGGCCCCCAGCCCCATGCCAGACCTGCCTCTGGGCCCCAGTGATGTCTGCGGACCTACACCCAGCGTCTGTCCAGGCAGCCTGTCATGGCCCCTTCTCCTCGGGATGACCGGGCACCTCTGCTGTCTTTGCAGGTATCTGGGCTCATGGCGACTACTGCAGAATCAACCCCAAGACCGGGGGCATCGTCATGCTTGGCCGGAGGTAAGGGCTGCAGAGTCGGCTTCTCTTTCCTGGAGCCCCACCTTCCAGAGGCATGGGGGTGGGAGAGGAGGTGCTTTCTATAAAAGTCAGTGACCCCCTTCCTGGGCACCTCACTCCACTCCAGCACCAGGGTGTCCACACCACCCACACCTCTGCTGGTGTCTGGGACCCCCCAGCCCCCACCGGCTGGTGCGCCATGTTTCCCCACCCCTGTGCCTGTGCACACACCATCCCTGGGCCTGAAGACCCCCTCTGAGGAAGCATTGTCTGCTCAGTCTGCAACATGGCTGACTGTCCCTCATCTTGGACCCTTCCTGTGTCATTCCTGGGGTGGCGCATCCCTGTGCCAGCTTCCTTCCCGAGGGATGGGTCTGGGCGTGATCCAAGTCTCCCTGCCCTGTGATGGGGTTCTCGGGTAGGGAGTGTCAGGATGGGGGTTCCACAGCAAAGGCACAGCAGTGTCCACACCTGCAATGGGGGACACGTGTGCAGGTGGGAAGGCAGTGAGGTGACAGATGTTCCTGCCTCCCTCGATGGAAAGCTTTAACCTGAGAGGGAGAAAGAGCCGGGTGGTAGGGCAAGGAGCTGGGGAGCGGAGTGTCCGTGACTAGTCCTGGGGGATGCCATGGGAAAGTGGGGGGTGACTGCCCTCCCGTGGGACCCCTGGGACTTGCTTCACTCCAGAGCTGCGGTGTGGCCCTGACCTCTTCTCTCTTTCCAGTGACGGCACCCTCAACCCCAACGGGGTGCGGTTCGGCAGCTCGGAAATCTATAACATTGGTACGTGCTTCCCCTCCCTGAGCGTTCTCCAGTCTCCAGGAAGGAGGAGGGTCCTGGCGGGAGCCCCAGGAGCCCCACCTTTGGCACAACTCTGGCCCCTTGTTCTCTGGTGTGACAGTGGACATTTGTGAGCCTGACCTCCTTTCCAGAACATACCTTGCCCACACTGCCATCCTCATAAAACCTCAAATGGGGTCTTTAAGGTCCCTTTGCCCATCCTCTTCCTCATTATAGCTCATCCTCCCGGTGAGCTCTGCTGGGCTGGTTACTTGTGTCTATCTACTCTTTTTTTTTTTTTTGGAGACAGAGTCTCGCTGTGTCACCCAGGCTGGAGCGCGATCTTGGCTCACTGCAACCTCTGCCTCCTCAGTAGCTGGGATGATAGACATGCACCACCATGCCCAGCTAGTTTTTGTATTTTTAGTAGAGATGGGGTTTCACCGTGTTGGCCAGGCTGGTCTCGAACTCCTGACCTCAAGTGATCCGCCTGCCTCGGCCTCCCAAAGTGCTGGGATTACAGGCATGAGCCACCACGCCCGGCCAACTTGTGTCTACTCTTTATGGTTGAAGAAACCAGAAGCACAGAGAGGGTTCAGGATTGCTGAAGGTCACACAGCATCATGCAGGACACCAAGCACAGAGAGTGTAGGCCTGTGGATCTCACAACTGTACAGTGGAGTCACCTGTGGGCCTTCAAACTTCCCAGCCCAGGGACCCAGACCCAGCCCAGGCCGCAGAGTTGGTCAGATGGCCTCTTATGCTAGTGCTTAGGTCAGAGTCCTAAACTTATGTCAAGGTCGTTTGTGTGGCCAGGGTAGAGAAATCCCGATGTCTGATTCCAGCCTTTTTTCCTCACTCCAGTGGAGTCCCCACCACAGGCACCTGCTTTCTTTTTTAAAAAAATTTTTTTTTGAGACAGGGTCTTACTCTCTTCACAGGCTGGAGTGCAATAGTGTGATCTCAGCTCACTGCAACCTCCGCCTCCTGGGCTCAAGCAATCCTCTCACCTCAGCCTCCTGAGTAGCTGGGTCTACAGGCGTGCACCACCATGCCCAGCTAATTTTTGTATTTTTTGTAGAGATGAGGTTTTGCCATGTTGGCCAGGCTGGTCTCAAACTCCTGAGCTCAAGTAATCAACCCACTTCGGCCTCCCAAAGTGCTGGAATTACAGGTGTGAGCCACTGTGCCCGGCCACCTGCCTCCTTTTTTGGGAGGCCGACAGGGTCTCACTCTGTTGGCCAGGCTGGGGGGCAGTGGCGCCATCATAACTCACTGTAGCCTCGACCTCCTGGGCTCAGGCGATCCTCCTGCCTCAGCTTCCCGAGTAGCTGTGTCTCCAGGTGTGTGTCACCATGCCTAACTTAGGTTTTGATTTTTCGTAGAGACAAAGTCTCCCTATGTTGTCCAGGCTGGTCTCAATCTCCTGGACTTAAGTGATCCTCTCACCTCAGCCTCCCAGAGTGCTGGGATTATAGGCGTGAGCCACCATGCCCGGCCCTCTTTTTTATCTTGAATTAATTTCTCATTAAGTAAGGCCCACACCTGGCTTCCTGGTAGAACATCACCCATCCTGCCAAACCTGAAGCTCTCTCTGCCTCCCCAGTGATGGGTTTTCTTCCGCTTGTGAAACGGCCTCCTCAGCAAATGTCCCTCCAAGGCCCTTCTCCTGGGTGGACTGGGAGAACACAGGCACCGCTGGAAGGCTTGGGGGACCCAGCCTGCCCCTCCTGCTCTGCCAGGTTGCTGTGAGGCCCGACCCCACACTGAGGGGCCCCCTGCGTGAATGTGCACCCTCTCCTGTCTCCACAGTGGAATCCTTCGAGGAGGTGGAGGACAGCCTGTGTGTCCCCCAGTATAACAAGTACAGGGAGGAGAGGGTGATCCTCTTCCTGAAGATGGCCTCCGGGCACGCCTTCCAGCCTGACTTGGTTAAGAGGATCCGTGACGCCATCCGCATGGGCTTGTCTGCGCGACACGTGCCCAGCCTCATCCTGGAAACCAAGGGCATCCCGGTATGGCCATCTCCCGCCAGCGAGGAGACCGCAGCCATCGCCCCACGAGCCCACACATTGAGGGGCGCTTACATCTGAGCAGCTTGCCGGTGCTTTATATATCGTTTGTCCACGTTGCCTAGCAACGCCATCCTCTCCCTGCCATCCTTTTTCCTACCCTTCCTAAGACTGCATTTAAAGCAACTTCTGCTAAATACCCATGTTCAGAGGGTTAGCAGGCCCAGCCCTGCAGGTCCAACTGGCTTCTCCCTGCTATCCCCTGGTTTTAGTGTATTCTCAAAATTTTTAATGAGAACATTAATTTTAACTTTTTATTTTTTATTTTATTTTTTTGAGACTGAGTCTGTCACCCAGGCTGGAATGCAATGGCTCAATCTCAGCTCACTGCAACCTCCGCTTCCCAGGTTCAAGCAGTTCTCCTGCCTCAGCCTCCTGAGTTAACTGGTAGCTGGGATTACAGTCACATGCCAGCATGCCTGGCTAATTTTTGTATTCTTAGTAAAGATGGGGTTTTGCCATGTTGGCCAGGCTGGTTTCAAACTCCTGACCTCAAGTGATCCGCCCACCTCAGCCTCCCAAAGTGCTGGGATTACAGGCGTAAGCCACTCTACCCAGCCAATTTTAACTTTTTAAAGTGCTGCTGGGAGCCGTTGCTGTTGCCTTTTAGTTTTAAGTTCTGCTGGTACAGACAAGACTTGACTCTTTTTAGAGGCAGGTCTTCCTAAGGCTGTGTCGTCATCCCCCAGCCCCTGGCCCCAGTACGCTCTGCTTTGATTCTAAGTGGGGGAGGAGGAGGGTCACCCAAATTGGATCACAGCTTTCATTTGCATTGCTTACAAAACGGATACCCCGCAAGCTGACAGAAGCTGCTGTGTGTGTGTGAGTGTGTGTGTGTATGTGAATGTATACAACAATTTAGACAGTGGCAGGCTGTATTTGAAGCCTATGGAATGGCTATTCGTTAAGGAGAAGATGGGAGCACACACTCACTGGGTTCCCAGGGGAAGCTGACTTTGATGTTGCCCGGGAGCAGGGCTGATTCTGTGAGGTGTAACTAGAGACAGGATTTACCAGGAGAGTCTGCTTCCTGGAGAATGTTGAAATATCTGATGCCGTTTACTTTGAAACCCGTAGATCATTCTCTTTGCCTTAAAAGTTATTTCAACATCTTCAAAACAACCTGTCCAGGAGTGGGGGCTGGGGAGAGCGCTTGCAGCACGACAACGGTGTGCAATCCCTGATCATCCCTGGAAGACTGACTCCTACTCGGGACCCTGTTCCTCCTCCTCCCGGCGCCTGTCCACATCTGCGCTGACTCCCACTCGGGACCCCTGTCCCTCCTCCTCCCGGCGCCTGCCCGCATCTGCGGTGTTGGTTGCTTTTTGTGGTGTCCACACGTTTCCTTTGTGTTCTGGTTCTGCATGGGAAGAGCCCTGCAGCTTGGGGCTTTCCATCCATCTCTTTCTTTTTCCCTTATTTTTGGTTGGTGACTCTTGGCGGCTCTCTGTGGGGACACTGATGCTCTCCAAGAAGGTACTTCTTGAATCAGTGACCCTTATTGTCTTTTTCTGATGAGGGTCTAAGGTTTTCCTTCAGTGAATCAGTGCTGTCTTATCTGGAACATTTTAGGGAACTGGAATTTGCATTTATCCCCTTGGCTTTATATTATTGAAAAAGAACTTAGGTCTTTTGCTGCCAAAACAGTTGTTACCAAACCATATTTGATCACGAGAGTAGTGGAACAATTTATTATGAAGGGGGAAAACTCAGCACCTTTCTTTCCCTGGTTGTCCTGGCTTTTGTGGGCTTGCGTCCAGGGCACCCAGCTGGGCTCTGGGCTCTTTCTCTCCCCAGATAAGGTCTCCTCCTGGGTGCATTCGGGAAGTTATTTGGAGGGTTCTTCCAGATTTTTGAATGCCCTTACATTTTCGAGCCCTCACGGCAGGCTTAGGAGAGGATTTACCTCTTTTATTGCTGAGCTAGGGAGGGGTCCAGCCTCCACAGGGAGGTGACACGGCGTGGCCCCAGCCTGCCCATTCAGGAACTGGACCCACTTCAGGGTCAGAAGAGGACAACTGAGGTCTCATCTGCAAAGTCCCGGGGCCTTGCTGAGGCAGGAGAGCCTGTTGCAGGTCTGACCCTTCACATGTTGCTTGTAGGGAGTGGGCTACCCACCCCTCACCACCCCGAGAACAGCCTGAGCCCGGGGCGCATCTCTGTCTCTGTGTGGAGAGACACTGCCGCTTCTGTTCCCTGGGAAGCCAGTGCCATTTTCAGCATTTAGGGGGTTCCTGGTGAGGGCTCAGGAGAGATCTGGGCCCAGAGCCAGCCACACTCCTTGTGTTGAGTAAGACTCATCCCATCTCTGATCTGTGACACGAGGAGAGGAGCCCCTCACTCACCCGCCACAGCTCAGGGTGGTGATGCGGCACCATTGGAGTGAGCGGCCCCGGGGGACTGGGGAGGCTCTGGCCGGCGTAGTCCTTGCCGCCAGCCTTCACAGCGGGTTCTCTGAGGGTCTTTATGCACAGGGGCTCTGTCACTTAGCTCTGGCCCCCCCTCTGCCCCTGAGGCATGACTTTGGGCAACGCAGCATCCAAGCCTCAGTTTCCCCATCTCTAAGATGAGTTGACAACAGAGCCTCTCTGGTGGGTGCCGTGGGCCACAGGGTGCCCAGAACGCAGTCCCCGTGCCTCTGTTTCTGTGCTGCCTCCACTCACCGTCAGCCTTCATTCGGAGTAGGTGCGCATGCTGTGCAAAGCCCTTCCACACACCTGATCTCAGTTGCTCTCTGTGCAAAAGTCAGAGAGGCTTTCCCTGCATTTCCTGTTTGAACAGTGTCCTGGCCTCCATCTTTAGCTTTGACAGTGTTTACCATGGGGGTGCTGAGGGTGAGTTCTTGTGTATGTGCACATCTTTCTGGTGGAGTGGAGGCCTCTTGAGGACAGGAACCTTGTGGGTCTACCTCCTTTTCTTCGGAGCTCAGCTGACTGCCTGGCAAACAGCAGATGCTTTTGGTGTCTGGTGAGTGAATGGGGGGTGGGGAGCTGGTCCTGTGACCCTGGTGAGGCGGGACAAACTTGTCTTCCTCACACCCATCTTACTTCCTCTTATGAGGAAACCCAGAGAGATGAGGGGTCTTGCCCAAGGAAGGGGTGTCCATAGTCAGCTCTGCCTTCTGCTCACCCAGAATAAAGACCTGGGGACCCCGCGAGGGTCATGGCCAAGTGGAATGGACTCCTGGCATTTGAGGGCTTCCCGACTGCAGCCCTCAGGCAGCCATGGCTGTCCCAAGTCCAGCGGGCCTTTGCTCGGGTCATGGCTGGGATGTCTGGCCCTTCCTGACAGGAGGCTGCTGGGCTCCTGTCTACTTGGGGACGCCTCATGCAGGAGCTGGTGTGGGGGTGGGCAGGGGGGCGGTGGCTTCTTCCTTTCTCTTTCCCTTTCCTCTACCTTTTCCCCTCTCCCCAGAGGAAATGGTAGCAGGATTTCTTTTAAGAGGATGCTGCTGTATTTTGCCAGCGGGTGGAAGGTGGCGGTATTAGCTCCCGTGAGCTGCACGTGGACCCCTGTGTGAAGCGTAGCAGGGCACAGAGCAGGCGAGACGTTTGCATCTCACAGCGGGAGGGCCGGCGACATCACATGAAGTGACAGGCAGGCCCTTGGAAGCCGGTGCTTAGATCCTTAATTAGTTCACACGTCGACTGAATTTTCAAGTGAATGAATTTTAATTACATCTCAGGTTAAAAAAAAAAAAAGGCGCCAGTGATCGAGGACTCGTCACTGGGCTCTGTTGCTCCTGAAGTTTCCTAGCCCACAACACACCAACACTGCCAAGGGCTCTTCTGGATTCAAGGTGAAACACATGTGCCATAAATCTTGGAGCTCTGAATGTTTGGAAAGGGCCCGACTGTGAGAAGAAGTAACACACCGTCCCGTGCAGATGGCTGGCTCTGAGGAGGAGTTCATGGGAGCTTGGGGACACTCTTGCCTCTAGTTCTAGGAAGCTGGGCCACTTCTGAAGTAATGGCAATATCAATAAAGTAATGGTCTTTATCATAGAATAACGTGATAAAATATATAGAGAAGTAAAAAAGTATAAATAAAAGTAAAATCATCATAAAACATAGTAGCTAGGCACTTCTGAAGCTGTGTGTGCACTGATTCATTCACCCAGTGACTCACAGCCTTATAGCCTAGGTGCTGGCACCCCTACTTTCATTCGAGGAAGTGAACTCAGGTTCAGGAATTTACCCAGCATCCCCCAGATGGGGTGGCAGGAGCCACATCTTCCCTGAAAACTTTCTTGCCCAGGGTGTCTGCTGGGATTTAGGAATGGTCTATGCCTGCATTTTTATCCTGGTCAGGCTGACCCTGAACCCTGAGAGATACTCTTTTTTATATTCCCATCTGGAATATGCACTGCCGGGGTCAGTGGGGTGTCTGGAGGGCCCTCTCGAGGCCAGCTTGGATGTGACACGTGTCGTGGGTCCCAACGGGGCCCAGTAGAGTGTGCAGCGTTAGAAAAATGAACATGCTCGGCTGGGCGCGGTGGCTCACGCCTGTGATCCTAGCACTTTGGGAGGCCAAGATGGGTGGATCATGAGGTCAGGAGATCAAGACCATCCTGGCTAACATGAGACCATCCTGGTGAAACCCCATCTCTACTAAAAATACAAAAAATTAGCTGGGCGTGGTGGCAGGTGCCTATGGTCCCAGCTACTCAGGAGGCTGAGGTAGGAGAATGGTGTGAACCTGGGAGGGGGAGCTTGCAGTAAGCGGAGATTGCACCACTGCACTCCAGCCTGGGTGACAGAGTGCGACTCTGTCTCAAAAAAAAAAAAAAGAAAAAAAAAGAAAAAAAGAAAAATGAACATGCTCATGGTGACCTCTGGGCAACTTTGAAATAGCCTCAGTTTCTCAACAGCCGTGCCAGGGGGCGGGGGTGGGGTGTGGAGAGTGTTAGAGTTGAGTTTCAGCACCAGTCCTTGAAAGTGCCTTTCAGAAGAACAGGTTTTATCCCCCAAACAGAGAGACAGTGGTCAGTTCACCGTACTTCGGTGCACGTTTGCAGACCTGGTGGGAAGAGGGGCATCTTAGAGCCGAGACCCATTCACTCTTGGCACTCCAGGTGGAGCTGGGCCTTTGGGGCCTGGATATATCCAGGGCTGCGGATTTTCCCCCCTTCAGGTTTAAATGTTCCTGTTTTTCTACCTTTCCCTCGCAGTATACGCTCAACGGCAAGAAAGTGGAAGTTGCCGTCAAACAGATCATCGCTGGAAAAGCCGTGGAGCAAGGAGGTGCTTTCTCGAACCCCGAGACCCTGGATCTGTACCGGGACATCCCTGAGCTGCAGGGCTTCTGAGTCAGACTGGCTGGCGTGTCACTCAGCCGCACCCGTGTGCACTGTAACTTTTGTGTGCTCAAGAAATTATACAGAAACCTACAGCTGTTGTAAAAGGATGCTCGCACCAAGTGTTCTGTAGGCTTGGGGAGGGATCGTTTCTCTGTTTTGTTAAATCTGGTGGGTACCTGGATCTTCCACACGAGTGGGATTCTGGCCTTCAGAGACCAGGAGGGAGTGTCTGGGCCGCAGGTGTGGCACTGTGGTGAGAGTGTGTGTCTTTGCACACACAGTGCAGCGGGAACGGTGGGGCTGGCTGGTGCTGAAGACAGACACACTCCTGAGCCAAGGTCTTGTCTTCAACCTCCCCGTCCCGTTGTCCCATTTTGCTCTGTGAAGGTGCAAATCCCTTTCTTCCCTTCCCATCTCAGGCTCTCCTGTTTTCCCTCAGGGTCCAGTATGCCTTTGAGCTTTAGCTGTTAGAAAGGAACCCCCGTGACTTGACACAGCTTTCACAGCTGGCTGCTAGGACCGGCGGGCTGGGTGTTCACGTGTGTCTGTGTCATGGATGCAATGCAGGCCCTGGAGGACTGTGCGTCACCCGTCAACCAGAGCGTGCCTCCGGGCCAGCTTCCCTCCAAGGAATGAGTGGATTTCATACAGGATCTCTTTATTGCACAGACTGAATGGCTTTACATGTTTCTAATGTGAATTAGGCATGTGAAGCAGTGGGTGTCCACCCGTGTCCCTCATGGGTGAGCCCTCCAGCTGTGAGCCCAGGCAGTGTGGTCACCGAGTGAGGACCCTCCTCACCAGGAACCGCATCCCTGTGCTGCCTCCACCTGAGAGTTGCTAGGGGGTTCTTGTCGAGATCATGTCATCAGCACCCCTAAGTCAAGTCACGGGTTTCCATAGCCAGGCAGTTGGTATGTACAATTCAGTTCAGCGTATGAACTTGTATCTCTAATCTGATGTCCATTTTTATATTTTTTGAAACTGAGCACAATGAAATCCTTTCTTGAATCATTTTCCTTTTGGATTATAAAAATATGGGGGAAAGTGCTATGATGAATTTTATGCAATAAATGTATACATGTGTGCACATGCACCCATGCTGTGTGTGCAGTGTGCTGGTGTGTTTTCTCTGGAGGGGGGACCGCATCTGCGTGTGTGAGGCTGGTGGTGCTTGTGCGCCCGCCAACAGCTGTGCCCTGGAGTTGTGTGGTTCGAATTGTTGGGGGCACTTCCCAGGGCCCTGGTACTTACCCACATTCCCTTGTGACCAACGAGGAGTGCTGCTCAGTGTGAAGCCAGCACCCTGGGCCCCCTCCACCCTGAGATCCCCCAACACCCAGCGCCAGCCAGGTTTCTGGCTCCTTTCTTGTCATCGCAAGAGCTGCATGTCACTTGGGTTGTGTGTGGCTACATGCCACGGGATCCAGGCTTGGCCCAGCAGCGTTTATGGCTCTCACGTCACAGGAAGTTGGAGGCAGTCCATTCTCCCGGGGCCGGGCAGCAACTCCACAGTGCAGCAGTCCTGGCTCCTGTCTGCTGCACTCTGCTGTCCTCAGGATGTGGCAGTCATCATCTTGGCCCTGCCTGGCTGCCCCACCTCTAGTCTTTCATCCGTGCTGTAGGCAGGAAGAAGGTGGGAGTGAGAAGGGGGCTGGGTAAAGGCAAAAAGCTGCATCTCTGGAGTGTGTCCCTTTTTATCTGCAAAATGATGGCTTTTCTGGAAAGCCGGCAGCATCTGCTGGGCCTCACCAGCCAGCCTGGGGACACGCAGCCGCCTTCGCTGCAAGGGCATCCGGGGGTCTGAGTATTTCAAAGAGGACCTGTTCCCCTTTTTTGTGAGTTTCCAACAGCTGCTGTAACATTTCCACAAAGGCAGTGGCTTAACACAGCCCCAGTTTATTACAGTCCTGGAGGTCAGAAGTCTGCTGTGGGTCTCACTGGGCTGAAATCAGGGTGACAGCAGGGCTGTGTTCCTTCAGGAATCTGCAGGGGAGAATCCATTTCCTTGCCTTCTCCCGCTTCTAGAGGCCACTGTGTTTCTTGTCTGGTGCCCTGTTGTCTTCAGCAATGGCCGGTCACACCTTCCTTCCACTGTAGCTCTCTGACGCTGACACTCCCACCCACCGTGTCCACATGTAAGAACCCCCTGTGATTGCAGCAGGCCCACTTGAATAAGGATAATCTCCCTATTTTGATGTGTGCTGATTAACAACCTTAATTCCATCTGCAGCCCTCACTCCTCCTCACGACGTCGTAGTCCATTTTGTTTTGCTGTAACAGAATACCTGAAGCTGGGTGATTTATAAGTTAATAATTTATTAAGGGGTTCATTTGGTTCATGATTCTGGTGGCTGAAAAGTCCAAGACTGGGCAGCTGCATCTGGTGAGGGCCTCATGCTGCTTCCACTCAGGGCAGAACATGGAGGGGGAGCAGGTGCATGCAGAGATCACGCAGTGAGAGAGGAAACCAGACCATTCAACAACCACGCCCTTGGGAACTAATCTGTTCTCACGAGGCACAAGTGACGGTGAGAACTCACCCCCTACAGAGGGGATTAATGTATTCAGGAGGGATCTGACCCCTCCCAACACTGCTACATTGGGTGTCAATGTCAACATGAGTTTTGGCATATAGACAAGCCACATCCAACCCACAGCACCATGTAACCTAACGCATTCACAGGTTCCAAGGATTAGGATGTGGATATCTTTGGGGGGCTGCTACTCTGCTGACCTCACTTTGCAAACACAGTCTGGGTCCTGCTGGCCGAGGGAGAAGTGGATGGTGGTTGTTGGGAGCAGCAGGGAGCCCTGGTTGATGACACTTGGGCTGGGATTGTCCTCCCCTGTGAGTGGCCCGTGGGCCTTAGGGTTCAGGTCGGGCCTGGGGCCTGCAAGGTCCTCTCCTCTCACTGGGTGCCTGGAGATTCCCTTCATGTTGACAGTGCCTGAGGAGTCATTACAGCTTAATCAGCGTGCCCTTTAGTTCCAGCAAGACGGCCCAGGCTGAATAAGCCCACGCATCCTTATTAATAAGCCCTGCCGGACAACTTCATTAATGAGGGACAGATGGTCTGGAACAACAGCCAGTTGAGTGCACGTGGTGCTGAGCCTGCTTTTGACGTTCCTTGGCCCGAGCATCACTCTAAAGAACCCACCACCTGCCGGCCAGCTGCCTTTTCATCTCTGAGATGGCCGTGGGCTGCACCGTGCCTTCTCGTCTTCTTCCAGCTCCCCACCAGGCCTGGCCCATCAGGAGCTTCTGAAGGCATCAGGATCTGCCACACAGCCTGGCTAGGGCTGCCAGGATTCTGCTATCTCCCACGGCCAGCAGGCCTCTGAGCAGCTGGTCCTCCTCCAGGCCCTTCCTGCCCACCTCCAGGAACCTTCTCCAGGCTGGAGGCCTCCTTCTCATGCTTGGGCTGCCCAGCCCCACCTTCTCGCCCGGGAGGATTCTCCTCAACTGGAGCTGAACGATCAACTCCAGCTGCAGTCAGCCACTGACCTGTCCCCACAGGGGCATCTGAGCCCTCTAGGATAGGGCCCAGGTTGGCTCACTCATCTGTTTCCCAAACAGAAGGCCTGAAACCCACACGCCTTAGAAAAGGCATCCTCCTGATGTCGTACCACCCCTGTCACCATGGCTGTAGGTGAACAGAAGAGCCCCTTCCCTCGAGTCTGCAAATGCCCAGGAGAAGGGCTCATGGGGAACAACACTCCCTTTGAGGACCCAGCCACAACCTATCCTGTGATGGGCTCAAGCCTTCAGAGGGAATGTCACATGCAGCTTTATGGGGGATAATCTGTCACTGGGTTCAAGCTGGGCTGCTCTAACAGGTGCCCCCAAATCTGGCTCAATCCGGAATGTGTCTTCTCTCCTGTCACCGCTCTGAGGTGAATGGGTAGGCCAGGGCGGGTAGGTAGCTTTGTTTTGCAAGGTCACCCAAGGACCTGGGCTTCCAAATGGTTGCTGCCTCCCCTGGTGTGCAGGTCTTGTCCACTTGGAAGATGTTGGCTCACCACAGTCATGGAGGAGGTGACCTAACATTCACCCTCACCCCCTTGGCCACAACCTTGTCACCTGACTGCACTCAGCTGTGTAGGAGGCGGGGAGATGTGCTGCCCAGCAGGGTGACAGGTGCCCTCCCAGAACTCTAGTGGTGGGTGCAGATGGCTCTGTGACAAGGAAGGGTGGGGAATGGTGATGGGGGACAGTCGCAGCCCCTCCCACAGGAATGAAGGAATCTGGCTGCTTCTGTGCCCGACTCCATCTCTCCTGGACGGCTGCTGCTTTGCTTGAGCTGGGATGGGGGTTACCCCGCTGGGTCCTGCCGCCCAGGAGAGATGAAGAATCGGCTGGGGTGGGGCGTGGGTGTGCACGTGTGCGGAGGCGATGCTGCTTGTGTTCGCATCTCTGTATTTTGAAGGGTAGACTGTGAGGTTTGTGAGGCAAACGCATCGGTTTTTACAACACTTTGGCCTTATGTGTGTTTGTGAATGTATGTGTATGTGTGTGTGAACATATGTGTGTGAATATGAGTGTGCGTGTGTGCCCTTAAAGCTGAGATTGCATGCCTATCAAAACCCGAAAGAGCCAGGCACAGTGGCTCATGCCTGTAATCCTAGCACTTTGGGAGGAGGCCAAGGCAGGAGGATTGCTTGAGTCTAGGAGTTTGAGACCTGGTTGGGCAACATGGTGAGGACCTGACTACAAAAAAACTTTTAAAAATTAGCTGGGTGTGGTGGCATGCACCTGTGTTTCTAGCTACTCAGGAGGCTAATACAGGAGGATCGCTTGAGCCTGGGAGGTTGAGGCTACAGTGAGCTGTGATTTGCACCACTGCACTCCAGCCTGGGTGACAAGAGCAAGATCCTGTCTCAAAAAAAAAAAAAAAACAAAAAAACCCAAATCCCCAAACCCCAAAGAACATAGCTGTGAGGATGTCAGAATGTAGTTTCTATTCTAGTTCAAGTTGAATCCTGAAAGCCCAGTGCCCATTCCGACAGGCAGGCAAGCAGGGTGATTTCCCTGTTCTCACAGAACACTGACCAACTGCGGCTGCTCATGGCCACTGGACCTCAGCCTGTGCCCTCAGTGGTTCTCAGTTCAGTGACAGCTCTATGTCCCAATCAAGTGGCTTTTCTTCAGTGTTCTGCAGAGCCAGGGGACCAGGTACTAACTCATGTGTCCAATGGATACATCTGTGCTTATCCTTGGGCCCACTGATCACCAGGGTAGTTGAGCTCTTTGCACCATAGAGGGTATGCCTCGTGGAGGGGGACAGATGGCCAACAGGAAACAAGAGGAGGTCTGATGGGACAGGATGCTCTTTAGCCACATTGGTCGGGGGGCCTCCCTTAGGTGACACTGAAGCTGTAGCCTGGGAGGCCTGACACTGCCATGTGAAGATCGTAGGATGACCAGCCAACCAGAGGTCCTGAGAAGGAAATGAACTGAACTACAGGAACAAGAAAGCCTATTTGGAGAATATGGGGGTGTGATGGTTACTACTGAGTGTCAACTTGATTGGACTGAAGGATGCAAAGTATTGATCCTGGGTGTGTCTGTGAGGGTGTTGCCAAAGGAGATTAACATTTGAGTCAGTGGGCTGGGGAAGACAGATCCACCCTTAATCTGGTGGGCACAATCTAATCAGCTGCCAGGCAGAAAAACGTGAAAAGGCGAGACTGGCCTAGCCTCCCAGCCTACGTCTTTCTCCCATGCTGGATGCTCCCTGCCCTTGAACATCACGTCCAAGTTCTTCAGTTTTGAGACACGGACTGACTCTCCTTGCTCCTTAAGCTTGCAGACAGCCTATTGTAGGACCTTGAGATCACGTAAGTTAATACTTAATAAACTCCCCTTTATATCTATCTATATATCTATCTTTATATCTATCTATCCTCTTAGTTCTATTCCTCTAGGGAACCCTGACTAATACAGGGGGCAAGAGAGTGGGAGAGGAGGTGGGATTGTGGTGCTGGGCATGGAACACATTCTAAGGGCGCCCAGAGCAGTGACATCATTGGATGAGCATTTGGAGGATCGCGCCGAGGGCAGTTCCTTTTGCTGGGCTCAGTAGGGGCAGCAGGTGGGTCTGCACTGGGCGCTGGCTGGTGAAAGCCCAGTGGCTCCATGACGTCGGCTTACCAGCTTCCTCCTTCCCTTCTTGCTCTTCTCCTGTCACTGTGCCTGAGCACCATGTGTGCACAAAACACGACAAGCGTTCTGACCATCCAGCAGACAGGCAGTGAACACATAGCAAAGATGATCAGGAGACTGTCTGATTAGGCCTCAGAAGCCTAAGCTGGCTTTGATGAGCTGAGATTCTTTTTCTCTGAGCCATGACTGCCTTTTAGATTAGTGCAAATGATTTCTAAAAGCTTCCTGCCAATTTGTGTCCAAAGAGAGTCATAGGCAAGTAAAGACCTGTTAAGAAGGTGTTTAATGGCCAGGCATGGCAGCTCACACCTGTAATCCCGGCACTTTGGGAGGCCAAGGCAGGCAGATCACCTGAGGTCACGAGTTTGAGACCAGCCTGGCTAACATGGTGAAACCCCATCTCTACTAAAAATACAAAAAAACCCCCAAAAAACAAAAAAAAAAACACCCACAAAAATTAGTCAGGCATGGTGGTGCACACCTGTGGTCCCAGCTACTCAGGAGTCTGAGGCAGGAGAATCACTTGAACCCTGGAGGCGAAGGTTGCAGTGAGCTGAGATTGCTCCACTCTACTCCAGCCTAGGCAACAGAGTGAGACTCCATCTCAAAAAAAAAATAAATAAATAAATAAAAAAGGAAAAATTGTTTTAAAAAAAGGTGTGTAAGGCCCATTACAATTGGAACTCTGGCTTTGTTGTCATGGTTTATCCCGTTGGAGAGCACTCTTGGCCATCACAGTGGTAAATTGATGGTCTAATAATTTCATTAGATGACTTCCAGGGGAGAAACAGGTGTTAGTCAATTCATTATGCTCTGGGACTATTTCCAAAAGATTTCATCTTGGGACTCCCTCCTACTTCTTTCTTTCTTTCCTTGGCTCAAACAGTGAGATCACAAGTCATGTTGGGTTGTTGGGAGAGTCAAAGGGAGTGGTTGTCAAGTGGCACCACGAGACTTGGACCAGTTTCCATTTTGCAGGCTCTGTGCTTATCAGTCTCACCGACCCTGCTCACTATTTACCTGTGGCACCTGGTCTGCTTGTTTTTGGCATCCACTTTTTTGTTTGTTTTTTTCAGTCATGACTAAGTATTTTGTTGGCTACTAGTAACAGAAACCCCAACGCCAACTGGCTCAAGCAGAAAAGGGGTAATTGGCTCACCATTTCGAAAACTCCAATGCTAGGATTAGCTTCAGGTGTGGCTGGATCCAGACGCTCTGATGACATTATCAGTGTTCTCTCTCTCCATCTCATCTCTGCCTTCCTCTGTGTTGACATTCTCAGATGGACTCTCCTCTCATGATGGCAAGATGGATTCTTTGAGCTCCAGGCTTATGTCCTCACAGTGATAAGAGGGGAAGAAAGATCCCCTCCCCCCCTCCCCGTAGTTTCAACGTGAGTCCCCATCTTGAAGCTTATTGGCTATTTGGATCATATGACCAAACCTGAGCCAATCACTGGCCAGGAGGAGGAAATATGTTGATTGATTAGGCCTGGGTCATATAACCCCTTCAGGTGCGGAACCGGCTGCACACAGTAATAGGACTGAGGGCTGGGGAGGTAGGCCCTGGACGGGCAGGTGGTTTCCTTTAAAAAGCTGGAGGCAGCAACCAGCCCTGTTTCGTTTCCTCTTTTCACAGGTGCTGGCCCCTTCTCTCCTTTCCTCCCATGCCCCTTCTTTCTCTCTGTAGCCTCCCTGTGCCTGTCTCCTGCTCCCACCCCAGCACAACAGAGTCTAGGTCTGTTTTCCGCTGCTAAGTGTGTGATAATTTATTATGCAGCAATAGAGCACTAACACACTCGGCCAGTGGCCCAGGCCTCAGTGTGCGGCACACTCTACTTAGCACCTCCACATGTGTGAGTTCTGTCTTCTCAGCCCCACTCCGGTCCTTGAGGGTGGGAATCTTCCTCCTTTATCTCCTCTGTATCTCCCACCCCTTGGTCCCAACTACAGGGTAAGGGTTCAAAAAAGTGCTCATTTGAATTCGGCATAGCACTAAGTCAGTCAGAACTCTTCAGAGGCAAGTGACAGAAAGCCATCTCTCATCACTGGCTTCAGGCACAGCAGGATATAGGGCTGGGTCAATGTAATCAGGATTCAACATCTCTCATGGCATCTGTATGGGCAGTAGGGCATAGTGGTTAAGACCATGGGCTCTGGAATTGGGTTGCTGGATAAAATACAGGACACCCAGTTAAATGTAAGTTTCAGAAAAACAATGAATAGCTAGTTTTTCAGTGTAAGAATGTCCCAAATATTTCATAGGATGTGTTTATACCAAAAAAGTATTTATTGTTAATCTGAAATTAAAACATAACCAGGTATCCTGAAGGTCTGTTACATCTGGAACACTATTCTGGAACCAAGTGCCTGGATGTGAGTGATGGCTCTGCCTCTTCCTTTGTGACCATAGACAAGTCACTTAACTTCTCTGAACCTCCTTTCTCCCATCTAGAAATGTGGGGATTAATAATACTATGCATCGTGGCTGGGTGTGGTGGCTCATGCCTGTAATCCCAGCACTTTGGGAGGCCGAGGCGGGCAGATCACCTGAGGTCAGGAGTTCGAGACCAGCCTGGCCAACATGGTGAAACCCCATCTCTACTAAAAATACAAAAATTAGCCGCGCGTGGTGGCAGGCTCCTGTAATCCCAGCTACTCGGGAGGCTGAGGCAGGAGAATCGCTTGAACTCAGGAGGCAGAGGTTGCAGTGAGCCAAGATTGTGCCATTGTACTCCAGCCTGGGTGACACAGTGAGACTCCATCTCCAAAAAAAAAAAAAAAAAAACAAAAACGAAAAAGAGAAAAAAGAATACTATGTATCTCACGGGGCTGTGATGCCAGTGAAATAACCATGTTGCCAATAAAATAGTGCTGGGCACATAGCAGGTGCTCAGTAAATGCTATCTCCTATTATTTTATAATCTCTCCGTCCTTCTTCCTTCTGCGTAGGCTTCAGTCTTTGTCTTTTTGCCGAAGTTCCAACAAAAGGCCCGAAGAGGAGTCCCATTGGCCTGGCCCAGGTCATGTGCCTATCTCTGAACCAATCATGGAGACCAGGGGAATGGGAGGTTCTGATCGGCGGCACCTGGATCATGTGACTGCCCTGCGGCAGGAGGAGAGGCCAGTCCAAACGGAGACACGTGACCTGAGGTTGGGGAATGGAGGTGCCTCAGGGGAGGATAAGGGCTCTGAGGCTGGAGGGGAGAGGATGAATCTCAGGCATGACAAGCACCTCCACCTAATAGCAGTCATGAGGCTTTTGTGAGGAGGCAGAATTCCAAGTGAGGAAGAAGTGCCGCGGCTGAGTTGTGAGTTTAGGTCACTGCCTCATTCGCTGCCTGACTATGGATGGCTTACCAGGGCTCCCCAAGCCCCGGGCCGTGGACCAGTACCAGTCCAGTGGCCTGCTGGGAACTGCTCCACACAGTGGGAGGTGAGTAGCAGGCAAGGGAGCGTTACCGCCTGACCTCTGCCTCCTGTCAGATCAGCCGTGGCATTCGAGTCTTTTAGGAGCGCAAACTCTATTTTGAACTGCAGGCGTGTCAGGGATCTAGGTTGTGCGCTCCTTATGAGAAGCTAATGCCTTTCATCCTGAAACAATCAGTTCTCCCCATGGAAAAATTGTCTTCCACGAAACAGGTCCCTGGTGCCAAAAAGGTTGGGGACCTTTGCCTCAGGCAATGAGGTCCCCAGTGATGGTGGATGCATGCAAATCGGTAAGACAGGCCTTGTTTCGGGCGGTCGGAGAATTGAAGAATTGCCTGGCTCTGGCCTGGAAGAGTTCCCAATCAGAATTCCAAAAAAAAAAAAAAAAAGTTCTTCTGGGTCTGCATGTTCACGGGTCATGAAGACAAATGAGGCTTATTTGCACAGAATGCAGATGAAAGAATTGGGTTTTGAGGATCAGTGAGATTTAAGTGGGAGGCCACCTTTTGAGGAGAAGCAACCCCTTCCAAGATAAATCCATCTTATACAATTGTTGTCCTCCTGAACTTTACAGTTACCTCAGGGGTTGTGGCAGTTAAAGAAAAACGGCTGCACAATTTTTGACACTTCTTTTGGTGAGGGGCATGTCTATATCCCCTCCCCACCAATCTAGGTGGGCTGGTGTCTGGTTTGTTCTATAAAGTATAGCGGAGGTGACGCTCAGTGACTTACGGGCTGGACCAGGAAAACCAGGTAGCTCTGCCTGGTTCTTTTGGGGATGCTCACTGGCAGGAGCCTGCTACCATTTAAGAAGTCTCATACCCGGGGCACCATGCTGGAAAAGCCACGTGGAGGTGCTGTGGCCAGAAGTCCCAGCAGAGCCCAGTCTTCCAGCCATCCCCACCAAGATACCAGGCATATGAATGGAGCCATCTTTCAGCCTCCAGATCGGCCATCTGCCAGCTGAATATCATTGAGTAACCTCAGTTGACACCTCGTGGAACAGAAGAATCACCCAGTCAAGCCCTGACTGAATTCCTGACCCATAGAATCTGTGAAATATAATAAGATCACTTCTGTTGTATGCTACTAAATTTTTGGATAGTTGTACAGCAGTAGTAACTGGAACAAGGGATTTGGTGATGTAAATACAAGAAGAAGGTCGAGTACAGCCACAGGGAAGCTGAGGACAGCAGGAGCCTGCTCTATCTAAAGGCCATGGATGTTAATGGGAGGCACAAGTGTGAGAGGACTGACCCTGGATCCAACAGTCTGGGTTCAAGTCCTGGCTCAGCCAGCTGGGTCATACTGCAAGTTTTTCGACCACTCAGGGCCTCACCTCTTCCATCTGTAAAATGGGACTAGCCATGAATGGCAAACTTAGCAACAGGGGACAGACGTCTCAACCCAATGGCCAAGGGTTCAAATCCAGCCCTCAGCTGTATCTTGCTTGCTTCTCACAATCACTGTTTATTTGGATCCAATGCCAATTTAGAAATTGGGAGATTTCACAGCTTCTCTTGGAATAAAAGGGAAGATCAGGCAAGGCTGGGCCCACATTCCTTGGGTCCCCGATTGCCAGGTCAAAGTGGCTAACATGGAATGACCACCAGCATGGCTGGGCCCTGTTCTAAGGGCTACATGTGCATTGATTCATCAGCCCTCAGACCGCCCTGCGGGGTCTGCATCATCGTCATCCCCAGGCTCTGCCAGAAGGGCCTCCCTGGGTCAATGATTAGATCCAGAGAGCAATGAGGCCACCTCAGTGGGCACCACAGTGGGGAGGTGATAGTGAGAACAGGTCCCCTCCATCTCCTGCTATGGCGAGACACACTCCTGCCCAAATTTAGGCACAACGCTGGGGAAAGAAGGGAAGTCTCACCCATGGCAGATTCACCTCGTATCCCTACGAGAGTGGGAGTTCATAACAGATTAACTTGGGCTACTAAAAAATAGTCATGTTTCTGCAAAGTCTACAGTGTGGGCGGAGCAGAGTGGAAACCACTCCTTGAGCAAACCCTCAGGTTCTCTTAGGCTGTCCTGAGACTCGTTAACTCACCCAAGTATACCGAAAGAAGATGCTTTTATGATCTCTGTTTTTACAGGATGGAAACTGAGGTGCAGAGAGTTTGACCCACCCAGCGTCAGCCAGCCAACAGTAGTGGATTGGGGACTGAAGCCCGGGCAGCCTGGCTGCAGACTCCTTGAGCAGTGTGCTGTGCCACCTGTCTACGTCAATGGCCCATTTCCTTGAAAAATATCTTGGGAGAGCAGAGACGGTGCCCTTCTATGGTCCATCAGAGGCTGCAGGTAGGATGGAAACCTTGAGTGGCCTGGGGCAGGAGTCCCTGGCCTGCAGGCAAGCAGTGCTGAAGGACTGCTGGTGGGAACTGGCACTTGAAAGAAGGCATTTGAAGAGGGAGGTGGTGGGCGCTCATGTCTCACCCAGGCTGGGGTGGAGGGAAATGCAGTTTTGGTAATGACTCCTGGGTCCCCTCTGTGCCTGTTGCTAAAGTTTTTTGTCAGCCTGGGCTGTCTGGTGGCTGAAGGATATGGCTCCTATTGTGTCGTCTGCCGATCTGTCCTTTTGCAACAGGGCCCGAGACCACTGGCTTCAGGGGCTGGAGTCACAATTGTGTGGGCTTTGGGCTGGGTTCTGCTGAGCCGTTAGGGCTTAGCCACTTGGTGCCAATAATAGCTAACATTGCTCAAGTACATACCATATGCTTGGCACTGTTCCGGGGCCACGATCCTGACTATAACCCTAGGAGGTAGGTGTCATCATTATCCCTATTTTGAAGATGGGGAATAAGGCTCAAGTTAAAGGAACTTGCCCAAGATCCCATGGGCTAGGGCCAGCCCTTTTGGAAAGAGCTCCCAAGAAGGATAGAGAACTCCCTCTTTTGATAACCCTGTTTCTCGTGGTCCTTTCTTTGGGTACTTCCTGAATATCTAGATTGATTAAAAGAAATCATACCCCAGTGAAGAAGATCAATTACATGTACGTTTTCCAAGCGCTTTGACGTCACAAACTCTCATATGCTTGAGCCTCTAATTAGATTTGGAGTGAGAATCATTTCATGTGTCATGAAATTTTAAAAGACAACGTTCCATGAATGGTACTTCCCATTATTCCAGCTTGATTGAAATTGTGTGTTTCTAAAAAGATGCTATTTATACTCTTAAGACAATGGAGCTTTCAAAAGGATTCTGACTCTTAAGTCTTCTTATGTGATTTCTAGGGAAGTGGAAATTTTCAAATTTTCTTAATGAATGTGTCTTTGTGGCTTTCCTTCTTTTCGTTCTTTCTTTCTTTAAATAACCTGACTTGACAGTGTTTCTCTCCCCCTTGATGGGAACCTCAGGTTCTTGCCAAAGTATGTATCACATAATTGCTTTCATGTTCAGACGCGGCAAGAGTGCGTTGTAAATGACCGTGACACAGATGTGACAATTCTATTAGGCCTGGGTTCTTACATGATTGACCTTGCAAATTGAATTCAGGGAAGGCAGCACTTCTGTCTGGCTGCTAGATTTCTTGTTCCCAGTTTGGGGAGAGGCCTGGGGAGGTGTGGGCTGGGATTTCCGTGCCCAGGCAGCCACCCAGGCTTGTCCTGTGCTGCATCCCTCCTTTCCATCTTGGCGTCTTCCTCAGCTCTCCAAACAGAAGGCAGCGGCCCATGATTGATGGGCTCCTGCCCGCTGGGGCATTATTAGCCACTCTGTCAAGGTGACAGTGTCATTTTTAATGTTCCATCTTCAGACTCGAGGTTTATTTTTAGGTAGAGAGTTAGCCAGCCTTGCCAGAGATAGAACCACTAAAAGTTTAGGGCATGGTTCTTGACCCTGGCTGCTGGGGAGCTTGCAACAATACCAGTTCTCATGAGGGTACCTTCTGGGGTGCAGGAAATGTTAGATGTCTTTATCCACGTGGTGGTTACTTGAGTTCATATATGTGTACCAAACAGCTGGGCTTTGGTGAGGGTGTGGAGAAACTGGAACCCTGGTGTCTTGCTGGTGGGAATGTAAATTGGGGCAGCTGCTGTGGAAACACGCTGGTGGTTCCTCAAAAAGTTAAACTTATAATTACCCAGTGAGCCAGGAATTGCACTTCTAGGTATATACCCAAAAGAACTGAAAGCCAGGACACAAACAGATGCTTGTATGCTAATGTTTGTAGCAGCGTTATTCACAATCACCAAAAGGCAGAGACAGCCCAAGCTTTTGTCACTGATGAATGATAAACAAAATGTGTTCTATCCCTGCAATAGAATATTGTAGAAGATAGAAGAACTTCATTCCTTTTTATGGCTGAATAATATTCTATTGTAGGGATAGAACACATTTTATTTCATAATATTATATGAAAAGGAATGAATATTATTTCATAATATTATGTGAAAAGGAATGAAGTTCTGACACTATAGTGTACATGAACTTTGAACACATTATCGTAAGTGACAGAACATCAGTCACAAAATGACAAATACTGTATGATTCCATTTCTATGAAGTACCTAGAATAGTCAAATTCATAGGGACAGAAAGTAGACCAGAGCTTATTCAGGGACGGGGAGGGAGAAGGAATGGGGAGAGCATGTTTAATGGGTACATAGTTTTTGTTTAGGATGATGAAAAGGTTCTAGAAATGGATGGTGGTGACTTTTGCGTAACACTGTGAATGTACTTAATGCCACTGAACCGTACACTTAAAAATGGGTAAAGTGGCAAGTTTTATGTTATGTATATTTTACTGTAATAAAAATATTTGAGATGTATAGTTAAAATTTTTGCTATGGACTATAAATGTATGTTATACCTGAATTGTAAAATACCGATTTCCAGGCCCTACTCCCAGGGATTCTGATTTTTTTTTATTTTTTAGGCAGAGCCTCACTTTGTCGCTCAGGCTGGAGTGCAGTGCTGCGATATTGGCTCACTGCAACCCTCTGCCTCCCAGGTTCAAGTGATTCTTATGCCTCAGTCTCCCGAGTAGCTGGGATTACAGGCACGCACCAACATGCCTGGCTAATTTTTGTGTTTTTAGTCAAGACGGGGTCTCACCATGTTGCCCAGGCTTGTCTCAGACTCCTGACTTCAGCTGATGATTTGAATAGTTTGGGGAAAAGTCTAGGCATCAGTATCTTTAAAAACTTACCATGAGGAATTTATAGTTGAGGAAAAGGGGCAAAACTTAGGCATGCAGACCCCTCAAGAATAAGAATTGTGGAATCAAGGCTAGGCCCTGTGTTCTATGAAGGCCAATGAGTTGTGAGTGGAAGGGACGTGTCATTTCTAGGCCACAGCACTTAATTGCTGATGTAAGAGTCTCCAAAGCTCTCTTTTCCCTTTGGTAATGTTTGACATGGGAGCTGCCCTGTCCACCTGGTCCTGAGTGATACAGGTTCTGACATTGGGCCTGGAATGATGAATGGGATTGAAGGATTACAGGAATTGAATGATCCTATGTAACCTCATAAGTGGGGCAACAGTATCAAGGAAACTCGTACATGGGGAAAGCTTTGTGAGTTTCTTGGCCTTTTCCTCATGGTCACAAGATGGCTGCTGCAGCCCCGGCACCACATCCTCACATACTTAAAGCAATGAGGCGGCCAGTGCAGTGAGAATTCTCTTTGAAGCCCATTCTTATTTTACCAGAGGAAAATTTATCCCCAGAAAGATCCTCAGCAGCCTTCTCCTCCATTTCATTGGCTAGAACTGTGTCTCTTGGCCACCACTAGCTCTAGGGGAAACTGGGAAGCAGGTATCTGTATTCCTTTCCTTTCCTTTTTGTGTTTTGACATAATTTCAAATTAAGAAAAGTTTCAATAATAACATAAACAGTTCTAGATATTCTTCACTCAAACTGCCAAAGTGTTGGCATCATGTGACGTTTGTTTAATCTTTTTCTCTCCCTACATACACACATGTGCATACATACACACGTATGTGTTTTTTTTTCTGAATGGTTTGAGTCAACTGCAGACACAATGTCCCTTTGTCCCTAAATACTCCATTGTGAATTCCTAAAAATGAGGATATTCTCTTACATAGCCATAGCACAATCATCAGGAAATTAACATGGAAACTTCTATTATCTAATCTACTAACCTTTTTCAGATCCTGCCCATTGTCTTAATAATGTCCTTTGGCCGGGCACGGTGGCTCACGCCTGTAATCCCAGCACTTTGGGAGGCCGAGGCGGGCGGATCACGAGGTCAGGAGATCGAGACCATCCTGGCTAACATGGTGAAACCCTGTCTTTACTAAAAATACAAAAAATTAGCAGGCGTGGTGGCGGGCGCCTGTAGTCCCAGCTACTCGGGAGGCTGAGGCAGGAGAATGGCGTGAACCCAGGAGGTGGAGCTTGCAGTGAGGCGAGACGGCGGCCCTGCACTGCAGCCTGGGCAACAGAGAGAGACTCCGTCTCAAAAAAAGAAAACAAAAAAAAGGTCCTTTATAGCAGAATAAAGGCCCAGATCACACAGTGCACTCTATTGAAACATCTCCTTATTCTCCGTGAATCAGAAGAACTTCCTGGGACTTTCTTTGCCTTCCATGACTTTGATGTTTTCGAGAGGACAGGCCAGTGACTTTGCAGCATGCTCTTCCCATTGGGTGGTCTGATGGCTCCTGATGTTTGGATTCAGTTATGAACTTTTGGCAGGACTGTGTGGAGGTGGTGCTGAGGCCTTCTTGGTAGGTCATATCAGAGGCCACACATCAGAGTCCCAATAATGGGACTAATGCTCATTAGTCCCATTATTGGGGATGTTAACTTTGGTTGCTTGGGTAAGGTGGGGCTTCCAGGCCTCGCCACTGTGAAGTTACTATTTAGGTATTGAATTTTTTACCTCGATTGTGGGAATGGCTGTTGGGTTGCCAGCTGCAGAGTCTGCTCTACTCTTGCTGATCTGAGTGTGGGACCTGTGGTTCCTCTATTATTGTTCATCTTGAGTGGCAGGGAAGAAGGTCTTCAGGAAGCAGCAGGTTCAATATTCTCTTTTTAGCTACACTTTCTAAGAACCTCCGGGTGTCAGTCTCCCAGACAAGGCCCCACAGAATATAGACAGTAATGGATAGCACTGTCTACCCTCAGTGAACTTCCTGCCCAACAGGAGGGAAGGAACAAGTATTTCTTGTTCACCTACTGCCTGCCAAGCGTCGCGTTAGCCACTCACATCCACCATCTCCTTCAAGTTAGTGTATCGGCTCTAGGAGTCCAGTGCTGTTACCTGGGTAATGATTTGCAGGGCTTTCTTCCTTTCAAACCAGAGGAACCATTCATAGCTTTCTCCAGTTCCTGGGTCTGCCTCACTTCACCTCACTTGAGTACAGCTTTTTTAAAAAAAGAATCTGAAAATTTTTTTTATATCAAGTGTTTCAAGGACCTAATTATGAACTTCATTATAAGTGTTCATTAGTTATACTTTGTTCAATTACTTCAACAAGTTGCCAAATGGAACACAAAGCTGGCAATTATCATTATGTAATTGTAATGAGACACTCAAACGGGGTTATAGAACGTTGTCTTTGCTGGCGTATTTTTCCTTCAGAGGAAGACAAACCAAAGGCAGCGGCTGGGCCTAGTTCTGCTCACTGACTCCTTCCAAGCTGTGCGGGGTGTAAAGAAGCCTCCTTTGATGTACAAAGGTCAAGTCTGGAAAAACGAAAACGTTTAAGTATGGTACTCAAAATGTTTTAGATGATGAGTATTATATCTCATAATATTATAAATATAAACATAAATATAAATATAAATATAAATTTACCGGACCTCGCTGTGATAGCTGCCGTCAGATTCATGTCAGGGGCTGAAGGCTTTTCTTCCCAGTTCTGCTTCCTCCACCTTTTATCTTTCACAGGAATCACCCCCAATATCCCTTGTCCTCCTGGCCTCCTCTCAGGGCCTGCTTTTCAGCAACCCAAGAACACTCCAGGGGCATTTTTCAAGAAGCTGGCCTTCTCAGAACCAAGGGTTCCAGCAAAACTCCCAGGCCTGACTCTCATTGGTGGAAATTAGGGTACCCAGCTTGTCCCAAACCCTCCCTGTGAATCTGATTGGCTAGGCTTGGGTCATGTGACCACTCATGGTCGGGAGCATCCCTTTTCAACAACATCCCTTTGTAGTTCACCAAAGGAGAGCTGCCTCCTCCTCTCAGCAGGGAAGGGAACGGCTGCTGTGCAGGCAGAAACTGTGGCTCCGCCTTGGCCCCCTTGGCAGGCTGTGAATGCAGAAGGCCTGGCTCTTAGCCAGCTTGTCACATCACCTTTTGGGACTCAGTGTCCGTGTCTAGAAAATGGGGGCACATGGCAAATGGATTCCTGCCCTGGTTCTTCATGGGGCCTTTGTGAGCAGCCTGGGAATAGCCTGCTGAGGCATGGCTCTGGGAGGGGACTCTGTCACAGCGCTCTTCCTGCTCTGGGTCTGACCAGGCTGGAGGAAGGACTTGCTAACTGTCCCAGCCATGGCCGTGTGTGTGTGTGTGTTGGGGGGTGGGTAGGGATGGGGATGGGGGGAGGTGAGAGGGAAAGGGGTTCACCTCCTTGCACTAGAACCTTCTGCCTTCCTCCAAAGGCCCCCGATTCAAGGCCAGCTTCCAATGAGGGAGGCGGAAACATGTGCTTCACAGAGGCTCCTCTGGAAACCATGGTGACAGCCCCAAATGTGATTTAGTGACACCCTTCTGTTGTCTTAGGTCACCCGCCAGAAATGCCAAGCTGAGGAAGGAGCAGGGGAAGCTGTTGAAGCAAATTGTGCATAATTAGGACTGTTGTCTCCTGCTATGGTCTGAAGATTCATATGTGGAAACCTAATCCCTACCTTGGGGATAGTAAGAGGTGGGGCCTTTGGGAGCTGACGAGGTCATGAGGGCCCCACTGTCATGATTGGGATTAGTGCCCTCATAAAGGAGGCCCAAGGGAGCTTGTTCACCCCTTCCAACAAGCGAAGATGATGCAAGAAGGGGCCACATGTGATGCAGAGGGTGGGCCCTCATGGAATCTGCTGGCACATTGACCTTGGACTGCCCAGCCTCCAGAACTGTGAGCGATAAATTTCTATTGCTTATAAACGACCCACTAAGGCATTTTGTTGTGGCGTCCTGAATAGACTAACACATCTCCCAAGGGAGAGTTCTTCCTTTAAACTTTTGTTTTTTTGGTTTTTTAAAAACAATATTTTAAAATTCAGTTTCTGTATAGTATTCCATTGTATGAATCTTGTGTAATTTATGCCCCTCCCTTATTAATGGACATTTGCGTTGTTCCTCATTCTTGTTCACCTTTGACACCTTAATAGGAGGGCCCCGCCTTCCTTTGCAAGGCTGGGCATGGTGGCTGGGAGAGAGGGAAGCACAGCCGTGGCTTTATCTGTCCCAGGAACTTTGTCCCAGGGTGCCCTGACACATCCCATCTCTCCTTGTCACGGGGTGTCCTCGACACTGTCTGTCTCTCTTACAGTCCTTGCTACTCAGTTTCTCTCCTTACAACTCTCTCTTGCTCACTCTCAATCTCTTTCGTTGTCTTTTTGTCTCTCTCTCCCCCTTTCCTCTGTTTCTCTTTCTCACTCTTCTCTGTCTCTCTCTGTCTATCTCTCTCTCCTCTTTGATTTCCCTTTTCTTTTTCTTTTCTTTTTTTTTTTTTTTTTTGAGACAGAGTCTTGCTCTGTCGCCCAGGTTGGAGTGCAGTGGCATGATCTCGGCTCACTGCAAGCTCCGCCTCCTGGGTTCACGCCATTCTCCTCCTGATTTCCCTTTTCTATAAGTCTCTCTCTGTTTTTCTATTGCTGTCTCTATTTCTCACTATCTCTTTGTCTTTTTCTCCCTTCCCCTCTTTCTATGTCTCTCCCTTTCTTTCCCTGTTTCTCTTTGTTTTTCTATTTCTCTCTCTCTGTCTCTCTATTTCTGTCTGTCTCTATTTCTCTCTGTGTCTGCTCTGTCTTTCTCTGTCTCTCCCTCCCTCCCTCTCTGTTGATCTCTGCTCACAGCTCTCCTAACAGCATCCATCTGGGCTCCATGCTGTTCGTGTGAGCCTCTTCCAGATGGTAGGATGGATTTGAGTTGATAGCGTGGTGTGCTAATGACACAGAGCTAATTCTTAATAATGGTGAAATGTGATAAAAAAAAGAAAACCCTCATCTGGGTCAGCTCAATACCTGGCCATAATGGCACTATCTGCAGCAGTCCTGGCCACTGTCACCTGAACAGATGTGATTGTACTAGGGCTGGGTAGACCTGCAGCCTTGTTCCCCTCCTGGTGTGGCTTCAGAGTTTGGAAAGTCAGGGTTATTCGAATCCAGGGCTGGAGAGCTGCAAAGACCAGAATCCCTCCCACAGAAGCTCGAGTCACAAGGGAGCTTATTGTAAGTGCCACAGCCACAGATCTGGGTTCACAGACACAGGTGTGCATCAAATGGGACCCATCAGTTGGGATACCTGGGTGTGAGCAACAAAGGCGGACTCCAGCTGACTCAAGTGGAAAAGGAATTGATTGAAACAACACCTGGAGAGCTCGCAGAGTTGTTGAGAAACTGCAAAAATAGACTCCAAAGAAGACGTGCAGACAAAGGGAAGCATGCCACGGAATTCGCCTGATGAGGCCGTCGCTACCACTGCTGCCGGGCAATGGGCGACAGAGCCAGAGAACATCAGAGCTGATCATCACCGCCGCCCTGCTGTCCCTGGATATTCGACATTGTTGCTGACACCGGAATAGCTTCTCCCTGTCTCTGCTTCTTCAGATCAATTGCTCCAGATTCCAAGTCTGGTTGGCCGAGCTCTGTCACAAGCTAATACCCTCATTGGAGGGGTGGCAAGGCATTAAGTGCGTGGATGCTGGAGCCAGACTGGGTTTGAATCCAGGCTCTGCCACATATCTGTGTGAGCCTGGACGCCATGCATGCCTCGGCTTGCTCATCTACAAAACGGGGATAGTGTAGTCATGCCTACCTCTGTGGGGGGAGGGGGCTATGTGAACTAAATAACAGAATATATGTGAAGCGTGTAGAAGAGGTGATGAGTAAGCATTTTAAATTTTAGCTATTACCATTATTATTATTATTATTATTATTATTTTGAGATGGAGTCTCGCTCTGTCGCCAGGCTGGAGTGCAGTGGCATGCTCTCGGCTCACTGCAACCTCCGCCTCCTGGGTTCAAGCGATTCTCCTGCCTCAGCCTCTGGAGTAGCTGGGACTATAGGCGGTGCCACCACGCCCAGCTAATTTTTGTATTTTTAGTAGAGACAGGGTTTCGCCATGTTGGCTAGGATGGTCTCGATCTCTTGACCTCGTGATCCGCCCGCCTTGGGCTCCCAAAGTGCTGGGATTACAGGCGTGAGCTACCGTGCCCGGCCTACCATTATTATTTTAAAATTATTTGGCATTTATTGTGCGAGGCAGCTGCTGTGTCTCATGAAGACTCAGACAGTGGGGGATTCTCCAAACGTACGGAGGGGGACACACAAGACAGGTGTCTACCGCAGCAATTCCCGTTCCTTTTTCTACCACTCAGATTTATTTCTATTTTGAGCCCTGATTCCTCCGTGATTTCAAAAAATCCCAGTCAATCTGGAGTCCTATACCTGTTCCCTAGTGTTGTATTTAAAAGATTAAATTGGAACGTCTTGAAGCAGAGCGTTCACTCTCCAGTTTACTGCAGTCTAGTCCACTCCCTATTGCCCTGCACCGGCCCCATTTCACTCACATACGGCAGTTAGCCTGATTCCCATGGACATTTCATTTTATGATTCCAGAACCTAAGAGCTAGGGTCTTTGAAAAACAAAAAGAAGAAGGCTGGGTGCGGTGGCTCACGCCTGTAATCCCAGCACTTTGCAGGGCCGAGGCGGGCAGATCATGAGGTCAGGAGATCGAGACCATCCTGGCTAACATGGTCAAACCCCGTCTCTACTAAAAATATAAAAAAAGCCGCGCATGGTGGCGGGTGCCTGTAGTCCCAGCTACTCGGGAGGCTGAGGCAGGAGAATGGCGTGAACCTGGGAGGCGGAGGTTGCAGTGAGCTGAGATCGTGCCACTTCACTCCAGCCTGGGCAACAGAGTGAGACTCCATCTCAAAAAAAAAAAAAAGAAAAGAAAAAAGAAAAAAGGAAGCTGAGCGTGGTGGCTCACACCTGTAATCCCAGCACTTTGGGGTGCCGAGGCGGGTGGATCATTTGAGGTCAGGAGTTCGAGACCAGCCTGGCCAACATGGTGAAAACCTGTCTCTACTAAAATACAAAAATTAACTGGGCGTGGTGGTACATGCCTGTAATCCCAGCTACCCAGGAGGCTGAGGCAGGAGAATTGCTTGAACCAGGGAGGTGGAGGTTGCAGTGAGCTGAGATCGCACCACTGCACTCCAGCCTGGGCAACACAGCAAAACTCTATTTCAAAAAAAAAAAAAAAAGAAAAAGAAAGAGAAACAGAAGGATGAAACTTAAAGGCTTTTGTATCTGCTTTTGTGAAAGTCACATCCCTGCCCTGAGCCAGTAATCACAGATCTATTATCTGCTAGACAGGGGGAAAGAATACAAAGCCCACATGATACCACCCAGCCTCATGAGGTTATCAGGGTCTCACACGGGGCCCCAGGGCAGGACACACAGCTTGGCCTCCTGGGAACTGGACAGTCAACAGTACCTGCTGTCTCTTTGCTGCTTTCTCTGGGGCTGCTGGTTTCTTGCCTCTCCTGTCGTCTGTGCCTCTGACTCTTTTCCTTCTCCTTGAGGTTAATTCTATGGGCCTGAACCCATTGCTCCACTCCCTTTGTTGTGAAATGAGTCCCCAAGCAATACTCTGGCGGGCTTCTCATCTGTTTCAGTCGCAGGGATCTTGGGACAGTTAGTCTTTGCCAAACCTCCTACAGGCCAGGGCTTGCTGACCACAGGCATGTCGTGCGGTCCTTTATGGCGGGTATGCTCGCACTGCGTCTGGAGGTTGGGCACTGCCTCTTGGCTTCTGCTCTTGGGAGCTCATATCAATGGTGGGCACACCCCCGATCCATCATACCTAGCCTATAAAGGAGAAAGCCACAGACCTTCTAAGGATGCAGGTGTTCCCCCCATGAATGTATTTCTCAGCTCCTTCATAGAGAAAGCATTTTCTGGGGTCTCCTGGGGGATGTAGTTGGTGGGTGGGTGTGCAGGTTGCCATGGTAAATCCTTTCAACACTCCAATCTCCCTAAGCCTTTGGACTCCCTCCTCCATAGCATGCCAGGGTAGCTCTGGCATCTCTGCTCACTAAACTTAGGCCACCATGGAGTCCTAGTTCCAGCCACCAACCAAGTAAGCTTTGAGAGCCACCTCCAGCTAAGGAAACTAACCCATGATATCCAAAATCTTAGTGCACCTCGGTCAGTGAGTTCAGTCTGCTCCTGTTCTTCTGCCTGCCTTGGTCTGACACCCTCACATACTCCTTAGGTTTCTGCCAATATATATTGGCAAAATCGTGCAGTTCTCTTGGTGTAAAAGCTATCTCATTTGAGGCCATAGTGGGTACTAAAAATCTAAGATTCTACTTATGAGTCTGGTGCCAACAGGTAGTAGTTGTGGTGGGTCTGAAGGAGAATGGGCATCTCCTCACGTGAGATTGTCATACAGTTTTCAAGAAAAGGACAGCTAGTCTCCTTAGACACAACAGAGCAAGCTCCTTCCTTTGGCAACAGAGGCTCAGAGTGACTTGTGGGTTCAAGATTCTCAGTTTCATCTGAGTCCCACCAGATGTCCCCATTCTAAGCTTCAGCATCCCTTTTAATGTCCTACCTTTTTTTTTTTTTTTTGAGATGGAGTCTTGCTCTATGGCCTAGATTAGAGTGCAATGGCATGATCTCGGCTCATTGCAACCTCTGCCTCCCAGGTTCAAGCGATTCTCCTGCCTCAGCCTCCCAAGTAGCTGGGATTACAGGCACCCACCACCACACCTGGCTAAATTTTGTATTTTTAGTAGAGATGGGGTTTCGCCATGTTGGCCAGGCTGGTCTCAAACTCCTGACCTCAGGTGATCCACCTGCCTTGGTCTCCCAAAGTGCTGGGTTTACAGGCCTGAGCCACTGCGCCTGGCCTTAATGTCCTACCTTTCACATGAGAAGTGTGGTGAGGCTGTGAATCCACCTAGTGTAATTCCATAACCCACACAATTCAATTGTGTTTTTTATTTTCAGTAGCACTAGCCCTGGCTAATGTAAATAAGCCAGGCTACAATAAATAAGAATTTTCACTGAGGGCATCGGGGAAGCTCTTTGGCCCTAGGACTGTGCTTTGATATGAGTTAAGGGACCTGAGATTCTATTTTATTTTCCTGTAGATGCTCCAGTGCACACAGAAGCATCCATCCCACACTGCAGCCCTTGAGGGCATCGTCACGGGCATCATGTCAAGTGCCTCAGCCACCTACCTTCCCAAGGCATGTGCTTCAGTCAGCACTTTGTCAGAATCAACCACAGGTGATGGTGTGGCTGATTCGCTGTGATGGCACTGCATGCTATGGGTCACTGGTGTCCCATTTCACATGGTCAAAATCCCAGCATGGCACTCAACTCCAAAGGCATGACGAGTCTCCAACTCCCACTCCTGGAGGTCTGTATGTATCTAGAACCACTTTCTTAACTAGTTCTGTATCAGCCAGGGTCCAATCAGGAGACCCTGACTGATTCTACATTGGTAATTTGAACTGGGACAGTCCAATATATAGAATTATTGCTGGGCATGGTGGCTCACACATGTAATCCCAGCACTTTGGGAGGCCAAGGCGGGAGGATCACTTGAAGCCAGGAGTTTGAGACCAGCTTGGGTCTCTACAAAAAATAAAAAAACAGTTGGGCATGGTGATGCGTGCCTGTAGTCTCAGATACTTGGGAATCTGAGGTGGGAGAATCGCTTGAGCCTAGGAGACTGAGGATGCAGTTAGTTATGATAGCACCACTGCACTCCAGCCTGGGTGACAGAGCAAGACCCTGTCTCAAAAAAAAAAAAAAAAAAAAGACGACAGGGCTAGGTGTGGTGGCTCACACCTGTAATCCCAGCACTTTGGGAGGCCGAGGCAGGTGAATCACCTGAGGTCAGGAGTTTGAGACCAGCCTGGCCAGCATGGCAAAACCTCGTCTCTACTAAAAATACAAAAATTAGCTGGGCGTAGTGGCACCTGTCTGTAGTCCCAGCTACTGGGGAGGCTGAGGCAGGAGAATTGCTTGAACCTGGGAGGCGGAGATTGCAGCGAGCCGAGATAGCACCATTGCACTCCAGCCTGTGTGACAAAGAGAGACTGTCACACACACATACACACACACACACACACACACACAAAAGACAAGACAACAAAAAAAGAATTATTAACTAGTAAGATGTGCTTAACTTACTAATGGAGTCAAAGAGGACTCTAAGGGGTCTAGAAATATTAGGTATAAAAAAGTTACTACTGCCAGGTGTGGTGGCTCACACCTGCAATCCCAACACTTTGGGAGGCCGAGGCGGGTGGATCACAAGGTCAGGAGTTCGAGACCAGCCTGGCCAACATGGTGAAACCCCGTCTCTACTAAAAATATGAAAACTAGCTGAGTATGGTGGCACATGCCTGTAGTCCCAGCTACTCGGGGGGTTGAGGCAGGAGAATCGCTTGAACCTGGGAGGCAGAGGTTTCGGTGAGCCGAGATTGTACCACTGCGCTCTAGCCTGGGCAACAGAGGGAGACTCTGTCTCAAAAAAAAAAAAAAGTTATTACTCCCTCTAGACTGAGGGGAAATGGAAAGTGAAGAATATAGAACTATTCTAGTCCCTGAGACCAAGAACCAGCCCTCTCCGAAGAGAATGTAGCTACTACAAGAACATGCAGTTTGCTGGATGAGGACACTGTCAGACGACGAAGCCTGCAGCTAGTCCATATACACCATCTGCTATTGCCAGAGCATGTGAGTGGCCACAGCTGTTCTCTAAGAAATGCCCACCAGGTGGGGAGAGCATGGTTCAAGGGCAGAGTCAAAGGTGGTTGGTTGAAGCTGCTTGCTGGGTGGGGCGAGGATGGCCTGAGGGGATGGCTGGAGCTCCTGCAGAAGTGGCCACTGGGTGGGGACAGTGTAGCTGAGGGTCCCTCAAGGCTACTGTGGAAATGGCCACCAAGTGAGGAGAGCATGGCCTGAGAGGGTCACAGAAGCTGGCCTGAGAGCTGCTGGTAGAAGAGCTGCTTGCAGTAGGAGAGGAGGACAGGAACCCAGAGTGGATTGGCTCTCCTGCTGTATAGCTGCACAGTGTAACCCATGCCTTCTACGGACAAAGCCGAACATTCTACCAGCTGGCAAAGGAGAAATGTTTCCAGGGGTCAGCTCCAGGATCACCAAACATGGCAAAGAAGGATGGGTTTGGAGCCGAGTGACAATAAATTGACAAGTGGAACAGGAAGAAGGACCCAAGAGGCTGGGAGGAGAGGTTTGGGGAGAGTTTGGAGAAATTAGAGGAGGTATGGAGTGTGAAGGACATGGATCAGGGAGGGGAGGAGAATTTTAAGAAATATTTCTGTGGACCATGTGTTGCCTTTATAGCATTCAAGAAATGCAAATAAGGGGCCGGGCGCGGTGGCTCAGGCCTGTAATCCCAGCACTTTGGGAGGCCGAGGCGGGCGGATCACGAGGTCAGGAGATCGAGACCATCCTGGCTAACACAGTGAAACCCCGTCTCTACTAAAAATACAAAAAATTAGCCGGGCATGGTGGCAGGCGCCTTTGGTCCCAGCTACTCGGGAGGCTAAGGCAGGAGAATGGCGTGAACCCGGGAGGCGGAGGTTGCAGTGAGTCAAGATCGCACCACTGCACTCTAGCCTGGGCGACAGAGCAAGACCCCATCTCAAAAAAAAAAAAAAATGCAAATAAGGACCGTAAGTTACGTTGGAGTTCCCTTTTGGCTGAGGGACAGTGTTCATTGACCACAACACTACTTCGAGACTGGAATACTTGGGTCCTGGGTTTCTAAGTGGGTTATGACAGTTTTCTCTTAGCCTAAAGCAGAAATTTACAACGAAAGTTTTTCTTTTTAGGTTTATTAGAGCTGCCCCAGGGATCTTGTTTTATATTATGGGTTCTTGTCTCTCTGTAAGTTGCATTGGAAATTTGGAAGTCCAGGTTTTAGTATTTATTTATTTATTGAGACGAAATCTTGCTCTGCCACCCAGGCTGGGGTGCAGTGGCATGATATAGCTCACAGCAGCCTTAACCTCTTGGGCTCAAGTGATCCTTCTGCCTCAGCCTCATAGGTAGCTGGGACCACAAGCATGCACCATCATGCCCAGCTAATTTTTATATATTTTTTGTAAAGATGGGGTCTCACTATATTGTCCAGACTGGTCTTGAATTCCTGGGCTCAAGTTTTCCTCCCACCTTGGCCTCCCAAAGTGCCGGGATAACAGGCGTGAATGCCTGTGCCTGGCCCAGGTTTTAGTTCTGAGTTTCAAGTTTCATTGCATGGTGTGATGCTGGGGCAGGTCACTTAATCTCTCTGAATCTCAGATTTTTTGCCTAACGTGGGGGATATAAAGTCTGCCCATGCAAACTCTCAGGGGATATTGCCATGATGAGGTTGGATAATGGGTATGCAATTGCTTTGGGCAAAAGACAGTTTTCATTCACTTAAGCGAAGCTGTTTGTACCCATACAGTCAGCATATTAGCAAGAAATGTTTTTGCTTGCAAACACCAGGAAACCCCACCACTGTGGAGTAGTTAGGATTTATTTTTCTCATATACCAAGAATTCTAGAGGTGGTTATTTATGGGTAATGATAAAGCTGCTTAGTGACATAAGGACCAAAAATCTCTGTGATTCTCTTGCCCTTCTCCTCATGGTCACAAAATGATTGCTGTGACTCCAGCCATCAAGGCTACATTTAAGCAGGAAAAAGGGATAGGTCCTGGTCAGGCACCGCTGTTCTTTTTTTAGGTAGCCTTGCTGGCTGTCTGCCAGGGCTGCTTTTAGCTCCTAGAGGCCCCCTACGTGTCTTCTCATTGGGCTCCTCCATCTTCAGAGCCAGCAGCAGAGATCCCCAGATGATCTCCAGACTGTTTTATTTCATCTCACGGGACAGAAGTAGAACTGCAAGAGAGTCTGCGGCAGGGGGTATTTAGCTTTCCCACCCCTTCTAGAGCGAGGAGGCAAGGGAGAAAGAAAGAAGTTGGGAACGGGTGTTGGATTAGACAGCTGACAGTGTCGGGAATAGCTGGCAAGTTCTAGATGGCAGCAGCTGAGACTGTTGGGATGGCGGGGAAGCAGCCGCTGGAGGATTTTGACTCCCACCCTTGTAACTGCTGCTCCTGTGTATCTGAGCCCTTTCATGGGGCCTGGCTGCATCTGAATAGCGAACATTTCACTTCGGAGGTGGAATTATATTAAAAATCAGATGCTTGTCATTATGCAAATGGATGTCTCACTATTGCTTAGGATTTTCATTTTTCTATGAATTATTCCTTTTTTCAGTGCTTTTTTTATTCCCCATGGAAGAAATAAAAACAACCACTGGCTGATCAAAGGAATTTTCCAGTCATTCAGTCAACAGATATTTCCTGAGTGTCTGTGCTGGGCCAGGAACTGTTCTAGTCTCAGGGAAATAGTGATGAAAAGACAGTTTCTGCAGCAGTAGAGCTTGTATTCCAGGGGAGGAAATAAGCCATCAAGTGAATTAATAAATCAAATAACTTAGGAGAATGACACATGCTATAAAGACAGTAAAACATGGTAGATCACTAGCTTCATGGGTGGGAGGTCTTCTTTAAATGGGGTGGTCAGACAAGGTCTCAGAGGAGGCAGTATTTCAGGAGAAGCCTTAAAGGTGAGAGGAAGCTAGCCATGCAGCGATCTGGGGGAAGGGTGTTCTGGGCAGAGGGAACAGCGAGTGCAAAGGCCCTGATGTGGGAACAGCATAGTATGTTTGGGGAAGAGAAGGATATCCAGGAGGCTCCAGCACAAAGAGAGAGGACAGAACAACAGGAGATGAGGTTGGAGATGGGTGGGGCAAATGACACAGGGCTTTGGAGAGGCGATTGGGTTAAAGATTCTGTCTGCTGGGGCTGGTTTGTTGGCTTGGGCCATTGAAACTTAACCCATTGGCCAGGCATGGTGGCTCATACCTGTAATCCCAGCACTTTGGGAGGCTGAGGTGGGCAGATCACTTGAACCCAGGAGTTCCAGACCAGCCCGGGCAAGATGGCAAAACCCTGTCTCTGCAAAAAATAAAAAAAATTAGGGGGGAGTGGTGACATACACCTATAGTCCCAGCTACTTGGGAGTTTGAGGTGGAAGGATCACGTGAGCCTGGAGTTCAAGGCTGCAGGGAGCTATGATCACGCCACTGCACTCCAGCCTGGGTGACAGAGCAAGACCCTAAAAGGAAAAAGAAACAGCCTGTTAGGCCATTGTCCTGGCATTACCTCCCTCTCACATTATCTTGTGAATTATTGTGTCCATTGTGTATTTCTTGCCCATTGTCCATTTTCCTAATTTGAATGTAAGCTCCATGTAGAAGGAGTCTTGTCTGTCTTGCTCATGGCTATGTCTCCAGCACCTAACACGGCCTGGCATATAGTAGGTGCTCAAAGATATTTAATGAATATGTATTTGTTTTCTGTTGCTATGTAACAAGTTACTCCAAACTTAGCAGCTGAAAACAAAACCCACTTATGAGTTCCCAGTTCTGTAGATAGGGAGTCCAGGCATGGCATTGGCAGGGTGTTCTGCTCAGGGTCTCACGAGGCTGTAATTAAGGGGTTGGCTGGGCTGTGTCCTCATCTGGAGCTTGGGACCCTCTGCTAAGCTCGTGTAGTTGTGTCATGTGGGGGTTGAGTTTCTGTGGTGGTCATACTGGGGTCCCCATTTCCTTGCTGGCTGTCTGCCAGGGCTGCTTTTAGCTCCTACAGGCCCCCACATGTCTCCTCCTTGGCCTCCCCCATCTTCAAAGCCAGCAGCAGAGAATCTCCCTCAATTTGAATCTCTCACACCTCAAATTGCTGACTTCAGAAAGAGTCCAGTCTCTTTTAAGGGGTCACTCAGGCTAATTTCCCTTTCTCAGGGTCAACTGCACCCTATGACAACCTAATTACAGGTGTAAAATTCATCATATTCACAGCCCCCTGGGGATTAGACAGGGCAGGAATCTTAGGGGCTGCCCTAGAACTCTGCCTACGGAAGAAAGTAGGAATGAATCAGTGCTCATTCTTCTTCCCCATGAGAGCCATTTCCATACCCCAGCCAGCCCAACCACACCTGCTTGTTGGTGGCTACAACTTTTGTCTTACGGTTGCTGGGAGCGCTCTTCTTCTGGCCATGGGTCTTCAGTTGTGCCTCTGTAATGGGTGCATGGTCCCACCTTAGGGCTTTTGCACTTTCTGCTCCCACTGCCCGAGAGCCTCTCCCTGTAGACCCCTGAGTGGCCCCTTCTCTCACTCTCTGCATTTGCTCAAATGTCATCTTTGCAGACTCCCTTCCCTGCTTAAAATCATCCCCTTCCACTCTAAAAATACTCTTTGCCTGTTTGACTTTGCAGTTGTTTTCACCCACCCTGCTCCGTAGTTTACTTATTTATTTGGTTATGGTCTGTCTCCCTGCACTAGGCTGGCGGCTTCACAAGCACAGGGAATTTTGTGTGTGAGATCCGCTGTCACATCCCCAGTGCCTGTGATAGTGCCTGGCTCACAGTCAGGGCGTAATAAGTTTCTGTCCAGGGAATGAATGAATGAGGTTTAAGGAGAACAGTTTTAACTTTCTTTATCTGATTTTTCTTTTTTCTTTTGGAAAAACCTGAGCAGGCACAAGTCTCCCTTCCCCAGGCAGCCTCGTTATATAATCAGGGCCCTGTTCTGCAAGGAGCTGTCAGCGCTGCTTCAAGCAGTTATATTTAGTGTTTACAGCCTCTCCTTTTAGCTGCATGAGATCTCCCGAAGAGCTCTGGAAATTAGGCCTTGCTTCAATAGGGAGAGGGGGCTCCTGGCCCAGTCCAAGGGGGCCCCAGGGGCTGGTGGGCACTCGGTGGTGGCAGTAGCCAAGCAGCCCTGACCTCAGGGTCAGCCCGTGGCCAGTGTCAGGTTCAGAGCATCCACATCTAGGGATGGAAGGTGAGTTTGTCCTGTAAATCACAAAGATAGGAGAAAACAAGGATGGGAGTAGAAAGACTGCTTGGCGTTCAAATCTTGGTTCTGACACTTGTTAGCTGTGTGATCTTAGTCCAGTTACTTGACCTGTCTGGGCCTCACCTTCCTCATTTGCAGAATGGGGATAGATCCAGCATATCTTGATTTGGTGAAATCATTCACGGGCAGTGTCTTGCACAGGATAGGGGCTGCACCAATCAGTTATTTTTAGTTGTGTTCTGAGAGGCCCCTTGCTTGGTTCTGAAGAAGGAACAGGTACATCTGAGATGCCCCTGGTGGTGACTGGATGGCAGACCCACGTCCCTGGGGGTGACTGATGGCAGACCCACACCCCTGGGGGTGACCAGATGGTAGACTCATGCCCTTGGGGGTGACTGATGGCAGACCCACGCCCCAGGTGGGTGACTGGGTGGCAGACCCACGCCCCAGGGTGTGACTGACGGCAGACCCATACCCCAGAGGGTGACTGATGGCAGACCCATACCCCAGAGGGTGACTGATGGCAGACCCATACCCCAGGGCGTGACTGATGGCAGACCCATACCCCAGGGCGTGACCGATGGCAGACCCATACCCCAGGGCGTGACTGATGGCAGACCCCCTGGTTTTCTCTGTTCTCCATGCTGTGCTTGCTGCTCCATAACGTCCAGGGAGCTCTCACAGATTTGCTTGGAGGTGTTATTTTGGGATGAGCAGAGCTGTTTCTTAGGCAGGGGCCAGCAGATTCCAGTTCATGGGCCAAGTCCAGCCCATCCCCAGTTTCTGTAAAGGCCCTTGAGCTAAGAATGGTTTTTGTACGTTTAAATGGAAAAAAAGAGAAGAATCTACAACAGAGATGTTGTATGGTTTGCAAAGCCTAAACTATTTCCTATTGTCTCACCCTTTACGGAAAACTTTGCTGACCCATGCCTTAGAGGACGGAGTGCAGTGGGAGTGGGGGGGGTGGGCTGGTGGGGGAAGGGTAAGGCCCAAAGCAAATTCCTGTGTGGGTATCCCTTGCCCCCCACTGTAAAACCCAGTAAGTTAATAATGGCTGCTCCTTACCCAGTACCTAGTATGTGCCAAGCACTTTATCTGTGGACATATTCCAAGCCTCAGCCCAACTCAAGACATAACAGCCATCACCAACCCCATTGTATAAATGGTGAAACTGAGGCTCAGAGAGGCTGAGCTGCCTGCCTGAGATCACACAGCCAGTGAGTGGCAGAGCTGGGATTTGAACTGTGATAGTTTCTGACCTGGGAGCCTGTGCTGTTTCCCCTTCACCCCAAGGCTTCCCAAGAGGCAGTATCAAAGGACATGGAGAGGGACATCTATGTGACATCCATTGACTTTTCTGCCTCCTCCTCCCCCATCCTGTGGTCACCGCAGAAACTGTTGGAGCAGCGACCCTGTCCCCAGCATACCTGGCCCAGGGAGGCTGGAGTAATCCGTGCCAGACAGGATAATTTGGTTGCAAGTGACAGAAATCAAACTGTGGATAATGGTGGCAAGCTATGGGGAGGCTCACGGAGTCAGCAGGAGACCTGCTGTAAAACTCATCTGTAAAACGGAGAGCCAGGCTGGAAGTGGGTGGTACCAGGTGAGCTTGCTCCTCCTGCCCTATTCCTGCATCCCTGCTTACAATGGATGTGTTTGAAAGGGAGAGTCTCATGGGTCTGACCTGGCTGCATGCCCACCCCTGGCTAGGAGCGTGCAGGGAGCCCCGAGGGAGGTGATTCTCCAAAGGGATTTAGCTCTGATACAGAGATAAGGAGGATGCCACTGGCCAGTCAGGAACGAATGTCCCCTCCAGTGGCCTCCCCAGGACCAAGGGATGGCAGCCTCAGCCTTCTCTTGACCAGAGGGGTGGCTAACTCTGGCCTCTTGCTGGCCGTTTTCTTTGCCACATTGATGGAGACTTAAAGAATGCCCATCTGCATCCAGCGGGAAGACTGGAGAAGCAGAACGGGGCTTTCTGTGCTTCTTACAAAGCCATTCCTGGCTTCCAGCTCACTCCAGAGACCCGGCTGTGCCCATGCCCTTGGGTTTGGTGAAGCAGCCCTGGACTCATGTAATAAATTCCTGTCTTCACACAGCCTCCCTTCACGGGCCTTCTTTTACTTGCAAACCAAAGTGTTTTAATTGATGCAATGGCCAAGAGGCAGGTTTGGCAGGGGGCAGCCCTACTTACTGGCCTTTGTGACAAAGATTGTTTTCTCCCAATCTCCCTTCTCCTTTTTGCATACGAACAGAAACCTAATGCTAACTGGCCACCCAGAATAAAGAAAGGTACATCTCTCAGCCTTCCTTGCTGTGTAATGTGACCGTGTTCTAAGTTCTGATCTATGGGATGAAATGAAAGTGTGTGTGTTACCCTCCCAGGAAGTGTTTTTAAATGGAGAAACTGTGCTCTTCTCTACTTGCTTTCCTGGTTGCTGGCATCTGAATGTGATGGCTGGAGCTCAGCAGCCACTTTGGACTATAAAGTGACTTGGGAACTGGAGGCAACAAAATAGAAGGAATCTGGGTTCCTGACACCATGCAGCATCATACCTGCTTTATACTGGCCACCTCTGGACTTTAAGAATTTGAAAGAAACAAAGTTACATCTTGTTTAAGCCTTTTTTTTTTTTTGGTTACTGATAGCTAAACCAAGTCCTAGCTGCTGCAGCCTTGGTGGTGATTTGCAAGGGATGGTATGGATATGTTTCTGGTAGACTGTGCTGTTGTTCCCAATTCTTCATCTTGCTCTGTATTCACACTCTTTGCCATGTGATATTGCCATTTTTCCTACTAAGGGCAGAATGTCCTTCTTCACCTTGGCTTTGCACTTGCCCATGTGACATGCTTTGGCCAATGGGATATTAGCAGACATGATGCAAGCACACCCTTGAAATCTGGTTGTGTGGTTGGGCTTGCCCTATTGTGTTTCCATCATTGCCTTGAGATGACCCTGCCCTGGCTCATCTGCTGGCCCAAAGAGAAGGAGAAACACTTGGACACTGGAACCAATGCACAGCTCATAGAAAAGCCCAGCTGAGCCTGGCATGGATCAGTGGATCCTCAGCCAAACTGCAGATGTGTGAGCAAGAATAAGTCATTGTGGAAGCCACTGAATTTCCTGTTGGTCTGTTACACAGCATCACTGTGGCCACAGCTGGCAGATACAGTGTTCTCTCATCCTTTAGTAGAACTAGATGGTAGTGTCTCTCCATTTTCCCCTCCCACTGCTCCTGAGCCTCTGCCCAGCAACTCTCCCTTCTTGTCATCCCTCCTGTCCACAAACTCAAGGTTACATAGAACAACCCTGCCTACTTTCTAGACGCCAGGGCTCCTCGGCCTGGAGTTTCTGTCTGCTGCCTCAGTTACCTCGCTCTTGTCTGAATTCTCTCAGGACTTGTGACTAGAAAGGAAAGAAGTCACGTGTGATGTGACTCTGATGTTCTTCCTTTGCAATGGCCATGAAAGGAAGACAGAGGGTAGAGGAAAGCTCTAGGTGCCTTTCCATCCAGCCCAGGAACCCGGTGATGGTGCATACTAGGGAGACCCTGAGACGATGCTGACGGTTAGCAGAGGCGGGAGCTGGCCTCTGAGAGATGTCACACAATGCTGCGTCCAGGGGCGTGCATGTCCTTGAGTGTCCAGAGCATCTCAATGTACCTTGGGAATTCAGGCAATGCAAGCATGTCCAGCTCAGAGACTCACTCGTGTTTCTGAAATCTGCAGCAGAAATCAGCAAAAGGCGTCACACCTAACAGCATCCACAATCTTGGTGGGAGCCCTTGCACCTGCCTGCACGACCTCCTCGATGAGGGAAGCCACTGGCCTCTCCAAGAGCCATCTCAGCGACCAGCCCAGTCCTCAAATCCCAAGGAGTCACGTGGACAAAGGCTCTTTTCATGGCCAGTTTATTTGAGGTCTACAAACTCAATCTTGTTTTATTTATTCATCTTTAATATAGACTCTCTGTTTTATGCAATTAATAAGAGATTTCCATTTCAGGTTAGTTCATTATACATTATGAATTTACAAATGTCAAGGTGATGATCACAATGAAATATAGATGGTGTGGTTTCTAGGATGCTGTACCCAGGGGGACTTCAACAGTTGTGTTTAATAAATGCAGTGGTGTCCCTCGTTCCAGAACAGATGTGAGGTCTGCCTGGGGGCTGATGCAGACCTGAGCACCTTGGCATCTTTAATGCACATGAATTTTCATGGCAGGGATCCCAGTGTTTTCAGCAGGTCCTGGCTTTCCCAGCCAATCCGATTCTGTTCCTGAGGTTCCATCATCAGCTCTAATAGCCTGGTTGTTATTCCCTGTTTGCTTTCAACATGGATGGAGGAAGTTACATAATACTCAGTGGTGAACAACGGTGTGGGCCACACCATGGATACAGCTCCTGCAAGGGCAGCTCCTGAGGGGTGACTGTCACCCAGTGACAGTGCTGTGTCCCTCTGTAGTTGGCTCTGGGTCTTGGCATCTGGAATCCCCTTCTCAAGAGACAGAGGAAGAGCACTGTGGTGGCTCAGAGAGGGCCCTGGGGACAGCTAGGTCTCAGTTCAAATCCTAACTCTGCCATTTGGATGACCTGGGGCAAACTGATTAAACCCTAGAGCCTCAGTTTTCTCATCTGTAAAACGGGGATAAAATACTTCCCTCAGTGTTCCTGGGATGGTTAATGGGTTTGTCACCTTGGAAGATCTTAATAAACAGTAGGACAAAATGATTATAGTCATTTTGTTAGGTGTTAGAGAATATTCACAGTGGGACACCTGCACTGATAATAGTGGGGTTTCCTCCTCTAAGCCAGGGAAGCATAACGACGAGATCTGGACACGCTGGAAGAAAATTCATCAGCTGGGTGAGGTGGTTCATGCCCATCATCCCAGCTACTTGGGACACTGGGGTGGGAGGATCACTTGATTCCAGTAGGTTGAGGCTGCAGTGAACTATGATTGCATTGTTGCATTCCAGCCTGGGCAACTGAGTGAGACCTTGTTGTTGTTGTCGTTGTTGTTGTTTTTTACAACACTTTGGGAGGCCAAGGCAAGTTAATCACTTGAGGTCAGGAGTTTGAGACCAGCCTGGCCAACATGGTGAAACCCCGTCTCTACTAAAAATACACAAATTAGCTGGGCGTGGTGGCAGGCACCTGTAGTCCTAGCTACTCGGGAGACTGAGGCAGGAGAATTGCTTGAACCCAGGAGCTGGAGGTTGCAGTGAGCTGAGATCGCATCACTACACTCCAGCCTGGGCAACAGAGTGAGACCTGTCTCAAAACAAAACAAAACAAAAAAAGAAACCCAACAACAACAAAATTAGGGTTTACTGAGCTCTAGGACTTGCATTTTGGGAGGGCCACCCTTCCCCACTCTCAGGCTGTGTGGTTCAGATGGGGCTCATCTCCCTCCCAGCCCCAAGGTTGCACATGTAACTCAGGCCTGGGCAATTACCATAGTCCGTCCCCTTGGGCACAGTGATTAGTCCAGGCATAGGCATGTGACCTCACTGTGGCCAATAATATTCCTTTCCTGCCACTTTCCTGCTGAGATTAAATCCTGAGTTTGTTGAGCCCCTGGAACCAGCCAAGCCTGAAGCCACGGAGACTTTGAGTATGTGAGTCAATAAATCCCTTTTGACTTAGGTTTTGTTGTCATCATAAAAATAGAACACTATTCTGAGCCCTGTGGCTCCAGACAAGAAGAAAACTCTTGGCTCCTTGTAGGCTAAATGTAGTGACTTGGCGAGCCAGGCAACTCCAAGGCAGGCCCTCAGAGAGGACGTGCAGGACCACATCCATCAAGCAGCCGTCTCACCTCCCCATGACATTTCTGTAATTCCACTCCATCCTGTCCGTGCCGAAGGGATCACTTCCTGTACCTCCATGGAGCTGTAGTGCTTTGCAACCCTAATTAACATTAATCCTAGTGTGGTTCTAAATGTGCTCCAATTTTCCCACAGGAAGCTCTCCCAAAGGACTAAAGAATAAATGTAATTTGCAAGAGAAATCAAAAATATTTGTAAGCATACAAAGGCAAATGTGGTCAAGAGAAAGAGCTATGCAGATGTGACAACCCACCCATTTTCTCAACAATGGAATAATTATGGCCCTTCACATCTGGACAGATCTCCAGATTTTTAACAAGGGGTAGTGGACCTAAAAGTAGTGTAATAAGGCTGGGTGCGGTGGCTCACGCCTGTAATCCCAGCACCTTGGGAGGCTGAGGCAGGCAGATCACCTGAGGTCAGGAGTTCGAGACCAGCCTGGCCAACATGACGAAACACCATCTCTACTAAAAATACAAAAATTAGCCAGGTGTGGTGGTGCATGCCTGTAGTCCCAGCTACTCGGGAGGCTGAGGCAAGAGAATTGCTTGAATTCAGGAGGTGGAGGTTGCAGTGAGCCAAGATCGCACCACTTTACTACAGTCTGGGTGACAGAGCAAGACTCCGTCTCAAAAAAAAAAAAAATGTAATAGGTAATGGTAAAATTACAACTAGTGATGATTTCACTGATTTTCTAAATTTTATTGAATTATCTTGATATTTACCAATTCTTGATATAGAATGAATACCTGAAGTTTTAATCTTTTAATAGTTGCATAACACAGAGAGTGTAGGTTTAAAATGAGTCAATTAACCAGGTTGAGTTTGTAGACCTTGAATAAAGATTTGAGCAAATGGCACTGCCGTACATTCACAGGAATTCGAATCAGCATAAGTTTTCGGAGAGCCAGTTAATGTGAAATTTCTAAACTGCGTATCTTTTCATTTTACAATGCATTTTTAGGAATACATCCCGAAGAACTCATCTTGCACATGTATAATGGTGCAGGAATAAGACTGTTGCTTTTTAACAGTGAAAAATTGTAAATGACTTCAAATGTTTGGCATCATAAAAATTGGTTAAACAAATTACAGCATATCCAATGATAGGACTGTGCAACATCATTAAAATTATCATATGGAAAAACATTTAAATGCCATGGAAAGATGTTCACAATATATAATTACATATGAAGAGCAATTTAAAACAGTACATATCATGTGAACCCATTTTTAATTAAAAAAACTATGTCGAGTATGCATAGGAAAGGGACTGGAGAAATACATTAAAATATTAGAAGTGTTTATCTTTTAAAGGTGGCAGTTTTGCTTTTTGAATATTTGTATCTTTGAGTTTCTGCGAGGAACAAAGAATTTGAAAAATACTGAGTTATGCCACATCAGAGAACTAATAATAACAATATAACTCTCACAAAGTCAGTTTAAAAGAAATAGAATTTTCTACTTTTTTTTTTTTTAACCATTTGACTTAAGGTCTCAGGCTATTTTGTTGATGGGATAAATGCATATAACAGTCCACTTGGGGCTTTTCCTGAACCCACCGTGATGGTTGATTTGGCTGTCAACTTGCCTGGATTAAGGGGTGCCCAGATAGCTGGGAAAGCACTATTTATCCTCAATGCTCCTGCAGGGAGTGGGGTTGTCCCTCTTCTGCTGAAAGGGAAGCCCAGGTGGTTTGGTATTTGATTAGGATGATTGGGCTGTCCCAGGTGCGCTTGTGAGGGTGTTTTTGGAGGGGACTGGATGTGAGTCTGTGACCTGAGTACGGAAGCTCCTCTGCTGGCGGGGGTCCAGATGCAGTAAAAAGGTAGAGGGAGGGTGAATGCGTGCTCTCTTCTGCATCTGGGTTGCCCTCCTTCTCCTGACCTTGACATCGAACTCCAGGTTCTCTGGCTTTTGGACTCTGGAACTTACACCAGCCCCCAACCCTGCAAACTCTCAGGCCTTCAGCTTGGACTGAGAGTTACACCACTGGCTTCCTTGGTTCTGAGGCTTTCGGATTGGGACTGAGCCCCATCACTGGCTTCCCTCAGTCTCCCACTTGTGGATGGCCTCTTATGAGACTTTTTCACCTCCACAATCAAGTGAGCTGATACCCCTAATAAATCCCTTTGCATAGCTTTCGTTCTGTATATCTTTTTTTAAAAAAATTATTTTTATTTTTGGTAGAGACAGGGTTTCACCATGTTGTCCAGGGTGGTCTCGAACTCTTGACCTCAGGTGATCTGCCCACCTTGGCCTCCCAAAGTGCTGGGACTTATAGGTTCTCTGTCTTTCTGGAGACTCTGACTAAAACACCACCTTTCTTAATTAGGCTGCTTTTTGCTGAAAGTAACGGATGTCCAAATAGCAGTGTTTAAACAATGCAGTTTATGAGCTCAATGCAGAATATCAGCTCAGTGAGTGCCCCTGGCCTTGGGACTGCACTTCTGGGGTGACACATTGGCTCCAGGATGTTGCCAGGATCTGTCTTTCCACTCTCCCACCAGTAGCCATCAGTGGGCACTGTGGTGCCTCATGGGCACAAGAGGCTGCCAGGGCCCTTCCCATCACACTTGTACTCAACAAGCTGCCAAGAAGGAAGAGGGAAGAGGGCAAAAAGGAACTTTGTCTCTCTTGTTTGATCAAGGAAAGTGGTCCTCCTCCAGCTCCTCTTTACATCTCATTGGTCACTCTGACCCCCTTGCCTCTTCCAGAACCGTCCCTGGCTTGAGGGAATGTGGTAGGCTGAGACCTGTTAGGATTCTGACCCCGTCCCCAGGGCTGGGCATGTTGCCACTCAAACAAATAGGGAGCCTCTTGGGAAGGGAGACAGGGCTGCTTCTAGTTCCTGGGGGTCTTGGGTTGTGCTGAGGCATGGTGGGTGGAGAAGGGATGGTTGGCTTAACTCATCCATCTTGGTTAACAGACACTGGGGTTGGACTGCTTGGGGTTAAACATGATTCTGCCATTTGCTGGCTGACAGTGCAGCCATGGAAAAATTGCTTCATCTTTCTGTGCTCCAGTTTTCTCAGCCAATAAAATGGTTATGGGATTAAATGAATCAAAACACGCAAGCCCGAAAGAATTGAAAACAGGTGTTCTAACAGAAAATTATACATGAATGTTTACAGCAGCACTATTCATAATAGTGTTTCCAAGGTAGACAGCAACCCAAATGTTCATCAACAGATGATGGACAAACAAACATGTTCTACCCACGCAGTGGAATATTAGTCAGCCATAAAAAGGAGTGAAGCTTTGACAGGGTACGACGTCGATGAACCTTGAAGACACGATGCTGAGTGAAAGAAGCCAGACACAAAAGATCACACACTGTATGATCCCACTTAAATTAGTTAGTGGAGCAGTCAAATTCATAGAGACAGAAAGTAGTCTGGTGGGTGCTAAGGGTGGAAGGGAGGGGAGAATGGGGAGTGATTGGGTACCAGGTTTCTGGTTGGGTGATGAAAAAGTTCTGGAACTGGAGAGTGGTGATGGTTGCATAGCACTGCGAATGTACTAAGTGCCACTGAATTGTACACTTTAAAGTGATTAAAATGGTAAATTTCATGTTATGTGCATTTTACCACCATTAAAAACCAACACACGTGCAAACTGCTTCGAGCAGTGTCTGGTATGTATTCAATGATGCATCATTATTTATTATTATCATTATTATTTGTTATTAGTCTTGTTCTGCTCTAGCACACTTTACACTTGCTCCAAAATCCCATCCCGATGGTGCCTTCACCCCTGGCTGCCACCTCACACCCTTCCCAGCCCCTGCCGGTCCAGGAATCATTTTATCCTGGGAAGCCAGGGGTCAGAGCTCTTCAAGGTGCTTTCTGCTCAAACACACCAGAAAGCCATTTCTCCCCTGTGGCCTCCTCCCAGTTGGGAGTGGACCTGGAAGGGAAGTCAAGTCCTTCCTGGTCTGAGTGTTCATGGGCTCACATCCCAGGGCTCAGTGCTTACTGTACTGTCCAGCCCTGAGCTCCTTTCATTCATACATTAATATAACCAGGACTGATTGGGCCACTCTCTGTACATATGATGCTGGGTGGTAGCCACTGTTACGAAGAAGAACAAAGCAGGGGAGGGGACAGAGAGTGATATGGATGACTGCAAGTTGCCATAAAGAGGCTCCTTCCTTCCATCATGGGTCCATATGTCCAGGTGTGCAAGTAACTGATTTCTTGAAATTCTTTATTCTTAGTAAATCCTTGATTACCTGTATAAGTGAGCTTGGCTTCTATTTTGAGAGGCCCCTTTCCCCTACCACTCACCTGTGGTGCAAATGCAATCTAAGTCAATTCTGTGTTCCCTGAACATGCCAGAAACATCGATGTGTGCAATGGACAACAAACAGTCCCAGGCTTTGCAAAGAATTTCAACGGGTGGTCACCACGGCAGCAGCTGCCTGCGTGTTGGCGTTCAAGGGCAAAGGGGTCTGTTATTGCCGCTGCCAGTTGGCTGAGGTGGGGAAACCTCTCTGCCTATTCGCCTCCATCTCACCCCTACCCGCACCCCCACCCTGACCTTCCTTCTGCAGCGCCCTCCAGACCTGCAGTTCCAGTTTCAGCCACGAGATGGCAATGTTGCTCTTCGCCGGTAGCCCGGCGGGCGCGTGGGCTGAGCTGCAGCAGAACTGGGGTGCGGGGACGGACCGGGAGCAATCCGTGCTGGAGGCAGTCTCTTGCTGTGCAGGGGGTGGTGCGGCCTGAGGAAGCCTTGCATGGCTATGCTGGGGCTCGAGGCTGGCTGTTAGTCGAGTCGGCCTCCCCACACTTACAGATCCAGGAGAAGGACAATTCCTGGACTCAGTATCCCATCTATACTTAGGGGGAGATTGTAGGCTGTGTAATTCTTACGGTCCTGCCCAGGCTATGAGGCCAGCAGGCTGGGGGCGAGAGTCTAGGTAGGAGTGAGAGGAGAATTCCGCTCAGCCCTGGGGTCTCCTCGTTACTGCCGCCAGCCTCTCAGATTCCCCCCCGCCCTTCAGAATCCAGGGAGGCTTTTTTCCCCTGCTTATTTCCTCCAGAAACACCCCCTTTAGAGATACAGGCTTAGGGGCATGGTTAATATGCAGAAATCCTCATCCAACCACAAGACAGGCTGAGCCAGGCTGGAATTCTCATCCCTACCCCACGTATGAGCTCAGAGAGGATTAGGGGCTTGTCCAGAGTCACACAGCTGGGGCATGGAAAAGCTACCCTCAAAAGGAGATTCCTCTCTTCAGCGTCTGGCTCAACCACCATCAGCATATTTTAATGGGGAAGTGCCCTTCCCCACTGAAAGGTGCTTTCTTGGAGTATGACCAGGTAGTCCTGAGTGTGGGGTTGGGGGGAAGGCAACTGCCATCTGCCATCACACCTGGGACTGTGTGACCACTGGCTTGGGGACTTGCTGGACTGATTCACAACCCTCTCCAAGCACCGCCACTAAAGCCACAGAATGACCCCTTACCCTGCCAGAAAATGACTTTTATCTTTGGCCACAGTCTCCCAGCCTCACTGACCTGCTTCCTGGTCAAACACACGGTTCACCTTGGCACCAGCACCCCGCGGTCACTCCTGCTGTGGCTCTCCCCTGCTGTCGTCCATTCATTTCTGCTTCACCATCCCCTGCAGAGGCCGGCACACAGTAGGTGCTCAGCTCTGCAGATGCTTATGAACAAGTGAACAGGAAAGAGGTGTTGGGGGCAGCCGGGCACAGAGGACCCTAAGAGAGTCCTGACCACGTCTCCAGGATCATCCTCTTATCTGGGGAAAGGGTCACAGAAAGGGGACAGATGGGCCCCTCGCAAGGCCACCCTAAGCCCGAGGAGACCCCCAATCCCGTCGTCCAGCCTGTTGTATGGCTCTCCACACATTGCAGGCCTTGCCAGGGAGCCCAAAGGGGGCTTGGCCTGGGCATGGGCCCCTTGTAAAGGAAGCCGATTAACAGCCACGGGAAAATCCCTTTACGTCTCCTAATTAACCTGGGCTGGAGACTCACCACCTGCCCCTGGCTTTCTTCCTTCTTTTATCTAGGAAGAACTGAGTGCTGCCTCTGCTAATGAGCTTGTCTGTACTAATCAAGCAGGTGCCCTGTCCCCCATCCCCTCTTGGCAGCCGGGAGTGGGGAGGATTGTCCTTCTGATGTGAGCTCTGGGCCCGCAGAGGAAAATCAGATCTATCATAATAATGGCCATGATGATGAGAATGATAATGTTGACACTGACTCCTTTAAATGAGTTCCGACTTCCTAGGTCAGGGGCTTTGTATGTGTTATTGGGGACACCAGGTGATGTGCAATGCCTTCCATCTCTCAGATGAGAAAACTGAGGCTCAGGGAGGAATAAGGGACTCGCCCCAGCTTGCACAGCTAAGGAGCGGCAGAGCTGGGATTCTCAGCCAAGACTCCATGACTCCAGAGCCTTCCCCAAATCTGTCTTTTCATCACCCCACGCTGCCTTATTGACCATTTTCAAAGAGTTTGACCCACTTTTTCATGGAAAACTGAGATGGCAGAGCAAGTGGCTGGTGTGGTGGGGGCTGGGGCGGAGCCAGGACTCCAAGCCACCCTCCCAGGTGGGCAACCCCCCATATCCCCTGTCCTCCCAGCGTGGTGGGGAAGCTTGAAGGCATCTGAGCGCTGCTGGAGGCTCCCCCACATGCTCCCAGCATGACTCATTCATTCGGCTTAGCCCCCCGTGGCTTTGCCCTGGTTGGGGGTGGGGCGCCCAGGAGGATCAGTGGTTTCTGGGATAATAGGTACTGGGGCTCCGTGTGACCTGTGACCTCCCTCCGCACTCTGGCTGCGTCCCTGCCCCTGGATGGAAGAATTCGACCACCTAGTACCCGGCCCTGCGCAACACCTCCGCTCCGTCACTGCCTGACCCTGCGCTGGGAACTCATTCCCGGGACCGCCAGGGAATCTGCCCTTCCCAGGAGAACTCCTGGCTGCCTCCGCGTGCTCCTAGGGCCTGCGCGAAATGGGAAGGCGCATCCTCTAGCCTGGGTAAATAAGGGACCCTGCCTCACCCGGGTGGCCATCCCCAGGCCGCCTTCGCTGTGTTTCAGGTCACCGCACCCAGCCTGCGCACCCCTAGCCCCCATCCCGGTGCCGTGCAGAGGCTCTGCACACAGCCTCGGCCTCCCGGAGGCCCTCCCCTCTCTCCTCTCCCCTCTCCCACAGGCACTCCCTAGCTGTGCCACATTTAACCCGGGACCTCCTGTCCGCGCTCAGTCTTGCAGTCTCTGGCCCCGGCAGACACCACCTCTCCAGAGGTCGCTGCCCCATCCCGGTGACCCTCCGCTGGCCTCCTCACCCCTCGACCTTGGCAACTCCTACCGCTGCGCCCCAAGACGCCGGATCTAGCTGGGCATCCCCTCTCTGCATTGCGCACCCCTCCCGCAGCCCCTGTACCCGCGAGCGCCCGCGACCCCCGGCGGGCTCCCGGAGCCTCCCGGCCGGGCGCCCTCCCCCGAACCGCCGAGCAGTGGCGCGTCCCGCCGCCTACTGGCCGGGCTGCCGCCTGTGCCCCGGCTCCCGGGCGGCCCCTCCCCCGGCCGCGGCCCCGCCCTCCGCTCCTCTCCTCCTCCTCCTCCTCCTACTCCTCCTCCTCCTCCTCCTCCCCCCGGCGCTCGCTCGCTCGCTCACTCTCTCGCTGGCTCGAGGGGCGGCCGGCAGATGGCGATGGCAGAGGCGGCGGCGGCGGCGGCGGCGCGACCGGGATGGGACGGGCGCTGGGGCGCAGGAGCCGCGGCGGCGGCGGCGGCGGGGGCCGCGCAACTCGGGCCAACTGCGGGGCAGCCGGCCAGGGCGCGGGGCGCTGAGCCTCGGCCGCCCCAGCTCCCCAGCCACGCACGGCCGAGCCCAGGAGAGCGCGCAGAGGCGCAGCCGAGGAAGCGCCGCCAGCGCCGGCGCATGCGTCTGGGGAGGAGCGGCGCGCTGGGAGCGAGCCATGCCCGGCGCCCGGGCGTAGCCGCCGGGGGCTGCTCCGGGAGCCGCGGGCCGGGCCGGGCGCGCGAGAGGAGCAGCCCCGCGCCGCACCCACCGCGCGCCGAGGACCATGCCGCCCCCGGGCCGGGCGCCGCCGCTCGGGCTCCTGCTGGCGCTGACTGCGCTCCAGTGCCCAGGTAACGCGTCCCCGGACCCCATCCCCGACCCCGGCCGAGGCGCACAAAGTTGGGTGAACGGGCGGCTACCTCCTTCTCAAGTCCCTGGCAGCGCGCATCTCCCGGACTTGGACAGACCTGGGGAGACCCTGGGAACCCAGGAGCCCCCGGCGCGTTCCCCTTTGCCTAGCGCCTGGGGAGAGCCCGCCTGCCTTCTCCCCCAAACCCTTAGCTTCCTTGCGGATCCTTTCGGGACGCACGGGGGCCACAGACCGGGGCACTCAGCCTCTCGAGGCGGGTGGGGACGCGACTGCAGGAATCGAGCCCCCTCCCCGCCCTGCCTTGGGCCAAATCCCCCCCAGGTCCCAGTTCCTCCAGGGGTTTTGCTGGGCGGGGGCGTCGACGCAGCCCTTCTCCAGTGTCTTGCTGCCCGCGGTCGCACAGTGGTGCGTTCCCGGGACACCTGCGGGCCCCGGAGATGTCTCGGCCGGCGCTGTCTGGCTTGTCCGCAGCCCCTCCCCACGCCCCGCGGCCCTCCCCTGCTTTCACACTGCCCTCCCCAAGCTACCCACCCTCGCCAAATGGCCTCCTCTTGGCCAAAGAGCAGCCCGCTGCGCGCCTCCTGCAAACGCGGTCTACTCCAGCGCCCTGACCCCAAGGCGGGCGGGAGAGGGTAGCCGCGGCCAAGCAGTCCAGGACGCGCCGGGGAGCCTGGAACGCGGTGCTGTCCAGAGCCATTGCCTGGGCACCGGGGAGCTGGACTCCCTGCTGAACCAGCTCAGCTGTCGCCCAATCCTAGTGAGTGGGAAAAGCAAAATAGTCAGGTATTGTCTGTCTTCGCTGGAGTTTGGAAAGCTTTCTACCCACCTTGGTGTGGCTACATGTTGGTTCTATAGAAAGCGTATCCTAAAATGACAATTCCTCCCCTCCCCCCACCCCATGCAAGCAGTGGAGAAAATCCTAAAGGCTCAGATGAACCCCGGGAACAGTCACGAGCAGCCTTCATGTGCTTTTGAAATCTCAGTTCTCCAAACCTTTTAAAATCAAGACCCATGATTTGGGAACAGGTAGCTTTTGCTTTAGAAAATCTCTCCCCATTTCCTTAACAAACAAATCGCACAGACAGGCAGAATGCAGTAGAAAAATACAACTATAACTTTTCGGCTTTCACTGTCTTGGTAAGGTTGCAGTTAGGAGCAAACCTGGCATGTCAACTTGATGTTCGATGTATTTTATTTGCATGGAAAAAGTCAGTGTCGGCTTCCTTTGAGATGCCCTTAAGTGACCCAAAATATTTACCAACACCTTCGACTTGAAGAAAACCTTCTATTGGAGATCTCCGTCAGCGTTCGGCTTTGGTTCAGCCTAGAGAATGGCATTGGGCTTAACGTGGATGAATCTTGCCTGCTTGGCTAAGGAGCAGCTATGATAGCTGTTTTGCTTTCGGCATTCCTCTGCGGTCCACGAGAGGGGCTGCTGCTGGGGCCGAGGCTGTTTTCTCTTAGCTGAAGCCCTGGGACCTGTTTGCAAAAGTGCAGTCCCTCGGACTTGAAAATTGCAGTTTTGTCTCTATTTTGTTTCTCCACGGGGGTCAGCATTTGCCTGGATGTGCTTATAAGTGAATATCGGAAGTCTCTCAGAGAAGCTGCCTGCATAATGCTTTGTAAGAGAATAGGATGGTCCCCCTACCACCCCCCCACCCCCGTCCCCCGCCCTCTCCCCCAGCAACAGAAGAGCCTGTGCCTGGCTCTGGAAGGCCCCATGTTGGGAGGGAAGGTGAGCTCCCACTGAAACCTGCTGCTGGCCGGCTCTTTGCCTGCTCCCCTGCTGTTCTTTGGGAGAGTCTCAGCAGGGCAGCTCGTTCCGACAAATGCCGTCCGGGCAGAGCCCCCAGTGCCATCGCCCCGTCCCTGGAAGCACATGCAAGTCTTTAACTGGTCCCTACCAGGGACATAAAGAGACGACAGTTTGATAACTCTATATTTAGCACTAGTTAGGAGGGATGGCAAAAAAAAAAAAAAAAAAAAAGAAAAAAAGAAATTCCTGAAAGATACTTAGCTGCCTACACTTGGTTTTGAGAGGTTCAGAGGAATTAACCAGAGCTTCCTTCAGGGCTGGTTGGATTTTCTGGGTGATTTCTGCCATGGTTTACCGACCCCCTTTGGCTGAGGCTCTGGAAGAGGGGCTGGAAGAGTTCAGAGGCAAAGATGCGCACACTGTCTCCCATCACACACACGCAGGGACTGGCTTCTTTGTCCCCCACCCCCCTTCCTGCGTGGGTAGCTGCCATGGTAAAGAGTAGGGTGGGTGTACTTCTTTCAGCCTTGCAAGTGCTTAAACATATGGAACTGTACTTGGTAAGAGTCAGCACAAATCCCCCAGCTTAGCGACTAGGGGGCCCCTATTATTCGAGCCACTTTTGTACATGCTGTGGCTTTGCAAATTAGCGGTGCAGTTACAGTCCCTGCTGAGGAAAATGAACGAATCTTGCTTCGTTGACTCATTATGCACGGGGGTCTAGGGTCTATGAAATCAGGGTGGGTGGAGCACCCCCACCTGCCCCACGACAGAGGGGCCACATTGAGTGGCAGGGGGGAGCTTTGGCTTTCAGGGCAGAGGCTCTCTTCCTCCTGCCTGGCACCTTGGTGTGGCATGTGGTATATTTCTCATTACAATAGTGATGGGGGGGGTGCCTGTGTGTGGCGCTGCCCTTCAGAGAGGTGGCATTGGGAAGTGGTGGGGAGTGGTATGCAAATGTCGTCGCCTTCTCCAGTGATTTAATGGCTGCACAGTGGAGGTTCCCAGAGTAAATCATTTCATCCCCTCTCCTCCCACCGGATGCAGGGAGTTGGGGAGGCGTGGGGCTTCTGCATGAGCTACTGCACTCAGAGCCAACAATGAGCACGGTGGTTGCCTTGATCCAAGGGAGCAAAAGAAAACCCTCATTTGTTGGCTGGGAGTCTGGGGTGGGGGTGGTCTCTGGGCCGGCAAAGCCCTTTCAGGGGCCTTGTTCCCAGATGCGTCTCCCAGCTCTATGTGGCTGGGTGGCTCCTTTCTTCTCTTCTGTGTCTCAATTTGAATGGGGATGGAGGGGGTCCATTTCCCCTGAAGCCATGGGACTCAGCAATCACTGTGGCGAGATGGAGGCACCCTGGTACCGTGGGTGACGGGGGTGCTGCCAACTCTTCAGCAGAGTAGGTGGGTTGACTTCTAGAGCAAGAGGGTGCCTCAGAGCCCCTCCTTCAGCAGCCCCCGGCAGATGGGAAGGAGACTTGGGCACAGGGACCGCCTGTTCAGGGTCACACAGTGAATTGGAGGCCTGGGCTCCCCTCTCCTTAACTCCTCACCTATGACTTTCTAACCCTGTACCTGGGAGCTCTTCTGGTAGAGGAGTTCTACCATACAGTCCTTTAGGGAACTGTGACTCCATACAAGGATCCCAAGGTCATGAGAATGACAGCCGCCTGGCCTGGCCAAGACAGCCAGTGTCAAATCCGAAAGTTAGAGAGCAAGTCTTAGTGGTGATGGTGATGGGAAAGGGGTGGTGATGGGGATGGGAAAGGGGTGGTGATGGGAAGAGGTGGTGATGGTGATGGGAAGGGGTGGTGATGGGGATGGGAAAGGGGTGGTGGTGGGAAGGGGTGGTGATGGTGATGGGAAGGGGTGGTGATGGTGATGGGGAAGGGGTGGTGATGGTGATGGTGATGGTGATAGTGATGGTGATAGGGAAGGGGTGATGATGGTGATGATGGGGAAGGGGTGGTGATGGTGATAGTGATGGTGATGGTGATGGGGAAGGGGTGGCGATGGTGATGGGGAAGGGGTGGTGATGGGGAAGGGGTGGTGATGGTGATGGGGAAGGGGTGGTGATGGTGATGGCAAGGGGTGGTGATGGTGATGGGGAAGGGTGGTGATGGGAAGGGGTGGTGATGTTGATGGGAAGGGGTGGTGATGGTGATGGGGAAGGGGTGGTGATGGTGATGGGGAAGGGTGGTGATGGGGAAGGGGTGGTGATGGTGATGGGGAAGGGGTGGTGATGGTGATGGGGAAGGGGTGGTGGTGGTGATGGGGAAGGGGTGGTGATGGTGACGGGGAAGGGGTGGTGATGGGGAAGGGGTGGTGGTGGTGATGGTGATGGTGATGGGGAAGGGGTGGTGATGGTGATGGGAAGGGGTGGTGATGGTGACGGGGAAGGGGTGGTGGTGGTGGTGGGGAAGGGGTGGTGATGGTGATGGGGAAGGGGTGGCGATGGTGATGGGGAAGGGGTGGTGGTGATGGTGACAGTGACGGGAAAGGGGTGGTGATGGTGACAGGGAAGGGGTGGTGGTGGTGATGGTGACAGTGACGGGGAAGGGGTGGTGATGGTGATGGGGAAGGGGTGGTGGTGGTGATGGTGATGGTGATGGGGAAGGGGTGGTGATGAAAGCAGGTGCTTCTTCCTGTGCTGCAGGCACCATCCAGGCCTTTCCCTGCATGAACTTGATGGGATGCTCACCACTCTGGCAAGTGGACACTCTCATTATTCCTAGTTTACAAGGGAGGATCTGGAGGTCCAGAGATGCTAAGTAACTTGGCTGAGGTCACACAGGATTAGGATCCCAGCCCAGGCACTGGTCTGTGTCTTACCCAGCACCTCACGCAACCAAATTTCACTCTCTAGCCTTGTGCGGAATGGTGTGGCCCGGCCTCTGAACCAGCCAGGCTTATACTCCCAGGTGGTGGGTAGTCGTTAAGCTCCTTTGATGTGCTAGCCTTTGCCGAGTCTTTCACTTCCTTTCTGTTCCCTCTCTCTTTGCAACAAATAAATGTATTAACGCAAACTAAGGCTTAGAGCCGTAGAAATCAAACACATCAGAGTCAACTCTGTAGGCAACTGGGAGTCCTTTCAGATTCTGTGCCCCTGAGTGATTAGATGGCTATGTTGAAGGGCAAGACTTTGGCAGGCCGAATTTTGGTCTCATGCACTGGAATACTGGTTTATCCCCTTGGCCACTGTGAGACTCAGTTTTCCCATCTGTAAAATGGGCCCCAAAATTCTCCCTGGCTGTTCTCATTACAAGGCTGGGGACTTCAGCAAGAAAGAGGTTCATAAATAACAATGGTGTGCTGATGCGTGAGGCTGTTAGCACAGGGCATGAGTCCCAGGACAGGAAAGGAGGCAAGAAAGGAAGGGCTGATTGGGGACACGTGCTGCAGCCATCACAGCTGCAAAGAGAAGAATCATGTACCTCAGAATTAGTAGTAACACAATAACTAACCCTGCTGTTGGGCACACTGTGTGTTCTTAGCCCTTCGTTAGATTTTATTTCACGGATTCTTCAACAACCCTAATGGGGTAGGGACTTCTGTTTGTCCCATTTTACAGATACGCAAACTGAGGCCCAGAGAGGCAATGTGAGGTTTGCAAAGTCACACAGCCAATAAGTGATGGGGTGCAAGTGTGAACCCTGGTGTGTCTGTCCCAGAGTTGGTTCTCTTAGCTACTACATTCAGTTCATGGGCACTGAAGTTTTGGTGCAATTTATTGGATTTTGAGGCTGATTTGCACCCAAGGGATTAAGGGATGTGTCTTGAGTCAAGGGGAGAGTTGGGTTTTTTGTGAGAAACAGAGTTTGGAGAATTTTCCCCTCCCCCAACCCCCATTTATTTTAGAAATGAGGTCTTGCTCTGTTTCCAGGCTGGAGTGCATTGGCTCAGTCATAGCACACTGCAGCCTCAGACTCCCGGGCTGAAGACATTCTCTTGCCTTGGCCTCTCAAAGTGCTGGGATTATAGGTGTTGAGCCACCATGCCTGGCTGAAACCTGTCCCTTCTAAAGTCCACCTCCTCATTCGGGAGCCCCGGCCTGCTTCGGCAGGAGGGACTTGGCGTTTGTGGAAACAGCAGATGTGGAAGGCCCCTGGAAGGCGGATGGCTGCAAACTTCTCTTGTTAGTCACCAGGATTTACAAATTCAGAGATGTCAGTGTCACAATCCAGTTTCTGTCTTTGCTCAATAAATTGGGAGATCTTGGAATACTGGTTTAGCCCCTTGGCCTCTGTGAGACTCAGTTTTCCCATCTGTAAAATGGGCGCCGAAATTCTCCCTGGCTGTTCTCATTACAAGGCTGGGTGGTTCAGCAAGAAAGAGGTTTGTAAACAACAACGGCGTGCTGATGCCATTGTTGTGCTAACAACAACAGCCTAACAGCCCTGAGGCTGTTAGCACAGGGCACGAGTCCCAGGACAGGAAAGGAGGCAAGAAAGGAAGGGCTGACTGGGGACACATGCAACCATCACAGCTGCAAAGAGAAGAATCATGAACCATCAGCCGTCTGCCAAGTGGTTTCTCACTTCAGGATTTCATGGGATTCTTGGGCAACTGTTGAGTGAGGGGTAGGATGTGTCCTCAGATGGGGACACTGAGGCTCAGAGGAACCTAGGGACTGACTCAAGATAAGTCAATCCATGAATGGCAAGGTAGGGTCTCCTCCCCAGAGCTCATGACTTCTGCCCTGATGGTGCCTTCTTGTCCTGGAGTTTTGCCTCAATTTCCCTGCCCTCAGGCCTGGGTGCCTGTGATCTCCAGGGCTTGTGTTCTAGGGCAGGTTGGGTGATGATGAGGAGACAAATAAGAAGCTCATAAATACACCCACAGGAAAATCCCAGACATTAATTTGTGTTTTTCATGGTCAATGCAAGGCGATATGATGAAGAGTGACTGTGCGATCCAGGAAGACTTCTTAGAGGAGGTGGCAGTTTTCTAATTTGAGACCTTAATGACCAGAAAGAGCCAACTGAGAGAAGGGGGTTCCAGGCAGAAGGCATGTGAATCCTTGCACGGTTCTTTGCAGAGTGCCTGGCACACAGCAAGTGCTCAAGAAATGGCAACCAGCTCATTCATTCATTCATTGAACAGAGGTATAAATCGGGGCTAAGCACTTGGGACACAGCAGGGAACAAAAGAGACAAATCCCACACTCTGTCATTCTTGCAGAGCAAGACAACAGTGAAGCAGTGGACAAAGAAATCTGAACTTCAATGTCAAGTGCCATGGGGAGAGAAATGAAGCAGAGGAGCTCAGAGGAGCTGGTCATCGCTTTCCTGCTCCACCAGCTGTGTGGCTTTCCATCTTCCCATTCAGGGCAGAATGGACTCTCAATGCCCATTCTCTGCCGGCTGGGGGCAGGAGAGAAAGAAGCCTGGGTTCTTTGGAGTTGAATTCCAGTGCCTTCCCTTGGCAAAATCAGCTGGTTCTGCAGCCAGGGTGCTCCTGTCTCCCTTTCCTGACACCTGACTCTTAACTGATCAATACCCTCTCCTTATGCTTCGGCCCTAAAATAGTTACATAAAAAATCAATACAGTCCAATTTGATTTGCTGTATTTTATTACTGAGGGTGATAGAGTTGCTCGGTGCTCCGAGCCTGGTCTGAATTAACCCGTTGGTGGGGGGGTCTTACTCATTGTGGCCACGCCTCCGAGTCCGGGATGCAGTGCCCGGGAGGGGTGACTCAGTAAATCATGCCTCAGATGTCTGCTTTGTGTCCTGAATGCCTCCTGCCGGGGCTCTCAACACATCACAGCAAATGGACACATGAAAATACTGCCGTGGCTGCAGCCGGCACTCCTGGGGTGACTCCCCCGGGCCTTCCAAGGGGTCTTGGCTTTGTTTTTGGAACTCTGGAAGTGGGGCTGGCAGCACCTCATCTCCTGGCTCCCGGAGTCTGCGGCTCTTTGTTTGCTGGGTCCTCTCCGTGTTGTGTACTCTGCCGACGTATTTATGTCTTTGGCTTGGTATTTTTCCTTTCTGTAGTTGTGCCATCTGCTGCTGCAGGCTGCTAGCATTCCTGGCGAGCAGAGGGGGCCAGGTCAGTGGGGTTGGGGGGCACCTGGGCAGAGAGATGGCAGAGGTGGGAGGGCCGGGTGGGAGGGGAACCTGTTTTTTGCGAGTCTCTAGGTTGGGCAAGGGAAGGGAAGGGGGAGGCATGGTGTAGATGGAAAATGTTATTTTGCTAGAAAACTTGTCTCTAAGCAGCAGCGAATCATAACTTTTCCAGGCTGGTGGAGGGCTGCTGGCTGCCTCTGGGCCATATCTGGCCTGCAGACTTTTCTTATTAGTTGCCGACATTTAAAAATTGGGAGCTGTCAATATTACTATACAGGTTTCTGTTTTTTCTCAAGAAATTGGGAATTCTGGGCAGTGTTGGCCTCGCCTCTTGACCTGAGACTCAGTTTCCCTTTCTGTAAAATGGGCTCTGAACTCGCTGTAGCTGGCCTTGTTCCTGGAGACTCCCTCCAATTTGCATCCTTCCTGCCTTCCTGCCTTTGTCTTCTCCGAGACATTTTTACTGTGCACCTGCACTGTGCCAGCCCCTGTCCGTGGTGCTGGGGATATCAGCAGGAAAAAGACAGGCAAAAAACCCTGTCTTTGTGGTTAGCATTAAGGTGGAGAGAGACGGATACTGAACACAATAAATAACTAAACACACCGTTCATTACCTGGTGGTCTGTGCTGTGGAGAAATGGAGTGGGCGAGCAGAGATGGAGCGCTGGGGAGGAGGGTTTGCGGGTTTTTTTTTTTTTTTTTTTTTGAGATGGAGTTTTACTCTTGTTGCCCAGGCTGGAGTGCAGTGGAGTGATCTTGGCTCACTGCAACCTCTGCCTCCCGGGTTCAAGTGATTCTCCTGCCTCAGCCTCCCAAGTAGCAGTGATTACAGGCGCTCACCACCATGGCTGGCTAATTTTTGTATTTTTAGTAGAGACGGGGTTTCACTGTGTTTGCCCAGGCTGGTCTCGAACTCCTGACCTCAGGCAATCCACCCACCTTGGCCTCCCAAATTGCTGTATTACAGACGTGAGCCACCGCACCTGGCCAGGTTTGCAGTTTTATACAGCAGAGTCAGGAAGGTGGCATCTGAACAAAGACCTAAAGGGGTAAGGGAGGAGGCCAGGTGGCTATCTTGGGAAGAGTGTTCCAGGCAGAGGGAACAGCAGGTGTAAAGGCCCTGAGGTGGGAATGTGCTTGGCAGGGTCGAGGGACAGAAGGGAGGCCAGTGAGAGCTGTTCCCTCACTCTTTGGGCTGAACGAGTGAGAGAACAGCAGGAGGAAAGGAGGCCAGGGCAGTGAAAGTTCTAACCAAACTAGTCTTTGGTTAGAACTTTGAGTTTTACTCTGAGTGAGATGGGAGCTGTTGGCAGGTTAGAGCCGAGGAGGGATCTGCTTTGACTCACAGGAGCAGAAGCCCTGAGGGGCTACTGCAGTAGTCCAGGCAAGTGACAATGGCTGCTTGGACTGAGTGGTTGCTGCAGAGGAGGTGAGAAGTAGTGAGATGTGGGGTGTATTCTGAAATTTGAGCCACAAGATTTGCTGATGAATTGGGTTCATTTAGTAGATATTTATTGAGTGTCTACTATGTGCTCATTACTGTACTTGGAATTGGGACCAAATCAATATTTCTTAGTGATGAAATTAACAAACAGAACAACAGAACTTCATCCGTGAGTTGGGCCTTTGCCTTTTGTTTGATCTTCCCAAGAGTCCCAGTGGAGGATGGCCTGCATTTTTGCATCTGTAAGATGGAGATATTTTTACATCATTAATGGCTGGGCACGGCGGCTCATGCCTGTAATCCCAGCACTTTGGGAGGCCGAGGTGGGTGGATCACATTAGGCCAGGAATTCAAGACCAACCTGGCCAACATAGCGAAACCCCATCGCTACTGAAAATACAAAAAATTAGCTGGGCATGGTGGTACATGCCTGTGGCCCCAGCTACTCAGGAGGCTGAGGCAGGGGAATTGCTTGAGCCTGGGAGGCAGAGTTGCAGTGAGCCGAGATCATGCCACTGCACTCCAGCGTGGGTGACAGAGCAAGACTCCGTCACAAAAAGAAACAAAACATCATTAAGGAGAATGAAGTTAAGAGGGGTCATGAGATGATAGTTGTGGAATGTTTACTGGCACATAGTAAGTGCTCAGTAAAGAGTGGCAATGATGAATATTGTTAGTATAATGCTGATGATCTTAATAATGATGCTTGACGCGACCAGGGCTCAGTTATGCTGCTTGCCCCAGGAGAAACACAGCTGGAAAGAGCAGAGTTAGGATTTGACTTGTGGTCTGTCAGACTCAGTTTGGTATTCATTTTTCCTGCTGAAATCACTAAGATTTTTGTTTTTAATTAACTTTTATTTTAAGTTCAGGGGTACATGTGCAGGTTTGTTATGTAGGTAAACTTGTGTCGTGGGGGTTTGCTGTACAGATTATTTTATCACCTAAGTATTAAACCTAGTATCCATTAGTTATTTTTTCCTGATTCTCTCCCGCCTCCCACCCTGCACCCTCCTGTAGGCCCCAGTGTGTGTTGTTCCCCTCTGTGTGTCCATGGAAATCGCTAAGATTAAAAGAAAAAAATTCTTCCTCTGTTCATGATGTGATGATTCTGGCACAGTTTATTGTTCATTTGCTGGTACAGGTGTTTTTGTTTTATTTAGTAGAGGTGTATGTGAAAAGGTCTGTGTCAATCAAATTTTACTTCCTCCATCAACTTCCAGGACATTTTAGAGATGTGTAAATTCTGTTTGACCCTTAGGCGGCCTCGGCTCCTGACTTGTTGCTTGTTATTTTCTGTACCCTTTAATCCAGGCATCAGCAAGCCATAGGCCACGGACCAAATTTGGCCCTCTACTTGTTTTTTAAATAAAGTTTTATTGGAACACAGCGGTGCCTATTTGTTTACATATTGTCTACAACTACTTCTCTACAACAGTGACAGAATTAAGTAGTTGTGACAGGTATCATATGGCTTGCAAAGCCTAAATAACCTGTCTGCTCTCTGGTCTGGTCCTTTTAAAGACAAAATTTGCCTTAAATGTTCAAGTAGGGAATGCTCTGTGAATGTATGTTTATAGGACACTGACAGTGTTCAAAAACAAGCCATCATTTTTAATGTCAGAAAAAATTATCCAGCTCCTCGGTATGAGAATTGTGGGTTTGGTAACTCTCAGTGGAAAAAGAAAAACAGATTGATCGAAAGTTGCCATCAACTTAGTAATGCTTTTGAATGAGTAGGTTTTGGTAATTACAGTAGATTTATGTAACATTTAAAAAATAGTAGCACATGTGTGTGTGAGATATTTTTTACTCTGTAGGCAAAGCTCAGTGGCTCACAGCACAGAAGACCCCTTGTAGGGAGGCTGTGGAGGGAACTGATCAGTGATTTTATACTCAGTGTGATTCCAATCCATAGATCTCTTATAACCTTGTGTTTCTTCATATTGGGTTAAAAGATGGATATAGCCTTCTTTATGTTTAATCTGTGACACCCAGGCTTATGATATTTTAAGTTTCCAATGTGATGCTGCAATGGAGATGATGTGCCAATGCAAGGGTATGTCACTATTTTAGTCTGAATTCTCATAGTTGTAAGGGACAAAAATGGGAATGTAGGCATCCTTGGAGCTGGGAAATTTAAGAGGGAAATGGCTTCAGGTATGGCTGGGTCCAGGGGCTTAACACTCTCCTAATGGGGTCTTCTGCTCTGTCTGCCACTTGGTCTCTTAGTTCTTTTTCTCTCTGTGTTGACTTAATTCTCAGACAGCCTCCCCCCTTCTGATGGCAAAGCTGGCCACAGTTGGCTCCAGCCTGTCCTCCAACCAGCGGAAATAGAATGTTTCTTTCCTAGTCATCCTAGCAAGAACCCCAGGACTGACTTTTACTGGAGTAATTTGGGTCATGTGCTGACCCCTCAGCCAGGGACTGGGACTGTGGGGATGGAATCTGATCGACCATACTTAAGTCCGAAGCTCATTTCTGGAACTGGAATTAGAACCACGTTGCCAGAGAGGAGCAGAGGTTATTTCCCAAAGGAAAATATGGATGCTTGCATCAGAAGGAAGAAAAACTACTACTGCAGACCACCAAGTAGGGTGGTGAGAACCGGCAGGTCTGGAGAGCACTCACATGTGATTGATGCCTCTGGGGTCCCTATGCCAGGAAAGGAGCTGATGCTGCCTCCCTCCTGCCCCTGGAGGCTGCCCTTTGAGCTGCTTCCAAAGCTCCTCCGGCTTCTTTATTGTGTGTGTGACCTCTGAAACCCCAGCCCAGTGACTTCACACATATTTTGGTTGCTTTGGTTGAGGACGAATACTTGGAAGATAATCTGCCAATATGGATTAGAGTAGCATCTGGTCTTTGACCCAGCAATCCCACTTCTGGGAATTCTATATTGTATAAATAAGAGGATTGCCATGAAGCAGGTGTGTGTGCTGTTTCAGAGGCAGCACACAGTGGTAGTGATGGAGTTTGGCTCTTAATCACTGCTGTTTGCTGCCCCTGAAACTGGCACATACACGGCATCGTATGCACTTTTGCATAATTTTACAAGTGTGCAGGAAGGTGTGGGGACCCACGCCAGTGGTTAACCTTACTGACCTCAATGAGGGAATGAAGGGGTGATGCTTGCAGGGCTGATGGAAAAGGAGGGGAGAGAGAGAGGGGGAGGAAACCAAGAATGCGTTGGATATCTTAGCTACGGTAATGCTGATATTTAAGTTGTGAGTCCAGCTCTTAGGGTTCCTGGGTCCCTGTTGGAGCAGGTGGAAACTCTCTGAGTTTGCTGCCATGGTTTGTAGGTTCTGGGGGGCTGTGATACAGTGAGCTCAAGTGACACATTAAGGATGATGCTTGGGGCATCTCTGGGGGAACAAGGAAGCCTAGATTTGATGTACTGTGCATATCTGTTCAGATTGGGTTCATCAGTGAGTGAAGAGACTTAAAATAGTGGTGGCTTAAAAAGCAGAAGTTTCCAATAAGATTTTGAAGTTATGTAGCCCAGGACTGTTAAGTTGAATCTGTTCCATGAAGTACTTATGGACTCTCCCTCCTTTTTACCATTTCAAGGTTGTGATTTTTGTCCTCATGGCTCAAAATGACAGCTACAGGTGCAGCCATCTCATCTCCATCCCAGGCACCAGGATGAAGGTATAGATTAAAAAAAGGGCAGAGGATACACATCAACTGTCATTTAAGGAAGAGTCCTAGAAGCAGCCCCATGGTGCTGCCTCATGTATCTCATTGGTGAAGACTGAGTCACATGGCTACATCTTGCTGCAAGAGAACCTGAGAAATTCAGTCTTTATCTTAGGTTGCTAAAAATCCGGGTTTCTGTTACCATGGAAGAAGGAAAGAATGGATACCGGGCACAAAGTTGTTAGTTTGTGGTAAATCCCTCGGCAGGAAGTAGGATTGCATTTGGAGAAAGGACTTGAACCACCAGTGTTACAACCACACTTGTCTTAATAGAGTTCGTGTGTGTGTGATTTCATTCTGCCTTCTAAGGTGGGGGCTGGGGACATGTCGTTTTTCTGGGTGCCAGGAGGAAAATAAAAGCAATTTGCTGAATGCATAAATGTATCTCTTTCAAATATATAAAAATGGTTTTAGAAGTATTATAGATAAGCCTGAAGTCCTTTTTGACCAATTTCATATTCTCTCAAGAGGTAATCAATTGTTGGTTTGCTGTGTATTTTTTCCTGTAGGAAGTCTATAGTATCCCATTGTTTTAAGTTTGTTTTTATACATATACCCCTTGTCTCTTCAGTATTCATCTCCATCTTCCAGGTACATACAGAACTACCTCATTTTTTTTGAATTGCTGGCTAGTATTCCATGGCACGCATATAGCAAGGTGTAGCTAGTGAATTTCCTCTGCCTCATGAGATGGGGGATTCCTCAGGCATAGAAAGGGAGTTCAGAAAGATTTGCAAATGTCTATCCCACCCACCAGGAATACTGGGTAGGGATCAGCACCCACTGAAGATCTCTAGACATTTAAGGAAAGTGAGGGTATGATTGCGTGATGGCAGAAGAAAGAACTGACATCTGAGGAGATTGAGTTAACAGAGAAATGTCGAGCCTAGGGGCAGTTGGGAGATGGTGGAAGAAGGGGGACTTGTTCTTAGAATCCAGACCTCTTGCCCAAGAGTAGCTTCTTGAGGGCAGGACCCAGCCAGTGCTTCCCAAGTTTCTGTGCCTGGTGGTTCTGGCTGTGGACAATTCTCAGAGGTCTTGGAATGCCAGCCCATCTACTCATGGCATTTCTCCAGATTCTAGGAGCTTTGATCTTAGAATAGGAGCACCGTCTAAGTTCTCTGGTCTATGCCTCTGTAGCACTTAGCACAAACACATTTGTTTCTAATGGAAAACTGTCTAAAAAGCACTATGAATTTATGATGGAAATTTTATTTCTTTGATTTTTTTTTCTCTCTCCACCCACCACCCCCCATGCCCAGCCCAGTTAAGTGTTTCTCTCTTAAATGTATGGGCTGAGCTGCTGAGAGGGTCTGCATATTTCAGGGGGAAAAGTATTGGGGGAGGAGGTGTCGGCCTTGCTGTTTGCACTGGCATCATTTACACAGGCTCCGAAGCAGCCTCATCTTCTATTTGATCAATTTGCCTGTCATCTCAGGTCATTTCACAAGGGTGACTAAATTCTGCTTCTCTCACACTGTAGCAGAGAGCACAGTATGAGGGAGAAAGGTGCTAGAATTTCTTTCTCAATATTTCTTGTCCTTCAAGTTTTCCTTACTCCTCTTACTCCCTTTCTTTCTTCACGAAAGATTTAAATAAGTGTTTGGGTGAGGGAATGAACTACTACAGCACTTCCTGTCAGCTTTATATCGCTCACTGCTTCGTTATATACTGTTTGCCCCTCTGCTAGCTGCTTATGCTTGCTAACTGAAGTACATCACTGAAATTAAGGGCATGAACTTAGGCAGCAGGCTGCCTGGGTTTGAATCCCAGCTCCACCACTGGCTAGCTCTGTGACCCTGGGTGAATTACTTAATGTCTCTGTGCCATAGCATTTTCATCTGTGAATGGGGAGAAGAGGAACTCCTACCCCTTGAGATGTTGTGAGGATTAAGGGAGATATTGTGTAAGAAAAACTTAACGTAGTTAAGCTTGACATCACATCAGTGTTTAACAAATGTCAGCAACTGCTTTGGTCTGCTTTGCCAGTCGGTGAGTTCAGTGAACACCTACTATGTGCCCTGGTGGTCGTCTCTGTGGTGTTGCTCATCTCTTCTCCCACATTATTTCGTATTCAGATTCTGTCATATGATAGAGCTTGTCTGCTTCCTCACCCTGGTGTCACACCCTCATTTTCTTTTGGGGGACCATTTCTCCCTTGCTGTAAATCCCTGTGGCTTGGGTGTTGGTAAACTTTCTCCTCCCCCTCCCATGGGCCAGTTCATGACTTGCACACAACCAATCAGAACGTCCCATCTCTCAGGCCTCAGGGATTGGATCAGGGTTGAGCACATGGCCTAAGCTGGGCCAATGAGGGCCAGCCCTGGGATGTTTGTTGAAAGCGCTGGGGAAGAAGTCTTCCTTTTCTGTTGCAGATGCCAATCTGTTAGGATGTGAGCCTAGAGGTAAGTCATTACTGCTGTGAAATAAATGACTGCAGACTAACAGCTTAAAGCAGCACACATGTGTTATCTCACAGTTCCTGTGGGCCAGGAATCCAGGGACAGCCCCAGGTCCTCTGCCAGAGGTCCGTCCTCTGCCCCAGAAGCTCTCACAAGGCTGCAGTCGAGGTGTTAGCTAAGGTTTGGGTCTCATCTGAAAGCTGGACTGGGGAATGATCTGCTGCTGTGCTCACATGGTGGTTGGTAGGATTCCGTTTTTGTGGGCTTTTGCCCTGAGGGCCACAGTCCCTTGCTGACAGTTGGCCAGAGGCTGCTCTCAGTTCCTGTCCCTGGGGCCCTCTCCATATGGCAGGTTGCTTCATCAGAGACAGTGAGTAACAATCTCTGATCACAGAAGTGATGTCCCTTCAATGTTGAGCCATTCTATCAGTTAGAGGGAAGTTACACAAGGAGGGCTACACAAGACTGTGAACACCATGAGGCCAGATCTTTGGAGGCTGTCCTAGAAGCTATCTACCATTATGGAACTGCCTGAGAATGAAGCAGGATGGAGAAAAACCTGGAGTGCAGGGGGAGTGAGGGAGAGTTTCCTGGTGACCATATTTGAGTGCCCCAAAGTAGCTGTTTCTGATATGAACTTGATCATGAACTTCCCCAGTACGTGATCCAACACATTTCTTTTTCTTAATTGGGTTTCTTTCACTTGCAACCAGAGAGTCCTGGTGAAGTCCCATGAAGGCTTCTCAGATCCCGTTGCCTGGCACTGTCTTCTCCTTTGAAAGGCTTTGGCTTGACTGAAATCTAGGTTGGAGAATGTGCAGAAGCTTACGTCTGCCTCTATACTGAGCTCATCAGGGGCAAAGTTGCATGAATATTTTTTTATTTCCTTCCCTGCTTTACTTCCAGTGCCTAGAATGCTGTGAGACACAGAGTGGAAGCCATCTGCCAGTAATTACTGGTACAAGAGGCCCTTCCTTGTCCCCATCCCTTCCCCTGCTATCAAAAATGTTTCAAAAATTATCTCTATCGACTGCACCTGGCTTATGGTTGGAAAGCTGAATGTCAAAGACAAAAATATTGTTGATGCTACCCCCTAGAGGCAGTGCACAGCTGCACACAGAAATCTCAGTGAAAGTGTGAATTTCACAGCTTTGAGAGGATCTTCTTCATAGAAATGACACATCACAAGCAACAGAGCTGATCAGAGGTAGAGCTTACCAATATCTTTAACATTTTATATGTTAATTGGTTACTTCTGTGACCATCTTGACATATACAAACATTTACCTGACACCAGCATATTCATTTTTACTGATAGGATTTTATAATTTTTTTTCTAGAGTTAGTAGAATTTTACTGCCTATCCAGAACTCATGATCTATTGGCTGCCAATATATAAAAAATGTTTTCTCCATAAAGCACTTTAAAATATTTTTCATTAATACATGATGTAAAGTATAATTTTTTCCTCTTCCCTTGTAAAATTGGGATGTATCATATATACTAGAATTTCTCATAGGTTGGCAGACATGGATGGAGTATACACTATCTATAGGGCAAAACCCTGGTGCATGCTGTAGCCATATCTGCTGACCTGTGAGAAATTCCAGTATATATGCTGACCTCCACAGAGTACTTTGAACAGGGAAACTTTAATATAAAGAACTATCAACTCCTGTGTATAACAGGGGATTGGAATAAAAAGGGCTGAGAAGTATAGAGAACCTTAAAGGAATAACAGATGCCCAAAGCAGCCTACCTAGGGCTGAGATGGAGCGGTTAGGTCAGTGGACTTGCTGGATTCACTAAATGGCAGTAATCATTATCACTGCAGCCATCTTTCAATGAGGGCTCCCTGTGCCAGGCACTGTGCTCAGCCCCTTATGTAGAGTATCTCGTGAATCCTTTCAATGAGGGCTCCATGTACCAGGCACTGTGCTTAGCTCTTTATGTGGAGTATCTCATGAATCCTTTCAGTGAGGGCTCCGTGTACCAGGCACTGTGCTTAGCTCTTTATGTGGAGTATCTCATGAATCCTTTCAATGAGGGCTCCGTGTGCCAGGCAGGGTGCTTAGCCCTTTGTGTGGAATATCTCGTGAATCCTTTTGGTGAGGGCTCCATGTACCCAGGCACTCTGCTTAGTCCTTTATGTGGAGCATCTCATGAATCCTTTCAATGAGGGCTCCGTGTACCAGGCACTGTGCTTAGCTCTTTATGTGGAGTATCTCATGAATCCTTTCAATGAAGGCTCCGTGTACCAGGCACTGTGCTTAGCTCTTTATGTGGAGTATCTCATGAATCCTTTCAATGAGGGCTCCGTGTACCAGGCACTGTGCTTAGCTCTTTATGTGGAGTATCTCATGAATCCTTTCAATGAGGGCTCCGTGTACCAGGCACTGTGCTTAGCTCTTTATGTGGAGTATCTCATGAATCCTTTCAATGAGGGCTCCGTGTACCAGGCACTGTGCTTAGCTCTTTATGTGGAGTATCTCATGAATCCTTTCAATGAGGGCTCCGTGTACCAGGCACTGTGCTTAGCTCTTTATGTGGAGTATCTCATGAATCCTTTCAATGAGGGCTCCGTGTACCAGGCACTGTGCTTAGCTCTTTATGTGGAGTATCTCATGAATCCTTTCAATGAGGGCTCCATGTGCCAGGCAGGGTGCTCAGCCCTTTGTGTGGAGTATCTCATGAATCCTTTCAATGAGGGCTCCGTGTACCAGGCACTGTGCTTAGCTCTTTATGTGGAGTATCTCATGAATCCTTTCAGCGAGGGCTCCATTAACCAGGCACTGTGCTTAGCCCTTTGTGTGGAGTATCTCATGAATCCTTTCAATGAGGGCTCCGTGTACCAGGCACTGTGCTTAGCTCTTTATGTGGAGTATCTCATGAATCCTTTCAGTGAGGGCTCCATTAACCAGGCACTGTGCTTAGCCCTTTGTGTGGAGTATCTCATGAGTCCTTTCAATGAGGGCTCCGTGTGCCAGGCAGGGTGCTTAGCCCTTTGTGTGGAATATCTTGTGAATCCTTTTGGTGAGGGCTCCATGTACCCAGGCACTCTGCTTAGCCCTTTATGTGGAGCATCTCATGAATTCTTTCAATGAGAGCTCCGTGTGTCAGGCAGGGTGCTCAGCCCTTTCTTAATATGAAATATCTCGTGAATCCTTTCAATGAGGGCTCCATGTGTCAGGGACTGTCCTTAGCCCTTTGTGTAGAGTATCTTGTGAATCCTTTCAGTGAGGGTACCACGTGCCAGGCAGGGTGTTCAGCCCTTTATGTGGAGCATCTCATGAATCCTTTCAGCAACCCTGTAGACAAGGAGCCTGAGGCTGAGGGAGGGTGTGACTTGACCAGAGCAGCTGGGGCGGGCATGGCCGGGGCTGCTGGGCCTCTCTGTCTGTCTCCATGTGGTCTCTCCAGCCTGGCAGCTTCAGAGCAGCCCAACTTCTGTGGGCTTCAGTGTGAGTGTCTCAAGACAGAGCCAGCTGGCAGCTGTATGGCCTTTTATGACCCAGCCTTGGAAACCACGTCCGTCGCATTTTACTCATTAGCAGCCAGCCCATAATCCAGGGGAGGGGAATTTGGCTCCACCCTTTGATCAGAGGAACGTCAAAGGATTTGTAGACACGCTTTCAAGCCATCGCAAATTATTTGGAGAAAGATTGCAGCAGGCGGGACCCTCAGTAAGGGTTAATCATTAAGTCACCGAAAATGCCTCTAACCCTCCTGAATCTGGTCTGGGGAGTGGTGGGGTGGGGAAGAAGGAGCTTCTTAGCTCCTGGATTCTTCAGAAAGGCTGTGAGTGGTGGGATAGAGGGTGGGACTGCCCGACCCCACAGCTAGGAGACAGTGGTCCCATGGCCTTGCTCCCTTAGCTTTTTTCGCTTAGTTTTTTCTGGTGGGATGGTATTCCTTTGGTCTTCCTCAGAGGCACCAGATGCCCCTTTCCTGGTGCTGTGGCTTGGGGGCCTATGATTTTTTGTTTGTTTGTTTGTTTGTTTTGAGACAGAGTCTCACTATGTAGCGCAGGCTGGAGTGCAGTGGTGCAATCTCAGCTCACTGCAACCTCCGCCTCCCGGGTTCACATGATTCTCCTGCCTCCGCCTCCTGGGTAGCTGGATTACAGGCACGTGCCTCCATGCCTGGCTAATTTTTGTAGTTTTAGTAGAGACAGGGTTTCACCATGTTGGCCAGGCTGGTCTTGAACTCCTGGTCTCAAGTGATCCACCCACCTCGGCCTCCCAAAGTGTCGGGATTACAGGAGTGAACTACTGCCCCTGGTCTGATTGATATAAACGAGGTCCTCACAGTCTCTGGTCTGGCTCCTGGACAGCGTGCTTGGTGTGGGTGTTTAGTCTTCCTCTGCTCAGTGGCTTGGGAAGAGCCACTAGCCCATTGCTCGGTTGCCTTGTGTCTTGTCCTTGTGGTGGCTTTGGGACCCAGACTTCCCTTCCTCAGAGCCACCTGCCTCCCACTTCCACTTCATTCATTCGCTCTGCTCCTCTACAGGGGATTCATTTCGAGTTGTTAGCATTCTGAGCTGGTGGCAGCCAGCTACCTTCATCAATGTGAGAAACTTGAATTAGAATATTAATTTCACCTGGGGCTTGGACGCATTGTTTCTGTGCTGAGCACATATTTAACAGTGGTGAAAATGCAATTGGCTCGTTCCTCCCATGCTTCTCGCAGAGGCTCCTGGGGGAGGTGTTTGGAGTAAGAGCCCCGCCTGTTTCTCTGTGCAGGTCTGTGAGCCCTGGCTCCTGATGCATTCGGTGGAAGGAACGTTTACCAACTCCTGTACCACTGGTTATCAACCAGCATCTCGTGGCACATACAGCCCAGGGCATATCTGTTTGGCCAGCCCAGTGCTTTAATAACTTTTGAGCCAATATTTAAGAGCTAGAAGATTTAATATGAAAATCTGGATTTTTGGCTTCTCGTTGAAACAGCAGTGGGGCCGGTAGCACTGGGTCCTCTTCCCAGGGAGTGACTATGGACTGCAGGGAGTGGAGGCTGCTCCCTTTAGACACAGCCCCAGTTCACTCCACTGGCATTTAGTTGAACACCTGCTATGTGCCAGGCATGCTTGTTGGTGCTGGCATTGTAGCCCCTGCTGTCAGGGAGCTTACATTCCATTAAGAATGGTCACTAATTTCTGTTGCCTGTTGGAAGCCTCCAGACCGGTGCTATTGGATACATTCTACAGTGATGGAGATCTTCTCTAGCTGCACTGTTCAATATGGTATCCGCCAGCCACATGTTGATGTGGAGCGCTGAAATGTGACCACTGTGTCTGAGGAACTGGGTTTTTTTAATTGCATTAAACATACATAACAAAATTTACCATCTTAACAATTTTTAAGTGTACAGTTCTGTGGCATCGAGCACATTCTCACTGTTATCCAACCATCGCCGCCATCCATCTCTGGAACTTTTTCATTTTGCAAAATGGAAACCCCATACCCATTAATCAGTAACTCCCGTTTCTCCCTTCTCCATTTCCCCAGGCCTCCACCATCTTTCTGTCTCTATTCATTTGAATATAAGTAGAATCATACAGTATTTGTCCTTTTGTGACGAGCTTATTTCACTTAACATTGTATCTTCGAGGTTCACTCATGTGTAGCATGTGCTAGAATTTCCTCCCTTTTTAAGACTGAATAACATCCCACTAGGGAACTGAATTTTTCATTTCATTTCAATTTAATTAATATATATTTAAAGTTAAGTAAATTTAAATGGCTACCCGTGGCTAGCTAATGGCTACTGTGTTGGACAATGTGGGTCTAGGTATTTGAATTTGCATTCCCCACGCCTCAGTTAATCCAACTTCTTCATTGAACAGTTGGGGAAACTGAGGTACACAGATCACACAGAGCCAGAGCTTGAACCCACATCTCCCTGGTAGCTCACCTGGCATGTCTGGTGTAACTAGTATCAGTTAGGCAATGAATGGAGGGATGGCAGTAGACAGAGTTGGGGAAGGTGGGCAGGGCCATGTGGACTAAGGGAAAGAGTTCAACTTTAAAGAGGACAATTTATTGAGCTTAGATTTACATAACAACCATTTCAAAGTGTACATTCAAGGGCATTTAGTTCATTCACAGTGTTGTGCAGTCATCACCTTTAGCTAGTTACAAAACGTTTTCATCACCCCAAAAAGAAACCCTGTACCTTGCAGGTAGCCACTCCCCACCCCCATTCCTCCAGGCCCTGGAAACCACCCATCTGCTTTGTGTCTCTCCAGATTTGCCTGCTGTGGACACTTCATATACATGGTATCACATAGCATGTGGCCATCTGTGTCTGGCTTCTTTCTCATAGCATAACATTTCGAGGTTTATCTCTGCTATTGCATGTGTCCGGACCGCATAGTGTTTTGTAGTGGAATCGTCTTCCACTGTATGGATAAGGGATTGGGATTTGATCTAAGAGCAGTGGGGAACCCCCTGCAAGGCCTTTGGTGGGGGTCTGTTTCTTGCTGAGATGGCCGCGTGGTAGAAAGGAAGGCCCCTTCCACAGCCCTGTGGTAAACAGGTTTCCTCTTCCTGGGTTCCATGAAGCCCATTTCAGCTTTGTGTCCAGGGTCCAAAGGGACAGGGTTCTTGGCTGCCATAGAAGTGGCTGCCCTCGTGTGCCCCTTCATGCCGTCACCACAGGCACCCTCCTAGGTGCAGAGGGTGCTCAGGCCTCGGGCAGGGGCTCTGTAGCTGTGTCCCCTCTGAGTGCTGCGTCCCCTCTGAGTGCTGCGGCCACTCGAATGTCAACTGAGCCCGGGGTTATTGATTTACAGGAGGCAGATTATGTTTGGGAAATCAGAAGGGAGCTCCCGCATGGAGGGGAAGGGATTGTACTCTGATGTGGCTCTTGCCTGGGAAGCGGGAGCCAGCAGGTGGTGGTGAGAGGCTTGGGGATTAAAGGGAAGAAAAAGAAAAGGGGAAGCCTCTGGCCAGCCTGAGCCTGGGTGCACACGAGGGCCGCTCTCTTTCTGTAAATGAATGTTGGGGAGCCTGGCCTGCTGGGTGAGGCTCACATCTCTAAGTGGGGCAGAGGCTCGCGGATGGACCGCCCCAGGGGATGGTGCAGTGGGCTTGCTGTGTACCTTTGTCCCAGCCTGGGACAGCAGACGCTAGCAGTGGCAGCAGAGTGGCTGGTCACTGGGACAGTGCTCGACTGGGGGAAGGGGTTTGGCCCCCTTTCTGTCCTGGTCACCTCAGGGGAGAAGGGTGTTGGCTCAGTCAGCCCTGCTTTGCTTGAGGGACTGACGGCAGGGACCCTGCCACCCCGTTTCCTTTGTTCCTGGCTGCTGTGGTGCTGGTCACGCTTGGGAGCATGGAGACACTCGTTCCTTGTCTCTCCAACCCACCGGCCATTGGCCCAGATCACAGGCACCTCTTTGGCAGATGTGGAGTCTGAGTGGCTCAGACAGGCTGCTCTTTTTGTGTGGTGGCCCTTCTTTGTTCCATGAGTTTCCTTTGTTATCTGATGGAATGCAAGGGTTACTAATTTTATTAAAGAACACAATGACACCAGTTGTACCGGTATAGTCTCTCCTTGTGGAACATGAAATTGTTCCCCAATCCTGATTTCTTTTCTCCTTCACTGGAGATAAATACTGTTAGATGGCCAGAGTGTCTTCCTCGCCTTGTCCTGTGAGTCTCGTAGGTGCCTGCTCATTCGCTTGGTCATTCATTCATTCATTCAACAGGTATTAATGCAATGGAGTCTCCTCTGTGTCAGGCAGCATCCAGACTCTGGGGATGTATAAATGAACAAGGCCAACAAAAATCTCAGCTCTTGCAGGGTGGACAGTCAGATCGGGGAGGCAGATGAGAAGCTAGATAGGTCACTAAAATATTCAGCATGTTCAAAGCAGTAAATGCTGTGGAGAAAAATAAAGCAAGAAGTGAGGTTGGGTGTGGGGTAGGGAGATGCTGTCATAGATTGGGTGGTCTGAGGAGACCTGGGCAGGAAGGTAATGTTTGAACAGAGATCCAGGGAACTTAAAGGGGCAAATTGCAGGGCTATCTGCGGGAAGGAGCGAGTGCAAAGGTCCTGGGGCAGAAGCCATCAGGTGTGTTAGAGGAGCAGCAGAGCTGCTGTGGGGGCCAGAGCAGAGGGAGGGGATGTGGACTGCCGATGAGGGTGATCACATGGTGCCGTGGGCCATGGCAGGGCTTTGAACTTTTGCCCTGATTAAAATGGGGATGCTTTGGAGGGTTTCAGCAGTGAAGTGACTGGACCAATTTCCATTTTAAAAGGTTCTCCCTGTTGTGGTACAGGAGGCAGACTCATGTGGGTAGTGTGAGGTGGGGGGCGGGGCAGGAAGGAAGCTACTGCTGTCGTCTGGTGAGCAGTCATGGGAGCTTGGGGTGGCAGGGGAGGTGGAGGGGACAGGGAAGATACTAGCTATATTTTGAAAATAGAGGGCTGGTGTGGTGGCTCATGCCTGTAATTCCAGCACTTTGGGAGGCCGAGGTGGGCAGATCGCTTGAGTCCAGGAGTTTGAGGCCAGCCTGGGCAACATAGTGGATCCTGTCTTTACAAAAGATAAAACAATTAGCTGGGCATGGTGGCATGTGCCTGTAGTCCCAGCTACTTGGGAGGCTGAGGCAGGAGGACCACTTGACCCCAGGAAATCAAGGCTGCAGTGAGCTCTGATGGTGCCACTGCACTCTAGCCTGGGTGACAGAACGAAACCCTGTCTCAAAAGAGAAAGTACAGGAGAATCACTTGTGCCCAGGTGACAGAGGTTGCAGTGATCTGAGCTTGTGCCATTGCACTCCAGCCTGGGCAACAGTGAGACTCCATCTCAAAAAAAAAAAATGTGAAAACAAGGGGATTATTTTTTCATGGTTTAGATGTGGAGTATGAAAGAAAGAGGGGAGTCCAGGGATATCTGTGAGGTTTTGGCTTAAGCCAAAACCTTAAAATGGAGTTGCCACCAGCTGAGCTGGGGTGTCTCTGGGTGGAACAGGCTCGACTGTGATTGGAAACTCCAGGTTGGGCAGGTTCAATTTGAGATATTTGTTTCCCATGGAGTTGTTGGGTATGCAGCTGGGTTTATGGGTCTGGAGTTAAGAATTTAAACTGTCTCCTGCCCCAAATATGTGTTCCCCAGTCATCTTTCTATCATGTTATCTTCCTCTTCCTTGCTACCTCCCCAAAGTCAGCCTCCAACCCTGTGGGCTTCCTGGGGCACAGCCCACTGAGGGGGAGCGAGGCTGCTCCGAGCAGACCAGCTGTCTGCTGCCTGTTTTCTGCACCATCTCCAGGGCATAGAATGTTGGAACAGTGGCCTGGAGGCTGAGTTCTGGTGGGAGGACTCAGTGAGGAGTAGGGTGGGAAACCAGGGGATCCAAAAAATAAAGACTAAAAATAGAAGGCAGCATGCACATTGCGACCGCCCTCATTCCTTCCACCCGCTGCACACGGTTCACCTCCTTAGCACTCAGTCTGGCTTTCTCTGTCACCAAATATAATAAATGCCTTCTCTTCCTGGCTTCTCGCTGGCAAGGATGAGTGAAGGATGCCCTCTCTTTTTCCCATGCCAGCCACCTCTGACCCTGCCTTTAACCATCTTGTCTGGGGAATTGAGCAAGCTCAGCTCCCTGTGGGCAGAGCAGGTCTCAGGGCGTGTAAACACCCTTGTGAATTGCACCAGCTGGGCATTCACTGATGGGCACTAATGGCTTGGAAGGGAGACACAAATGAACCTACAAATCATTTGTTGGTTTGAACAGGATCCAGAATGTGTGGATTTGGTCACCTTTCTTCCCTCTTCAGGGACCATGGCAGCCTTCTGCCATAGGTAGTTTTTCAGTCTGACTCCGGACAGATGTGAGGCTGATTGCCGGCAGCTTGGGTCCTGACATTTGGTGGGCTTTGCTTTGTGTTCTGCTTTCGATGGCAGGGCTTCCTATCCCAGTGCGGAATTTCTCCACTCTGGCTCCCTGGTAGAATCATTTTTGGGCATGGAGAACCTTTAAGATACTGGTGCCCAGGCAGGATCTAGACCTACTGAACCTCTAGGGATGTGACCTGGGTACTTTTCCTGTTTAGTCGCTCACATATTAATAAATTAATTAATATATATATTTTTTGTAGAGACAGGGTCTTGCTATATTGCACAGTCTGGTCTCAAATTCCTGGGCTTGGCCGGGCGTGGTGGCTCATGCTTGTAATACCAGCACTTTGGGAGGCCGAGGCGGGTGGATCATCTGAGGTCAGGAGTTTGAGACCAGCCTGGCCAGCGTGGTGAAACCCTGTCTCTACTAAAAATACAAAAAATTAGCCAGGTGTGGTGGTGGGCACCCATAATCCCAGCTACTCAGAAGGCTGAGGCAGGAGAATCACTTGAATCCGGGAGGTGGAGGTTGCAGTGAGCCGAGATTGAGCCATTGCACCCCAATCTGGGCGACAAGAGCGAAACTCCGTCTAAAAAAAAAGAAATTCCTGGGCTCAAGTGATCCTCCCACCTCGATCTCCCAAAGTGTTGGGATTATAGGTGTGAGCCACCATGCCCAGCCCTCTTTCACATACTTAGAATCCTGTTTAATGCCTCAATATTTTTTTGTACAAGCCAAAATACAAAAACAAAGGGTTATATAACCTATCATCGACAGGGTCTAACTGTTTCACTTCATTTTTTTTTTTAAGTTTTTCTAAAAACCGAGGATAAGTTCACACAACACACAACCATTTTAAAGTGTACAAGTCCGTGGCATTTGGTACATTTATAGTGTTGCACAAACACCACCTCTGTTTGGTTCCAGAGCATTTTCATCCTCCCAAATGGAAGTCCCGTACCCACTAGCGGTCACTCCCTACTGCCTTCAACCCCTGGCAAATACGCTTCTACTTTCTATTCTATGGATGTGCTGGTTCTGGCTATTTAATACAAATGCAGTCTTAAAATATGCACCCTTTTGGGTCTGGCTTCTTTCACTTGCACAGTGGTTTTAAGGTTCATCCACGTTGTAGCCTGTGTCAGTGCTATGCTCCTTTTTATGGTTGAATCATCTTCCATTGTCTATCGGATATGCCACCTTTTGTTTATCCGTTCATCTGTTAGTGGGTGTTTGGGTTGCTTCCACCTTTTGGATATTGTGAATAGCACTGCTGAGAACATTTGTGTACAAGTATTTGTTTGAGCACCTGTTTTCATTCTTTCTGGTATACCTGGGTAATTTTTAAAAGCTCCATATATGGTTCTAATGGGAAGCCAACTGGAAAGCTATCAGAATTTTGAGCCCGGAGTTCTGAGCCCGTAAAAGATTCTTTCATTTTTAGTCAAATGGCTTCTAACTGGTCACTCTCTGGCTTCTGATTCAGTGATGGCTTCTCCAGCCTAGACCTTCTCTATAAATTACTGTGTGATTTTTCTGTCTAGCACTTATCACTATCTGAATGAGTCTCCCTTGTTGCCTGGATAGAGGGTTTACCTGTACATGATCTAGCGTCCCTTGCTCTAGATAGAGTGTGATCTCTGTAAGTATAGATCATGACTACCTTGCTTATTCATCCACCTGTACTCCTAGCATCAAGGGAGGTTCCTTGTGGCCAGTGCCAGGTTAGAATCTACTTTACAAAAATGGCAGATGCTAGGTTGCCACCAAATCTGTCTTTAGGATAACTCATTCATTTATCAATCTATCCAAATGGATGGATTTAGTCATTCGAATATTTATTGATGCTTTTTGTGTGCCAGGGCACATAAGTTTGGGGGATAGAGAGAACAATAGTACCCCTTCGTCAGTGAGCTCTCAGTCTACTGGGGGGATAGACAGATAAATAATTCCAATACAGTGCAAGGAGTGCTTCTGTGGAGGTCTGAATCGGGAGCAGGAGCCATTAGGGTTAGCTTCAGGAGGAGGTGTTAGGACTCCTTCAGTTGCAAATGACAAAAACCCAAGTCAAACTGGCATAGCTGAAAGAAAACATCTTTTGATTTATGCATCTGGAAAGTCCTCCTAGGCTTCTGATGTGGCTGACCCAGGGCCTTAATTGCCATCATCAAGACCCAGCCTCCCTCTGTCTCTCAGCACTAGTTTCTTCTATAGTGGCTCCATTCTCAGGGCAGCTTCTTCTAAAGCACGGCTGTTGGGTAGACCTCATATCCCACCAGCTGAGCAGCCCAGCAGGAAGAGAACACCTCTTTCCTGATGGTTCTCACAGAAATGGCAGTTCTGACTCTCACTGGCTAGCAGTAGGTCACGTGACAATCCTTGGCCCAATCATTGTGACTCGGGCCAAGCCTAGGTCATGTGCCTTCTCCTGGAGCAGGGAGGGAAGGGATCCCTCTGGCTGGACCACGTTATAGAGAGTGGACAGGAGGCCTCCAAAGGAGAAAGGCAGGGCATGGTTTCCAGGGGAAGGGAGAATGGCTGCTGTCAGGCCCAAACAACACGTGCCCACTCTAGCAGTCAGGCTGGTGCCAAAAAGAAGATGAGCTGGATATTTCCCAGTTGCCCTCTCCCAGATTTATTCTCCACCCTTCCTTGCCCTTTTCTGTTCCCCGGAAGCTGACCCACAAGGGCTGCAACATCTGGACTTCCCTGCCCTTCAACTTCCAGATGGATTTGGACAATGAGAGACCCGGCTGGAAATGAGAGGGTTGGAAAAGAGACTGAGGGCATTGCTTCCCTGCTCCTCTGTGCTCGGTCTCCACATTTCTGCCTGGGGCTTCGCCTCCCTCTGAGACTTCTGTTCTAATGAGGAAGCCTCTTCTCCCAGCTGCAGCCCTCACTGGCTCCATAACACCACTCTCTCCTTGTCCCTTGAGGCTCAAGAAGTAACAGCTTCCCCCTATTGCCAGCCTCTTGGTGCTACACCTACCCTGCCACTCCCCTGATGCTCCTCCACTTCTGTATATAGACCCGTCATTGAAATCTCTTCCTTCGAACCATCATTGAGGGCAAATTCTTTTTCCTGCCAGGATTTCTATAGATATGAAGGAGACATTTGCCACTACCTTAATTTCCTGTGGCTGCTGCAACATAGGGGCTTCAAATGACACAAATTTATTATCTGAAACTTCTGGAGGTCAAAAGTCAGAAATGGGTGTCACCCAGCTAAAATCAGGGTGTCAGCAGGCTGCATTCCTTCTGGAGTTTCTACGGGAGAATCTCTTTTTTCTTGCTTTTACTACCTTCTAGTGGGTACCTGCATTCCTTGGTTTGTGGCCCCTTCTTCATCTTCAAAGCCAGCAGCATAGTATGTTCTCTTTGTCTCTGACCTCTGCTTCCACCCTTGCATTTTCTCTGACTCCAACTCTCCTGCCTCTTTTCTTTTTTTTCTTTTTTTGAGATGGAGTCTCGCTCTGTTGCCCAGGCTGGAGTGCAATGGCACAATCTCAGCTCACCACAACCTCCACCTCCCAGGCTCAAGTGATTCTCCTGCCGCAGCCTCCCGAGTAGCTGGGATTACAGGCATGCGCCACCACGCCTAGAGGATTTTTGTATTTTTAGTAGAGATGGGGTTTCACCATGTTGCCCAGGCTGGTCTTGAACTCCAGACCTCAGGTGATCCACCCGCCTTGGCCTCCCAAAGTGCTGGTATTACAGGCGTGAGCCACTGCACTGGCCCTCTTTCTTATAAAGACCCTTACACTGGGTCCACCTGGATAACAGAAGGTAATCTCCCCAGCTCAAGAGCCTTAACTTGATCACAGTCTCTATTGCCAGGAGGGCAGTGTTCTAGGGATTAGGACATGCACATCTTTGGGCACCATTATTCTGCTTACCACAGCCATCTTTATCTGCCCCTTCTTAAGAATCTCTCTGCTCTTTGGCCTCTGAACTTGGGCATCCCTGGAGGCCTTGATTCCATCTGCCTCCTGTATTAGTTTGGGCTGCCATAAGAAAATACCACACAGAGTGGTTTAAACAACAGAAATTTCTTTTCTTACAGTTCTGGAGGCTGGAAGTTCAAGGTCAGGGTGCTAGCAAGGTCAGTTTTTGGTGAGGGCTCCCTTCCTGGCTTGCAGATGGCAGCCTCCTCTCTGTGTCCTAAAGGTAGAGGGTGGGTGGGGAGGCTTGAAGCAGGGGAGAAGCTCTCTCATGTCTCCTCTTAAAAGAACACCAGTCCTGTTGGATCAGGGTCCCACCCTTATGACCTCATGTGACCTTAATTACCTCCATTAAGGCCTGACCTTCAAATATAGTCACCTTGGGCATTGGGGCTTTCACATGTGGCTTGGGGAGGTGAACACAAAACTTCATTTTGTAACACCTCTCTTCCTCTAAGCTTTATTCTCCAGCCCTCAGCCTTGGAGGCCTTCTTTGTGTCTTTGTTGAGAAAATCAGTGCTGAGATGTCTTTTCAGCCTGGCATTGCCCTTGGAATTACTCCGTTATCGTGGCCTGATTCTCTCTGCTCTGTGAGTGTGGGCAAATTGACAGGATGTTAAAGGATGTTCAAGAAAAGGTCACTGATAACAGGCCTTTGATTAGTTCCTGAGAAAAGGAGTCAGTGATTCCTTTTCTGAGCTGGAATGGTTGGGGAGTGCAGCCGTGGGGACTTGGAGATCCTTCTTCCTGCCAGAGACTCCACAGATGTCTGGACCCAGGGGCTCGGGTGGGTCCACGGAGGCAGCAAGCTGGCCGGAGGCATCGAGCAGCTCCTCCATTATCCGCATGCCTCCTGCGTGGCTGGGCAGGATGCTGTGGCCACTGGCTGCGATCTTGGCGCTTCACAAGCTGGAGCCGTCAGGCCCTGAGCCACTCGGCCGCGCAGATGCCTTCCCTGTATGCACTGGCTTGTAATTAAAACTCAACTTGCCAGTCTGATTGGACTAAGCAGTTAAATTCATCTGGAAGAGTTTTTCATCTGCATTGTGTAATTAGCAACATACGATGCTTGTGTTAGCTCAATTAAAAGTTATGGTGATTAATATGGGTATCAAAGCAGAACCGTAAATCAACAGATTCAGGGCACTTGGAGTTCATGGGCTGGGAGGCAGAGAGCCAGCTGCAGGCCATACCTCAGTGGCAGCTAGGCAGGAGGGTGGGGAAGAGAGGCCAGGCTGGGGGCCGGGTACATGGCTGGGTCACTCACTCTCCTCTCTGAGCCTCAGTTTCCCATCTTATATATTGGGGTACCAGTACTTTTAGGTCATTCTGAGTTTCAGGGCCTGGGATGGGGTATAGATGTAGAAAGTGTTCTCTTTTGCCTATATACTCCTTCGCTTAATTCTTTGTTTGTTTGTTTTGAGACAGGGTCTTGCTCTGCTGCCCAGGCTGGAGTGCAGTGGCACAATCTCAGTTCATTGCAGCCTTGACCTTCCAGGCTTAGGCGATCCTCCCGCCTCAGCCTCCCGAGTAGCTGGGACTACAGGCAGGCACCACCATGCTTGGCTAATTAAAACAATGTTTTTTTATGTAGAGATGGGGGTCTCACCATGTTGCCCAGGCCGGTCTCAAACTCCTGGCCTCAAGTGATCTTCCCTCCTTGGCCTCCCAAAGTGCTGGAATTACAGGTGTGAGCTACCACGCCTGGCCTTCCTTCCTTTAATTCTAAATGCACTGACAGGCATTATGTATCAAAATTAAAACGTCCATGCCTTGAACCCAGCAATTGCGCACTGAGATGTTTATCACACAGATAAATTTCCACGTGTGCAAAATGTCTTAATAATGACTGCAGCAGTTGTTCGTAAGAGGAGAGATTTGAGGATAGCCTAAACTGATTAAGCAAATTATGACATATCCATGCAGGGAAATATTTTGCAGCTGTTAAAAAATGAGGCGGGCCAATTTTAAGGGAGATGGAACTGTAAGATGTGCTTTTAATGCATAAAGCAAGATGTAGGGAGTTAGTACTGCCAAGTGTGGACAAGAGAACAATACACATGTATATGTTTGCAAATAGGTGGAGCAACACCCTAAGGAGTCCTATAAGACTGGGGGAGTTGGGTACCTTCTGGGAGGGTAATGGATTGCCTGGGGGACAAGGGATGGGAGGTGATAATGTTGTATGGTGTGCTTTTGTATTCTTCGAATTTCATGCCATGTGCATTTTTTAACTTAAATTATATAATAAAAATATTTTAAAAGAAAAAAAGGCAAGCTCTCAATCGTCCTTTCCCCTTAAAATGAGAAAAAAGGGCCTATTTTAGTATTTTCCATAGATTTTTGTCTCTTTGTCCTTGTGACCGAGAGCTTCCAGAGCTATTTTTCTTTGCTGTGAAATTGTAATGTTTTGTATCTGGCTTCTAGATTTCCAGTGCAGAAATGAAATCTAAAAATCTCAAACGCCCACGACATGGCATTCTGGGGTAGGAGGGAAGAAACCCCCACCCTGGCTGTATTCTGCATTGTCGGTTGTGACTCGGATTTGGTTGTGGATCAAGATTATGAGTACAAAAAGGTCAGTGTGAACTGTTCCCATCAGCTCCTTTGATTGGGCCACCCAGGATCCCACCATGAACTTGAGGCTGATAAATTCTCTAATCTGCAAGATAAAAGTACTTGGGATGGGTAGGAGAGAGGGAGGGACATCTTTCTTGTTGAAGCTGTTTTTTTTTTTTTTTTTTTTTATTGGAATTACCCAGCTATTCTATTCCTAGGTTTATATTCAAAAGAACTGGAAACAGGTGCCCAAACAAAAACCTGCCCATGAATGGGAGGGAAATAGGGAGCGAGCACTTAATGGATACAGGGTCTCCTTTTGGGGTGATGAAAATGTTTTGAAACTAGATAAAGGTGGTGTTTGCACAACAATGTGAATATACTAAATGCCACTGACTTGTACCCTTTAAAATAGTTAATTTTATGCCATGTGAATTTCACCTCAATTTTAAAAAATGAGAGCCATCTGTGGTGAGAGGTCCTGAGCCTCTAGATTAGTCATCCATTGCTCAAGATATATTGCTGGAGTGTTGCAATAAGTTGCACTTTTTTCCCCTTAAATGTATAGCCATGATGGCGAGGTTTCTGGTGGCATCTCAGGGCCACGTGGCAGAGATGCAGAAATGCATTCCCAGGGTTTGGATGAAGATTCTGGATGACACCGACAGCTCGAGATGGTCTCTGCAGAATTCTATTATCTTCCTTGAAGCCCAAGGAGAGCATCTGGGGGACCTAGTGCATTCTGACTAGGAAGTCGTATCTCAATTAGATTTCTTCCTATTAATCAGAAGGTTGCTTAACGATGTGAAAAATCAACTGAAGTGTGCCTGGAGTGGGCAGCTGTTTGTGCTCACCTGGCATCTTGGGGGAACTGTCCTTCCCCTAGGCACAATAAAGGTGTGATGAGGCTGCCTGGATCCCCAGAGCTGGATCGGGGGTCCTCTTCACACCTCTGTTGTGTGTGTGGGAAGGACCTGGTCTTTCTCAAGACCTGGTCCTCCAACCCTCCCCGCCAGGCTCTGGGCTGCCCATCTCCTTCCATCAGGTCCACTTTGGTTTCGAACAATTCCAAGAGCCCTAGCTGAGACTGGTCTGTGACAGAAGACATTAGGGGCTTAGGTCCTGATTTTACCAGCCAGCCCTGGTTTACACCTGGCATAATCAATAACAATCCCTTTCACAGGTGCCTCAGTGGCACTGGATCCATTCAGTGGGCACCCTAGGATCTGTGTATCTGAAGGAGCCACTGTTTCCCCCAGGGGTCCCCCAGCAGCCTTCCCCTGACGGCCCCCTTTGCTGAGGGACCCCCTTTTACATCTCATCAATAGCGACAGCTAACATTTTTGGAAGCCTGCTGTGTGTCAGTATTTGCCGTAAGTATTTACACACACGGACTCATTTGATTTTCATGACAGCCCTATGAAGTAGGCATTCAACCTTTTCTGTCCCATCCCCTGAGCTCCACAAGGTGACCTTTTAAAGTTCACCTCTTGTGGATTCTTCTAGAGTTTGTTTATATAATATACAAGCAACTACTAATACATGTTTTTATTTTCTCCACTTTTCTTATAGCAAGAGTAGCATATTGCATGCACTGTTTTGTAGCACACTGAAAACCACATCTTGGTCAATGGAGGTATTTCTCATCAGGGTTTGGGAAGGGGCCTCCTTCCTTCCTCAAGCCACCTTGTGTCTGGGCTGAGGTTGTTCTTGCCCCAAACCACATCTGTGAGAACCAGGGGCGACCCAGCCTCACCGCCTGGAGACACGTAACAAAGTCTACGGGATTTTGTTTGGCTGCAAACCTTTAACAAGCTTTCAAGATAATGCTGTTTCTTGGAGGCTCAGCCGCTGCTTAAACAAGTGCAGATTAAATGCTTGTGTATTCTGTATTGATTTGATCTGGGCATCCTGCCAGCCTTGGAGAAAGTGACGATAGCGATTCAGGCCCTTCTCTGTCGGCATTTCCAAGAGGTCTGGAGTGAGAAGCTGATCAGGCTTGGGTTTTCTCACAGTGGGAGGCAGGCACCACGGAGCTCCTGGTGTTGACGCTCTGTGGTCAGGCAGTCAATCAGCAGGTCCTGGGGCTGCGGCAGCCTCTTAGGTGATCTTCCTGCCTCTACCCTCGTCCTGCTGTGTCTGTTTCCCAGATCGTAGGAGCGTGTACCTCTTAAGCTGCTAAATCAGTTCACATCCCTCCTCTGCTCCAAACCCTTCCACGGCTCCCAGCTCGCTCAGAGTAAAAACCCACAGTCCTGAGCTTGGCCCACAAGGCCTCTCCTGCCTTACTCACTCTTTGTCAGCCACTGGCCTCCTGTTGTCCCAGAGAGGCCCAGCACCCATTTGCCCCAGGGCCTTTGCACGTGCAATTCTGTTTGGAACACTCTTGCCCAATGTGTGCGTGGCTCATACCCTCAGTTCATGACTTTAGCCACATGTCATCATTTTAGAGGGGCTGTCCCTGAGCACCCCGCCTACAGTAGCGCTCAGCACTCATTTCCTGCTTCATTTGTTTTCATAGCATTTCTGTCCAGCTGATGTGACATATCATTATCTGTTCATCTGTGTTTTACAGTAGGATGTCAGCTTTATGAGAGCAGTGACCTCATCTGTCTAGTTCATAGATATATACCCAGGACCTAGAATGCTGCCTGGCAGATAGTAGGTGCTCAGTAAATACTAATGGAATAATGTTCTGTGAGCACTTACTTTGTTCTCTACTCAGTGCATGAGGATTCAGAGTGGATAACACTTGCCCCTCGTCTTCAAAAGCTTCCCGTCTAGTCGGAGAAATGAGTGGTTATTTTCTCCACTGGGTTCTGTGGGCACAGTGCCTAGGGCTCATGACTATATCCAGGCCCCCGAAAAATGTTTGAGATCTGAAAAAGTTATTGGTTCTAAGATCTGAAAAGAAAATGGTAATATCAAAACAAATGTTCAAACAACCACAGTTTTTCCCAACTCATAATTTTATGTAAGGCAGGTCGTAGGAACATTTCAATATGTTTAGTACAGTGGAAGCCTGTAAAAGAAAGAATGCTTGGGAGCTGGGAAGGTCTTGAAATGGCCTTGGAGATAACTGGCCTACCTAAAACAAAGTGATTAAACAGAGGGTGTAATTCATCCCTGTAGGAACAGGAGACATTCAGAGAAGGGACATTCATGTGGAATTCAGGGAAGGCTTCCTGGAGGAGGTGTGACTTGCGTGGGGCCTTGAAGGTCTGGTATAACTTGGACAACTTGTGGGAAGGGAGATTGGAAGGAGGAGTAGCTTTCCTGTATTTGTGGGCTGGAGCCCAACTAGCGTGGTTGGGGCAATCCAGTGAGGCTGGTAAGATGACGCCTGCTCATGGAGCGGTTGTGGAGCCCCAGGACTGCAGTTCAGAAATAGAGGGCTGCTGCAGTCTCCCAAGGTGATGAAACTGGCTTGCTGTAGACCCTTGTAAAATCTTCCCTTTGAGCCTTTGCATAAGAAAAACTGGATTGCTGTCAAGGCCCAAGTATTTCAGGAAGAAGGTGAGATAACAGCCCCACATCACCTTTATTAGAAAGGTGGGAAAGGGAGCAGTGGGTGTTTGTGACTCCCAGGGGACAATAAGTTTCTCTGCCTTATTTGCTATATAGTTTAAGCTATGTGTTTGTTGCTTATTTTTATCTCTGTTTTCTTCCCTCAAGGACTCAAGGCAGCAAACAGAAATAAATCAGTATAATAAGATTAAAATGATTAAGACAAAAGGAAAATAAGGGAGAATTGCATAGTTACTATAATGCTGGGGTGGGTCAGCACCAGAAATGTATGCCAGGAGATCGTAAATTTGGCCTTGGGTATCCTGGCAGCCAAGGCGACTAAGGAAACAATTGCACAAACCAGGCTCTCCATAAATATAGGGACTCCATACAGCAATATGGGGGATTTTCACTTTCTGAACATTTGTTCTTGGAACTGCTTCAGGTATTTGCCTGGGAATTAAATGTCCAAACATGAAAATACTTGCCAATGAACTGACAATTTCTATTCTAAATTTACTTCCCACTCAACATCCCTCTAGACCAAGGGTTCTTAGCCTTGGCATTATTTACATTTTGAGCTGGATAATCTTTGATTGTGGGGCTGTCCTGGGAATTGTAGGATGTTCAGCACCATCCCTGGCCCTTCCATCAGCTAGATGCCAGTAGTACCACCCACCCTGCAGTGTGACAACCAAAAATGTCTCTAGACATTGACAAATGTCCCTGGGGGGCAAGATTGCCCCCATTGGAGAACTCAATGGTCTAGGGTAAAATATTGATTGTGTCTGTTCTCACTCATCCCATTTTTTTCACTATTCTTTCTTTGAAGGATCAGGCAGGAACTGTAGATTCAATACATTACATAATGAACTGTAAATTCAGTGCAGATCATAAAGTGAAATTGCAAATCTTGCAAGAAATGTAGGATTTCAGGAAGTCGATGAAAGTGATATTGGCAAATTGCCAGAACCACAGCAAAACCACTGACCAATGAGGAACTCTCTCAGCTAGGGCACTTAGTGCTGGAAGAAAAGGAAATCGACGAAACTAACAGATGCTTCAAAATAAAGTGATCTGAATATCAAAAGAGTAAGAGATGACCTTGAGGAAGTTGATGATGCCTTGAGATATTTTAGCAAAAATGCACTTTTTATGATCATGTTACAGAAGTCAAATGAGAAGGAAAGGAGATTGCATCCTGCTCTTAATGATCTTTTGGACGAATTAAATGACTACCTTCAACAGTTTATTCTTGCTTTAGTCTAAGGATTGACCTGTAGTTGCAACTATAATTTACATTTTGGGAAACATAAAACAACGGAGTTATTTGTAAAATTTTTACTTGATTTTTCAAGAAAAATTTCTAGTCATGCCTTAACTTTTTTGTGGTAAAATACACACAACATAAAATCCATCATATGAAACATTTGAAAGTATATAATTCATTGGCATTTAGAATATTTAAAATATTTTGCAACCATCACCACTAATTCCAGAACATTTTCATCAGCCCAAAATAAAATCACACCGTTTAACAGTTACTCTCTGTCCCGCTACCCCCAGCCCTCGCCAGCCATTAATCTACTTTCTGTACCTGCAAATTTGCCTATTCTGAACATTTACTAGAAATTGTGCAATATGTGGTCTTTTGTGTCTGGCATCTTTCACTTTGTATAATATTTTTTTTTTTCAGAGACAGAGTCTTACTCTATTGCCTAGGGTGGCGCGATCTTGGTTCACTGCAATCTCTGCCTCCTGGGTTCAAGTGATTCTCCTGCCTCAGCCTCCTGAATAGCTGGAATTACAGGCGCCTGCCACCACACATAGCTAATTTTTGTATTTTTAGTAGAGAAGGGGTTTCGCCATGTTGGCCAGGCTGGTCTGGAACTCCTGATCTCAGTTGATCCGCCTGCCTCAGCCTCCCAAAGTGCTGGGATTACAGGCGTGAACCACCGTGCCCGGCCTAATGTTTTAAGGTTCAACCCCATTGGAGTATGTGTCAGCACTTCATTCCCTTTTATGGCTGGATAATATTTCATTGTATGGATATACCACATTTTTTAATCCATTCATTTGTTGATAGACATTTGGGTTCATGGACATTTGGGTTGTTTTTGCTCTTTGGCTATGGTGAATAGTGCTGCCATTAACATCCCTGTATGAGTTTTTGTTTGTACTCCTGTTTCCATTTCTCTTTGGTGTATACCTAGAAGTGGAATTGCCGGGTCATAGGGTAATTCTAGGTTAAAGTCATGTCTTTTTTAATCGTGAAAATTCAGTCTCTGTTTTAAGTGGGTCCACTTTAAGTGGACTTCCCAGGGTGCCGACTGTTTTCTGATATTAAGGACTTCCAGGAGACAGAGAGCTCTCCTTGACCACTGTGCAGTGCTGAAGCACTCATCCCATTGTCCTCAGGTGGGTGACTGTCTTGTATGAGGCAGGACTTCTTGTGCTTCCTGAGGGATTGGAGCTGCCCAGGCAGACCCTTCCCTGCCTGTCTTGGGGCAGCACTTCTGAGGGCAGCTGCTCCAAGGGACGCTTAGAGGTGCACTTAGATGTGTTTTAAGAGGAAGGGCAGAAGAAAAACCCCAACTGAATATCTGATGCCATTTCTTTTAGAAAGCCTTCTTCCTCTCCCTTCCCTGGCCTTTTCTGGCCACTTAAAAAATTGTTTTCTTGAATCGAAGGCAGATACATGGTAAAACTATGCCAACAGTTTAAAAGGGGTATCTGTTGAAAAGCAGGTTTTCTGTTCCTTCCCTGATCCCAAGACCACAATACCTAAACATGCAAACACACACACACTTTTTTGCATTCTTTCTTTCCTAACAGAGATCTTCTAAAGAATCTTCTAAAGGGGATTGCTGTATCCTAGGAGATGTAGACCTTCCTCATCCTTTCTGGTGGAGGTGTGGGATACCACATGCAGTGGTTCAGGTGGAATATGGAGTGGAGGGAGGAGGGCACAGACCTGCACACATGTGCACACACATTCACACACCCACAGTGTGGCGAGGTCCAGTTCCCAAATCAATCAGCTGAGGATGAACAAAGTTCTGGTCAAAAGTGAGGTGGCTGCCCAGGGCAGGGGCAGATGCAGTGATTCATGGTGTAACTTCCCTGGGCTCCCAGAGTATATAGCAGGGTGAGAGGTTACTGGCCACGTAAGCAGGACCAGCCGCACCATTTGTAAGGCCCAGTGAGAAATGAAAATGCAGGTTAGAAAACTGTCAAGAATTTCAAGAGGGCGATAGCAGAGCATTAAGTCAAGGATAAGGGCTTTCTGAGATCAGGTCCCTGTGTGACAGCACAGGCCACTCACACACGAAGCCAGCCTTGCACATAGGCAAGTTTTGCTAGAGGTGGGAAGTTCATTTCTGGCTGTGCTATGCCTTTTTTATATTTTGGATTTCCATCATGTTTCTGGAAGAACTTAACTCTATCGCAGTGGGCTGACTGCTCTAACAAACAACTCCCACATCTCAGTGGTTTAGTCCAATAGAAGTTTGTTTCTTTTCCATGGAACAGTTCAATCAGAGTGTGAGGCAAGCCTTCCACATGGGGACTCAGGGTTCTTTCATCTTGCAGCTCACTTACCTCCGCGGGGCTTGCAATTCTGTGCTGGGTCTCTGCATATAGGAAAACAAATTTGCACATTCCCATATATGCGCCAGGTCTGGAAGTAGTGCACCTCCTTCTTACTTGCGTTCCATTAATTCAGGCTCAGTCACATGACCACTCCTAGCTGCAAGGGAGGCTGGGAAATGTAGTCCACCTGTGGGCCCAGGACAAACAGTATGGTCAAATCACCATCCTAGGGGAGCAAGCAGACAGGATCTAGGTTTTCTAGTATAATAATTCTGCTCTTAGCTTCCTATCAACCTACAAATTCCATTTTACCCTCTGATGGACATTTGCACTATTTCTAGTCTTTGCCTTATGCAAAAAAGAATACCGATAGTGTCCTTGTGTGTACCTCTTTGTGGGCTAGTTTCAAGTATACCTGTTTGGTTTTCATTTAAATGCAGCAGCAGCATCAACTCCCCATCCATGTAGTAGCTTGCTCTCAGCTAAGGGTGTCAAATTTGCATACGACAGAGTCACACAGAGTTGTGACAGAGCAAATAAAGGGCCCTGAGTGGGAGTTAGTACCCCAGCTTCCAGCCCCAGCTCCACCTTGGCCCTGCTACTTACCCTCTTTGTTAAGGGTTTGGAGCTGATAATATTAGTTGACATTTCTTGAGCACTGGCTGTGACACTTTCCTACTTGCTACCATCTCTTGAGCAGTGTCTTAAGCTCTATATACACATTCCCACATTTAATCTTCACACAGCAATCCTTCTGAGAAAGGCACTATTGTCTGTCCCATTTTGTAGATGAGGAAACTGAGGCATAAAAATGGTCAGCAAATGCCTAAGATTTTGTGGTTCTCATGTCTACTTCCTTCCAGACAGGGGAATCGGGAGAGTCCATTAAGAAGGCCTCACGGGCACAGTGGTAAGAGGTTAGCTTTAGAATTAGGGATAGGCATAGATTCAAATCTGAGCATTGCTGGTTCCCTTGGGAAAGTCCACTCTTCCTAGGTCCTCAGTTTTCTCATCTGTAAAGTGGGGTAAAATCTACGTGTCAGGGTTTATTGGATTGGTCATTCCTTCATGTATTCATTCAGCCAGTGCTATGCCGGCACTGGGGGGAAAATCAATCTCACCAGGTCCCAGATGTCACATTTTAGAGGGAGAGTTCTCTAGGATTAGAGGTGATGCATGTTTAACGCCTAGCTGTGCCTAGTGCTTTCTAGGCCCTTGGGGACTGGTGGTTATTATAATAGTGGATAATTACATGTGTCATAAACTGTTAAGTGCTGTAACGGTGTTAGGTAGCAATAATATTGAAAATTCCATTTTCACTTAAGGATGTTCCCGGTATGTGAGGCAGTGATGAACAAAAGTGCCAGGAGTGAGTGACCTCCAGGAGACCAGCTCCTTGGGGTGGGTTCACTCCAAAGTGATTTTTGGCACTGTCTCCCAGCATTGCCCAGTGGGACTGCGGCCCAGTTGCCTGCAGTGTTCTGTGCCACAGCACTGTCCTGGCTTGAAAGGGGACAGCGAGAGCCAGGTTCCATGGGGATTTAATACTGGCTGCATTTGTTGAGGTCTTGTGGCAGGAAGCACTTCACATGTATTAACTCATTTAATCCTCACAAAACCCCACGAGAAAGGCACTTCATTATCCCCATTTTATAGATGGGGAAAATGAGGCACAGAGAGGTTGAAGAGCTTAGTCAAGGACACACAGCTCCAGGGTGGCAGAGCTGGGATTCAGACCCAGGTGGTCTGGGTCCATAACCTGTCATTTTAATGACTGTGCTCTGTGGGCTCTTGTGACTGGATCTGGATACTGGGTAGGGTTGGAAATACCTGCTGGGCAGCAAAGGGCAGACTCCCTTGAGTCCAAGAGGGGTGGGGTTGCTGGTGCTTTGGAGATCTATTAGGATGGTTCCCTCTTGAGCTCAGTGTCTCCCCTCTCTCAGGATCACATAGAATCAGCAGCTTAGGGACCAAGGCAGATTCAGCATGCTCTCCCTCCCTGCCCTCACCCCCTTGCCATTCTTGTGCAGGTCCAGCATTCCACGATTGACACCTGTGAGTTTCAATGTGGCCATCAGAGCTGCTCTGGTTGTGTGTAGGGCTGAACAAAAGTACCAGGAATGAATGACCTCCAGGAGACCAGCTCCATGGGGTGGGATAACTCCAAAGTGAATCTCCACACTGTGTCCCAGTGTTGCCCAGTGTTGCTCAGCAGGACTGGGCACTAGTTGCCTGCAGTGTTCTGTGCCACAGCACTGTCCTGGCTTGATAACGTACCCTTTGTTGACTTCTTTTTTCTCTCTTTGCATTTCTCTATTCCTCACACGATGCTTCCTGGAATCATCTCCAAATGAAACACCTGTACTCTAATTATTGTCTCAGATCTGCTTCTGGGGGATCCCAAATCAAGACATCAAGAGTAGCTGGAATCTGCCACCTCATTAGCAAAGTTCCTGGGAGCCACTGACATGGAAGACCCCCTGTTTCCGCCTCTCGGTTTCCGAGCCTCAGAAAGATGGACTGTGAGGCCTCAATGAGCTCGGACTGGCCAGAATTCCCTTGGCCTCTGGCTCTTCACCCCGCTGCCCTCGTTAGCACCCCGGGGCTCCAGGACCACGTGTGTGTGAACAATTGCAGATGGTAGGCGAGTGAGGAGGGATTTGGCCCTGGGCTCTTGATTAATGGAGAGTTGTGGAGGTCAGCACCTCTGGGGTGGGAAGGCAGCAGCAACTCTCTTGGCCCAGAAAAGATCTGGGGGAAGAGTCGAACAATTTGGGTTTTGATGCTCTCCTGACCTCAGCATTTCTGCCGTGCTTCTGTTTTGACCAGATTGATTGGAAAACACAGGGAGGATAAAACTCAGTTGCTTCTGCCACAGGGCTGGTGGGCGGAGCTGGACCTGTTCAGGCTTGTTAGGATCAATTCTGTGGTTGGAACGTGTGGGGACATGGTGCATGGAGGGTTGGATCGAATGCTCTCTGCAGCAGACGTCACTGGTGCCTACCCACAGCGGCCGACCCCCTGTTGGCTGCTAGAATAACATTTTGTTTAGGAGGTGATGGGCCCAGCTCCAGAGAGGGATCCTGATTGGTCCAAACCGATGTATCAATCACTTCCCTGTTTTCCAGTGATTGGTTTAGAAGTGGCCACGTGACCAGGTGCTAGCCCATGAGATAGAAGAGCCTGTGTACTGGGGCTTCTTTGACTAATTCTCTCCCTAAGAGAGGAGTGTAGGAGGAGAAAATCTTCTTCTTTTCCCATCTTTCCTGCCTGGATGCAGACCCTGAGGACCTGACCAACTAGAGCTGCATAGCTATGGTGCCGCGGGCGAGGGAGACCTTGCCAGCACACCGAGGAGGGCAGACAGGGAGCTGGAAGGAAGCCTGGGTCCCTCATGACGCAATTGAGTCTCTTAAGCAGCCTGGCCACCGCCCACCTCCGAGTTTCTCGTTAAGTAAATAACGCATGTCCTTATGGCTTAAGCTGCTTTTAGTGGGTTTTTCTGTTATTTCAGCCAAATGCGTGCTGATGGATAAGGTCACCATTTTCTAGAAGTCTTTCTGGGGAATTCTTTAATATTTTAACACTTGATCCAGGACTTGCTTTTGAACTCTCGGCACTTTACTACATTAGAGCATACTTATATTTTGTGCCTGTGATTCAGTCAGTGCGGTGAGTCCTGGCCTCGAAGGTCCTTACCGTCACTAGGTTCATTCCTCTTCCATTACCTGCCTCTTAGAACACAACGTTTTAATCTGTACTAGTTGAAAATCTTGTGGTTGCCATTAAGAGAAACCCACTGTAACTGGCTAAATACATAAGTAAATTCTATCTACCTACCTGTGCATCAATGTATCTATCTATCTGTCATCTATCATTTATCTGTCATCTATCTATAGAAAAATAGTCAAATAATTTATTGACTCAGCACTGAAAAAATCAAGGCACAGATATTCTCGTGTTGCAGCTTCAGGCATAGCTGAATCCAGGGGCTCAAACAGTAACACTGGGAATGTCCTCTGTGACTCCTGGCTTTGCTGGCTTCTGTTGGCTGTGTTTCTGCACAGGTTTTCCTCATGAGATATCAGGATGGCTGCTGATGTTCCCGGCCTTGCACGCTCCCAGTCGCCTAGCTGTGCAATCCCAGTGGAAAGAGAACAGCTATTGCTCGATAGATTAATCATTCCTCTCATAATTTCGTCTAAAGGGTCTCCCTAAGGGCATGTGCCCATTCCAGAACCACTTATTATTGTGCTCAGGAGGATAGAAAATGCCGGGGCAGGAGCAGCCTTAGGTCACATGCTGGGGTGGCACCAATCTCCCTGAAGGACAAGGGCCGGGAACAGGGCGGAGGATGGTTCCTCAAAGGAAAGCTGGGCAAGATGAACAGAAGAAGGAGGACTGGAGCCCGGGCAGGCAAAAACAACAGATGTCTCCTCACAGTCTAAGGTATTTTGGGAGGAGAGGAGACACTGCAGATTTCCTCTAGTTTCTTTTTTTAATTGCTGGTTGTAGAAACTTTTGTTAAAAAACCTTACACGTGAGGCTAACATGTTAAGGAGAAGGAGGTGGTGCTTCTCAGGTTGGCGCTGCGGGGAGGGGTGTGTTGGCTTCTCCTCTGTGTGAAGCGGTGGAGCAATGCTGCTTCAAGTGTGGCTCCTGGACTGCAGCGACAGCATCTGGAGACCCGTTAGAAATGCAGGTCCTCAGGCCTCGCCCTGGACCCATGCAACTGGAAGCTCTGCAGGTGGGGCCCAGGCATCTGTGGTTTTTTTTTTCTCATTTTTTTATTTTTTCTGAGACGGAGTCTCGCTCTGTTGCCCAGGCTGGAGTGCAGTGGCGTAATCTCGGCTCACTGCAAGCTCCGCCTCCTGGGTTCATGCCATTCTCTTGCCTCAGCCTCCTGAGTAGCTGGGACTACAGGCGCCTGCCACCACGCCCGTCTAATTTTTGTGGTTTTTTTGTGTGTATTTTTTTTTTTTTTCAGTAGAGACGGGGTTTCACCTTGTTAGCTAGGATGGTCTCGATCTCCTGACCTCATGATCCGCCCGCCTCGGCCTCGCAAAGTGCTGGGATTACAGGCGTGAGCCACACATCTGTGTTTTATCAAGTCTTCCAGGTGATGCTGAGCACGCTAGAGTTCAATAACCCCTGCAACAGTGAAGATAAAGGTGAATCTCTCTTGGTCTGGTTGTTGGTTCGTGGCCTGTCCATACTGTTGTTTACACCACCTGTCCCTTTGGTGAGTTATACTAATTTCCTATGGCTGCCATATCAAATTGCCACAAATCTGGTGGCTTAACAAAACAGAAATTTATTATTTTGCGATTCTGGAGGCCAGAATTCAGAAACCAAGTTTTTGGTAGGGCCGTGCTCCCTCCGGAGGCTCTAGGGGAGGCTCCTTCCTTGCCTCTTCCAGCTCCTGGTGGCTTCTGGCAATCCTTGGCGTACCTTGGTTGCAGTTGCCTCGCTCCTGTCTCTGCCTCTGTCTTCACGTGGCTGTCTTCCGTGTGTGTGTGTGTGTGTGTGTGTGTGTGTATATCTGTGTCCTGCTCCTCTTCTCATAAGGACCCCAGTCATTGAATTTAAGGCCCACCCCAATGCAGTATGACCTCACCTTAACTAATGACATCTGCCAAGGCTGTATTTTCTGGGCGGACATGAGTTTTGAGGTGAAGGGGCCACTGTTCAACCTACTGCATGAGTGACCTTCTGTGGTCCAAGAAATGTGGGGTTTTTGGACTACATTGAGCTCTAAGAACTGGAACTCCAGAGCTTACTTTGGTCCACACAGGAGTATTTGAGCATGTTTGTCTTAATAGAAGCGATGTGAATAATCTGGCACATTTATATTGCCCATGTCCCAGTGGATTTTGAAACATATTTTTTAGTGGTGGAACTCTTTTCTCCCCCTAAGAAATATTATGCAGGAACATAGGCTAGAAAACACAGCCGCTCTGATTGGAACCAGGGTAGAAGCTTGCTAAGGCATATTTTTTAAATTCTAGGATTTCACAGAACAGAGTTTGAAAGCAATTGCTTATACATCTTTTTCTTTAAATTAAAAAAAAAACCCAAAGGCTTACAATCTTTGTACCGATCCCTATTAATACTTTAAAAAAATGCATGTACTTCGTAAAAACAGTTCAAATAGTAAAGTTACAAAATAAAACTTCTTTTGTGTCCCCCCCCCACCAAAACTCAGTCTTTCACTCTAAAAATACCACCTCTCCATAATTCTAGAAAAATATATGCACAAACCAGTCCATGTATGGGTGTGTGTGTTTTTTAAAAATCTATGTGAAGGAAGGCACAGTATACATACTTTTTTGCACTTTGATATAAAATAGTTTATATTCTAGAACTTTACACACTTACGCATATATAGATCTACCTTACCCTTTGTAATAGCTGTGTAGTGGTCATCGTCTTCATATATTATAATTTATTTTAAAAAATCTCTCCATTGATGGGAGTTTATGTTGTTTCTAGTTTTTTTCCTCATTATAAACAATGCTGATGTGAACATCTTTGCCTTTCCTTTGTGTTATCACCATCTCATGGTTCTTTGCTTAGATTCTTTTGTTTAATTCTTTTTGGAGCTCTCCAGTAGAGTGTGTCCATTTGAAGAAGATAGAAGTTTGAAAGTGAGGTGGCAGTCCCATATTACAGTCAGTTGATTTCTTAAATATTCTCTTCTAAGAATATCTTCTTGAAAAAAAATAATTTTTTGCTTTTATCACTTTTCACTTACCTTTTTTTTTTTGAGACAAATATCTGTAATAGAGAATTCCTGATCATGGAATTTTCCTGATGAATTCCCAGCCAATAAACATCTCCTGATTAGTTGAATTATAAATTGGCATTAGGAGAAAGTCCTGGGCACAAATATAGAATTGACACCTGCTTGCCAGACAGACAGGGATGTGCTATAAATATTGGGACAGGGTTAAATGTACAAAGTCACATTGTGCATTTTTTCTCTCTCATAAATGTGTAAGTAGCTCTCATGTTTTTCCTAAGGACCCAAGCTTCAAGCTTGACTTGTTTGGGCAATTAATTAATTGAGGTGTTCAGTGAAATGGCTATGTTGTTCTTTTCTGTTTTTAGATCTGGCAAAAGTATTATCATGGACTCTTCTAGCTAATAAGAAGATCTTTCTGATGAAAGTTACTTTGGTATAAAAAGCTCTAGCCTGGAGAAGTTGGGAAAATCATTTTTTTTCCCAAGAGTCTCAACTTCTTAATCTGTGAAATGGGTTGGTTGGATCAGATGGTCTTCAAGACCTTTCCAGTTCAGTGATTCCATACCACTGTGAGTGTCATTGTGGCCTGTATATGTGTCTCTGATGTCCCTGGCTTGGGGTGTTTGTTTCCCTAGGTAGGTCAGTGTGTTAATCTTGGCAAAAGGGACTTATCCAGGCCAGGACTAGGATTTTTAACTCACCCCAGTGTCTGAAACAAAGTGGTTACTGGTCCCTCAACAGTCATGTAGAAGTAGGTTTGGATGTGTGTAGCAGAGAAAACCAAAATAATAAGGGATTATACAGGATAGAAGTTAATTTCCATCTCTCACCTCTAATGTGGTGGCTCCATGATGTCAAAAAGACCCAAGATCCTTCTAGTTTCTGCTCTGCCATCTTTGGCTTGTGACTTCCATCCTCATGGTCACCTCATGGTTGAAGATGGCTCCCAGAGTTCTGGCCATCATCTCCACCTTCCAGGCAGGCCCTGGAGGAAGCAGATGTCCCAATAGCCATTTTGACTGTTTTTAAGCTGTCTTCTGAGAAGTCCCACCCCATGCTTTTACTTATATCTCATTGACCAGAAGTCAATGACTCATAGTCAATGGCCACGCTTAGCTGCAGGGAAGGACAGAAAAAGAAATTTTCAGCTGCCTCAAATAAACTTGGGGTTCCCTTTTTAACAAGAAAGGGGTGGAAGGATGTTGGCATAGGCAATTGAAAATATCTTCTAGGACCAGGATTTGGCCATTTAGTCTGAATCAAAACAGACTTTTCCACTAGTAGGCTTGGGGCTTCTCCCTTTGATTGGGCTCGTGGATGCAGAGCTTCTCAGCCACTGCTGAATTGATAATGCTTTATGCTAAGGACCCTCTTCCTGGAGCCTGAACCTCCAGGTCAGCGGACTCTCTCTTATTCAACTGCCTCCCCGTAGATCCTGGCATGGTGCTGGCCCATAGCAGCCGTTTCATGAGCGCTTGTGGTCTGATCATGGAATTTTTTGCTGATTTTATAGGGGATAGGAATTTCTCTTACTGGCTTCTTATTATGAAGATGTATATAAGAGTTTGTCTTTCCCACTGGACACCAAAGGATTGCTGTAGTCAGGGATGTAGATATTTTTCCTGGGACTCTCATAGCACAGCTCCTGGCAGGCAGTTGGTCTTTGTAAATATTTCCTGGATTATATTCTGTCTGTGGGCAAGTGGCTGTGGCCAGGGATAGTGCTGGGCTGTGTGTGATGTGATGAAGTTCATAGTTTTTGCATCCTCCTCTTGTATCTTTGCCTTTCCCCACTTCCTGACTGTTTGCTTTTCCTGATCACACAATTCTTGTTGGTCCAGTTGAAAATGTCCCATCCTGTGACACCACTGCAAAGGACCCAACCCCCTATTTTCCATGGCGCTTCCTCCCAACCTAATGACTCAGCCCTGTGAACTAGAGAAGGTGAGGTTTTCCCCATCACCTCCCGCTGAAACCAACTCATGATAGACTACACAGTGGTTCTCCATGTGGGGTCCTGCACTGGCCACATCAGCACTCCCTGGAAGCCTGTTAGAAATGTACATTCTCGGGCCCCACCTGCCGAGTCAAGTGGGGCCCAACGATCCATGTTGTACCAACCCCCCTCGGTCCCTTCAGGTTCTGAGCCTTGCTCAGGGATCTGTATTTTCAGCAAGCAGTACAGGTGATTCTGATGAAGGGGGTTCAGGAGCCACAATCCGAGAGATGTCCTCTGTTCAAGATGGGATCAGATAGGTCCTTGGCGCTGTTCATGAGAAGGTTCTGTGTGTCACCAGACACCAGGATGCACCTAAAATGATAACACCTCCAGATGGACTTCTCTGCTCACTGGGAGGCAAGGCTCTTCCTCTATCCCCTATCTCTTTGTTTAATATTCCAGTTGCTTTATCTTAGGGTGCAGGCTGTTGTGGGGATAAATGGGGTGTGGGGAGAGCTGAGGGGGCATTGTGAACAATGTAGTTGTGAGGAAGGGGTTGAACTGACAGATCTCTTTCCAGCGTACTCTTTGCAGCTGATCCTGCTCCTAGAGCCTGTAGCATCATGGGGTTGGTGAATATTCCTAAGCCTCTGCATGCTAGTTTGGCTTCCTTCTTAACTGTGATCCCCCAGTTCCAGGGAGCTGTGCTGCAGCTGCCACTCACTGGTGGTCATGGTGGACTCTGGATGGTGGTGCCCCTGGGAGAGGCTGCATTTGCATTTCTCACCTTTACAATTAGGGGCTTGTGGGAAGTTCAACCCAGGTCAGGCAGCAAATAAAGACAGAGTCCACAAACTCTCACATGATGTCCTGCCAAAGCTGGGACTAGCCTGGGAGTGCCAAATTATGATTTGGAACCTCCAAACTATATCTCAAATGTTACACTTCTCTTCACCTCCATGGATCCCACCTTTGTCCCAGCTGCTGTCATCTCTCCCTCTTCCTTCCAGCTGGCTGATTATCCACCTGTGGGCCCATGGAGGCTCTTGCTGCTGGATTTTTTTTTTTTTTTAAGCTGAGGTGAAATTTATATAACATAAAATTAACTACTTTAAACCGAACCATTCAGTGTTACTTAATACATTCACAACGTTGTGCAACCACCATCTCTACCTACTTCCAAAACACTTTCATCCCCCAAAAGGAAACCCCATACTCATTGAGCAGCCACTCCCTAATCCTCTGCCCCAGCCCCAGCAATCACTGATCCGCTCTCTGTCTTTATGGATTGGCCAAGTTTGGGTATTTTATGTAAATTGACTCGTACAAATATGTGACCCTTTGTGTCTGGCTTCTTTCACATAACATAACAGTTTTGAGGTCTATCTATGTTGTAATGTTTATCAGCACTTCATTCCTTTTTTTTTTTTTTTTTTTTGGAGAGAGTCTTGCTCTGTTGTCCAGGCTGGAGTGCAGTGGCACAATCTCGGCTCACTGCAACCTCTGTCTGCTGGGTTAAAGCGATCCTCCTGCCTCAGCCTCCCGAGTAGCTGGGGCCACAGGCGTCCACCACCATGCCCGATTAATGTTGTATTTTTAGTAGAGACAGGATTTCACCATGTTGGCCAGGCTGGTCTTGAACTCCTGACCTCAAGTGATCCGCCCACCTTAGCCTTCCAAAGTGCTGGGATTACAGGCATGAGCCACTGTGCCGGACCAGCACTTCATTCCTTTTAATAGTTGAATTTTTTGTTTGTTTGTTTGTTTTTTTGTTTTTTTGAGACGGAATCTCTCTCTATTGCCCAGGGTGGAGTGCAGTGGTGTGATCTTGGCTCACTGCAACCCCCTCCTCCCAGGTTCAAGTGATTCTTGTGCCTCAGCCTCCTGAGTAGCTGGGATTACAGGTGCATACCACCACGCCCAGCTATTTTTTTTTGTTTTTTTTGTTTTTTAGTTGAGATGGGATTTTGCCATGTTAGCCAGGCTGTTCTCAAACTCATGACCTCAAGTGATCCACATACCTTGGCCTCCCAAATTCTTGGGATTACAGGTGTGAGCCACCGCTCCCGGTCAATTCCTTTTTATAGTTTAACCCTATTCCATTGTTGGGGTAGACCACATTCTGCTTATCGGGTATAAGTTTATCTGCCATCCGTTAATGGACACATGAGACCCATGGAGTCCTTTACAGAGGCAGTTGCATCATGTCTCTTGTCTGTATACGGTGCTACCTTAGAGCCTCCCCACTGCTGCCCCTGGGACAGAGTCCTGGTTCCCCAGGCCAGCTGCAGAAGCCCATCCAGCCTGGCCCCACCTGATGTATCCTGCACCACTTCAAGCTGTCTCCTGCACCTTTCCTGGCCACTTACCCTGGCTTCTCTGTCTTTTGAAAAGCCAAGCTCTTTGCCCTTAGGGCCTTAGATAGGCTTTTTCCTTTTCCGTATTTTCATGGTTGTCTGAACTTAGGTCTTTCCAAAAGCAGACCCCAAGACAAAGATTTGGGTACCTGTAGTGCATCGGAGAGGTGCTTGCAGGCAGGATGGTGCGGGAGCAGGAGTGGAGCAGGAGAGGGAGGAAAGACAAGCACAGGTGTGTGAGTGAGTGAGCAGGTCACTGCTGTGGGCAGCTGGGGCTCAAGCCCCACTGAGTGTCCTAAAGAGGCATGAAGGAGCTGGGATATTGATCCATTGGCCTTCCTCCCTTCTCTATTTGGGTTCTACCCAGAAGCATCGACTTGCTGACACTGCCAGCAGCAGGCTTAGAATGCTAATATGGCCAGAGAGAGAGCCCAGGTAGAGAGAGGTAGGTGTTCCAGGTAGGAGGTTGTTAGCATCCTGGGGCCGTCACCAGTGCCGCAGGTGACCTCCAGGGGGCACCAAGGGGCTGTGGCTTTGCTGCTGCCACTGGCTCACCCTGGATCCTTTAGCTGTGACGTCAGTGTTCTCACTTCAGACAGGCTTTCCTGCACCGCCCCAGCCCAAGCAGGCCTCCCCTGTTCTCTCTCCTACCACCCTGTTCATTTCCTTCCTAGATGTGATAGCTTGCCAGGATAAGTTGGCAAACTTTTTTATTTTTATTTTTTTGAGAAGGGCTTCACTCTGTTGCCCAGGCTGGAGTGCAGTGGCGTGATCTCTGCTCATTGCAACCTCCGCCTCCTGGGTTCAAGCAATTCTCGTGCCTCAGCCTCCCAAGTAGCTGGGATTACCAGCGCCCACCACCACGCCCAGCTAATTTTTGTATTTTTAGTAGAGATGGGGTTTCACCGTGTTGGCTAGGCTTGTCTCGAACTCCTGGCCTCAGGTGATCTGCCTGCCTCAGCCTCCCAAAGTGCTGGGATTGCAGGTGTGAGCCACCATGCCCGGCCACGTTGGCGTACTTAAAGTTGCATTTGCCTCCTGGGTGGTGAACTTCACAGCACCAGCACTGATATTTGCAGGCAGTGGCATCCCTTGTGCTTGGTGCTGTTGTGGTACATGGTGGATGCTTGGTTGATGGTGTTGAATGAACAGACCAGGGTTCCTCTGCTGTCATGGCCTCCTCCGCTGGTTCCTTAGAGGGGCCATGACTTCAGGAGCAGACTCGATGTCCCAAGACCAAGTCTTTAGTGTATGTCACCAGAGAAGGTCACAAAAGCCCAAGATCCAGGGAGCATAGAGCAGCTGCACTTATTTATTTTTCTAAACCAGACTTGGTTGTATTTGGATTTTGTAGTTCTTCCTCTTCTTCTCCTCTCTTTTTTTTCTAAAGGGCCTGACTTCTGAGGACAAAGATGTTGGGGACATTTCTGGGAGGTTATTGCATATTTTCTCTCAAGTGGTCGCCTCTGTTTGTCAAAACAGTCTCAGATGGTCCCAGCTACTTGGGAGGCTGAGGCAGGAGAATGGCGTGAACCTGGGAGGCGGAGCTTGCAGTGAGCCGAGATCGCACCACTGCACTCCAGCCTGGGTTACAGAGCAAGACTCCGTCTCAAAAAAAAAAAACCAAAAAAAAAACAAAAAAAAACCAAAAAAACAAAAACGCAGTCTCAGATGTGGGCTTTGCTTTCTCTGCTGCGTGTAATTTGGTTTTCTGTCCCTGTTCCCTTTTCTTCAAGCTTTGGGCTTTTCTGCTGAAGTTAATTCCCGGGAGCATTAGGTGTTGATTTTGTATTTGCTTGTTTATTGCAGTGCATTCAGATGGCTATTTTGATAAGTCTGGTGCTTCTGTTTTCTGGGCTCAATTTTTGAGAAACATTTTGTTCGGAAAGCTCCGAAGGCCAGAGAAATGCACGGAAGAAAAGGCTGAGAAAAGTTGATCCGTGACAGGTGGGGCGGTCAGCACCGACGTTTCACCCACATGGGACGTTTTACAGACCTGTATTGATTTATTTCCTCTCAAAACCCTGGGTGTTTGTATTTAAAAGTGTTGAGAATGCTGAGAAAGAAGGGAATCAGGGTATTGTTAAGAGACAGGGGAGGTGAAGCAGATGGTAGGCCTGAAGGAGATGCATTCATTCCTTTGTTAAGAAAAGATCAGCAGAACCCCACACCAACCCAGTCTCTGATGTGGCGCCTGGAATAGAAGATGAAAGATGTCCTCAAAAGATTTACATTCTCTAGAGGGAGACTGAGTTTCAGTCTAATGTGGTAACTATTATGGTAATAACGTGTTCAGGGAGAGCATGGTGAGGGGCGGGGTGAGGCAGAATTGAGATGCCTGGTATGGGAAGGTCAGGGAAAGCTTCCTGGAGGAGGTGATGGATGGACAATTCAGTTTTGGGGTGGGGAAAGAGAGAGAGAAAGAAAGATGAGATGAAGTCCCAGGCTTGGAAACTGTTAGGGAAGAGTGTGAGATTTTGTGGTGTGGATGAGTAGCCAGGCCAGGGGGTTCTGTGATGTTCTGATTTGTTCTGACATATGTTCCCAAGGATAGGGCTAAGGCTCTCTGGCCTTGGGGATTGAATTATAGTCATAGTCAGGATCTTTTGGTTGCAGGCAACAGAAACTTAAGTCAAACGGCTTTAAGAAAAAAAATTCCCATTTGGTTTCTATAAAGGAAAAGTTTAGGGTTTCTGGCGTCAGGAATGGTTGGATCCAGGAACTTAGGGAGTTCCACTGGATCCTCGTCTCTTTCTTTTCATCTCTTGGCTCTGTATTTGCCTGTGTTGCGTTTGTTCTCAGGTGGTCTTCTCATAGTGATTAGATGGCTGTCTTTTGTTTCAGCCAGCATCCTTGCCTTTCCATAGGACCAACAGGATGGCATGCGTCTTCCCTGATGGCACTAGAGTCCCAGAATTGAGTGTGGCAGCCTGGGGGCACTTATGTGAATGCGGAAGGGAGAGGTAAGCCAGGGCTACCCTCTGCTCATCCTCCCGGCGAGCGCTGCCGTGGAGGTGCCCGGCTTTCGCGAGATGGTGTTACCGAGGCCCCACTGCCTGCTCATGGTTTGTTGGGGGGAAGTGGAGAGCAGGCCTTGTGGTACTGGCTTCAAGGGGTGGGATGCCGCAGGCATTGGTGCAGTAGGGGTGGCCTGTGGATTATGGCTTTTTCTTGATTGTAGTGGCTGCCTTATTGCAGTGGCTTCCAGATGGTGGTTGTGGCGTGATTTTGGAGCTAGCAGCTGTGGTGACAACATCCCAATTCAGCTGGTGGCATCTTCATCTTACAAGAGAAAACAGCTCCCTTGGTGCCCTGGATCTGCCATGTGGCTTGCAGGGTCGTTTCCGGAACGTTGACCTGTAGAGCTCATTCCTTCCACCTTCTGGTGATTCTGTAAGGACTTTGCCCCTGGGAAAAACAACTCTGCTTCACCGAACTGGAGTGGATTCTGTTCTCTGCAACAAAACCCTGCCTAACACGTTGAGTGTCTCTGGGCTATGGCTGTCACCCTGGGGTGAGGGAGTGAACTGGGGCTGGTTTTGGCCCAAGTCCCTGTCATTTCCATGGCATCCGTGGTAGAACAGCCCTCACAGAAGTGCTATTTGGGTTAATGGCATGTTCCCAGCTACCTACTTCCTTTTGACAGGGCTGTTATTAGAGCTGACATCTTACTGGGACTCAGTAGTGCATTTTATGGGCCCTGCTAAGCTTCCTTGCAAGTAAGCCTCATCTATGGGCAGTTTGAAAAAGCAGAAACAAAAACAAACCCACGTGAGCAAAACTTCTGGCCTTAGATGGCCTGGAGTCAGAGGGTAGGAATGAGTCCCAGATACCCCAGCATTGACCTCTTGGTTCAAGCAGAAGTTTTTAAAAAGGACATGCACCTTACTCTTAGACAGGCATGCTCCTAGGGAATGGAATGCAGAGCATGTCAGCTCCAACACTACTTCCTGGACTCCCATCTCTCTTCCGGACTGCATCCAGTTTCCAGGTGTGAGCTCCCTGTGCCCCCTAAGTTTTGTGTTCACGGAGCTCACTGCAGTGTGTGATTACGGACTCTGTGGTGGGATTAGTTGATAAATGTCTGCTGCTTTTATTAGGCTGCTAGGCTGGAAGCTCCAAAATGCCGGGCCCTCGTCCCATGCCTGACGGAGAGCACGTGCTCAATGCACATTTGTTGAATGAGTGATCGCGTGAGTGAACGGGTGGGCGTGAAAGTCTCCAGTGCCCCAGAAGTGAGTGAACGGTGGTGGGCGGGGGTAGGGCGAGTACCTCCTTTAAAACAACGATTCTTAACCCATTTCGTGCCACGGGTCCTTTTAGTAGTTAGATGAAGTTGTCTGAGAAAAATGTCTTTTAAATGCATATCGTAAAATACAGAGGATGACAAAAGAAACCAATTTTATTGAACTCCAGATATCAAAATATAAGGAAAAAGAAATTTGAGATATGGTAATTTGCTTTTCCAACATGCTTAAATACCAAGATACAGTGGGGTATAAAACAGGCATCATTCTGAGGTCATGGTGAGCGTAAATGATATTTCGAGATCTGAAAAAATGGGAATGGGATATAAAAATACCTGTGCTTCTCTTGGAGGCAAGATCACAGGTCCTGCTGACACACATAGGTTTGCTGCTTCAGTTTGTGATGCTCTATTTCAGCTGGGGTTTCATGATGTGAGTTTTTTCCATGCACATTCATGGACCCCTGAATTATGTTTACTCACCCCAGGCCCTGGACCCCCTGTTTAAAGGAGTGTTGTCTGGACTCATCTGGATGTGACTCGTGACTCGAGATTCCCTCTTTCCTCTCACTCTCCTTTCTGTACGACAGTGGGTTTCCAGCATCACCTTCTGTTGAGCCTTCAGAGGAAGCATGGTTCCGCTGGCACCTTGTTGAGCCTTCAGAGGAAGCGTGGTTCTGCTGGCACCTTGGTTTTGGACTTCTGGTCTCCAGGGCCATGAGAAAATACGTTTCTGCTGCTAGAAGCCGTCCAGTCCATGGCGATTTGTCATGGCACCCCTAGGAAACTAACACAGTTTCTAAAGCTCTCCTTGCTATAGATGTGTATGAATAGAGTTTGATGACCAATGTGTATAAGTTTTCTTAGCATTGGCTGCACTTGGTGTATCTGTGGTCCACCTGTTCAAGGGAGGTCTCCTTCCTGCAAATGAAATCGGACTAGAAGGCAGACCCGTGGGGAGCATGGCAAGTCCACTCAGTTCTGGTTTGAAGTTCTGTCCCAGCATGTAGCAGGTCCTCCAAAGATCTGTTGTGAATGAATAGAATAACAACGAGTATTTTCTGAGATACTTAACTATATGCCAAGTCCTGTTCTAAAATACCATAGGAGAGCTCCCTTTTTAATCCTCACATCATCTCCATGAACCCAGTCCTAGTATCACCCCCATTTTTAAAAATTTTGAGTCAGGGTCTCACTTTTTTGCCCAGGCTGGAGTTTAGTGGTGTGATCATAGCTCACTGTAGCCTCAACCTCCTGGGCTCAAGAATCCTCCTGCCTCAGCCTTCTGAGTAGCTGAGAATAGAGGTATGTACCACCCTGCCTGGCTAATTTGTTTTATTTGTAGTAGAGATAATGTCTTGCTATGTTTTCCAGGCTGGTCTTGAACTCCTGAACTCAAGCAATCCTCCCACCTCAGTCTCCCAATATCATTCCCATTTTATCCTCGAGGAAACTGAGGCCCAGAGAGGTTGAGTGATTTGTTCCAAATCACACAGCCTATCAGTGGCAGAACCTGGCCTTGAGCCTAGTTGGAACCACTCCAGAACTAAGCTGACTCTAGGTGGAGATGCAAAGCCTGAGGACATCCCAGTGCTAGGATCTCTTGTGTCCCTTTCCCTCTCCACATTCAGCTGGAGGAGGAACCCCGTGCACTTGAGGTGTTTGTCCCTCTAGGGTGTCTGAGGATCACACTGGACAGTTCGGAGCCTGAGCCTGCAGGCCTCCTTTGTCCTTCAAGATCTCCTGTTCTCTGGGGCCAGGGTGCTGCCAAGCAGCAGTTGTCCCCTGGTCCAGCCCCAGAGCCTCCCACTGCCCACTGCTCCATCCTGTTAGTCCACTTTCTTTTTTTAAATTATGTTAAACACATAACATAACATTTACCATTAGTGCCGACTGGTGCTCACTTTGCTGTGCAGCCACCACCTCTCTCTAGTCCTAGAACATTTTCTTTTTTTCAATTTTTATTTTAGAATCGGGGTACATGTGCAGGTTTGTGCTCTTTTCTCTTTCTCTCTCTTTCTTCATATATATATATATATATATATACACACACACACACACACACATACATATATACACACACATATACATATATACACATACATATACATATATATATACACATATATATATATACACACACACACACATATATATATATATAATTTTTTTTTTTATTGGAATCTCACTCTGTCACCCAGGCTGGAGTGCAGTGGCATGATCTTGGCTCACTGCAACCTCTGCCTCCTGAGTTCAAGGATTCTCCTGCCTCAGCCTCCTGAGTAGCTGGGACTACAGGCACCCGCCACCATGGCTGGCTAATTTTTTTTTTTTTTTGAGACAGAGTTTCACTCTGTTGTCTGGGCTGGAGTGCAGTGGCACAATCTTGGCTCACTGCAACCTCTGCCTCCCGGGTTCCAGCAATTCTCATGCCTCAGCCTCCTGGGTAGCTGGGACTACAGGCGCCCGCCAACATGCCTGGCTAATTTTGCATTTTTAGTAGAGATGGGGTTTGACCATGTTGGCCAGGCTGGTCTCGAACTCCTGACCTCGAGTGATCTGCCTGCCTCGGCCTCCCAAAGTGCTGGGACTACAGGCGTGAGCCACTGTGGCCAGCCACAAAAGTATATTGGGTGATGTTGAGGTTTTGAGTACAAATGAGTCTATCACCCAGGTAGGGGGTATAGTACCCAATAGGTAGTTTTTCCAGCCCTTTCCCCCCATCCCTCTTCCGTCATAGTCCCCAATGTCTGTTGTTCCCATTTTTGGGTCTGTGAGTACCCCCGTTTAGCTCCCACTTGTAAGTGTAACCATGCAGTATTTGGTTTTCTGTTTCTGCAGACCTGAACGAATGCAGACCTGCAAATGTAGCCACAGCATTTGCCTCACCCTGAATGGAAGCCCCATACGTATTAGCAGTCACCGCCAACGCCCCCTCTCCCCCCAGCCCCTGCCCACCACTAACCTCCTTCCTGTCTCTCTGAGTTTGCCTATTCGGGACATTTCTTGTCAATGGAATCACACACAATGCAGCCTTTGTGTCTGGCTTCTTTCACTTAGCGTGATGTTTTTGAGGTTCACCCACGTTGTAGCCTGTGTCAGAATGTCATTCTTTTTATGGCTGAATCATATTCTATTGTATGAATATGCTGCGTTTTGTGTATTCGTCGGTTGATAGACGTGGGTTGTTTCCATCTTTTGGCTATTGTAAATAATGTTGCCACGAACATGAGTGTGTACATTTTTCCCGAACACCCATTTTCAGTTCCCTTGGGTCTATGCTCAGGAGTGGAATTGCTGGGTGACAGGGCAGCTCCATCTTCAACTTATTCAACTTATTGGGGAGGCTCAGTGCTTCTGGAGTGAGAGCAGAGGTGGGTGTGAGGCATGACCGCGCTATGGGGAGAGGATGGCACAGCTCTGTGCAGTGCTGGCCCCTCAGGGAGCTGCTTCTGCCAAACCAGCTTCCGGCCTGGGGACCCAGGGCCCAGACCCCGCTGATGTGGGGCCTTGCTTTCCCAGGCTGCATCTTCCCCAGTGTTCTCTGTTCAACACCTCCTCTCGGCCACTGTCACTGGTATACACCCAAGGGAACTGAAGGTGGGTGTCTGGACAAAAATTTTACCAGCCAAGTGCCAGCGAAGTGGTTCCGACTGTGCTGGCTTATGGTAAGGAGACCTTCCTCCCCTCCCCAGAGAAGGTCAGTTCATTCACATGACAGCGAGACCCCCTTGAACAAAACCTTCAAAGCCATGCGAAGGGATGATGGCTTGTCCTCATCTAGGCAGCCGTTGCAGGATGGCTTTACTATGAAAATTCCCTCCTAGGTGAGAGTGCTGGTGGCAGCTCCTGAGCCGCTGAAAGAAGCATGGTGGAGTGGAAATGTCTGGCCAGGGGCCTTTAGGTCACCCCTGCCCCCACCATCTGCGTGAATTCACTTCCCTCTCTCGGCTTCCCCCTCAGTTTCCCCATTTGTGCAATTGGGGCGGATGGAGCTGGGCAACTGTTTCCCAGACATCAGTCAGCACCGACCATCTCTGCTAGTTTTTCCACTTAAAAGTATTTACCCAGGACGAGAGCAATTCTGAATTACTAGCACTAGTGGAAAGCCCGTATCCCTTGAAATAATTCTAAGGCAACAACAAAAGTACTTTTGTTGGTTTCCTCTCGTTTTATTGGTTGTTATTTTTCTTTTCACTTGGTTTCTTTTCAGAATCATTTTATAAAAAAAGGGCAATGTTGAAAATGAAGAACCTTTCCTTGTTCCCAGATGCCCCCCCAGGCAGCCCCCCACTGCAGTTCAGGAGGGAGGAAAATGACTTGCTACTCTGGCCCCCACCATGCCTGCCAGGAAAAGACCCCCCGCAACCAGGCAACTCTTGCCCCTCCCGCCCACCCCTCTGCAGGTTGATCCTGGTCACAGGTGGCCGAGGTAAGAACTGTTGGGATCAGGTTGGAATTCTGACCCTGGAAGGTCACAGCCAGGGCAGTCTGTGAAGAGCACATTGCCCTCTGACTCCTGAGACAGGCAGGACCCAGGATGGGGGGCTTCGATGGGGCCTGTGCAGTTCTGTGTAGCTAGACTTGGAGGGGCAGCAGCTGCTCCCCGGCAGGAAACAGTGTCAGACCTAGCTGGTCTCATCTGTGAAATGTTTGACGGTTCCAGCACCCCAGCCCCTTGCTCATACAGAATGTCGGGGGATGGGGGGGGACTTAGCCCTGGGAACAGGCCTGGCAGCATTGGTTCTTCTGCCAGGTGGGCAGATAGCCCAGGCAGTGCCGGGGGAGTGCTGGGCAGATGTCCCAGACCCTTCCAGCCTCTGGCTTGTCCCACATCACATCCTTGCAGGTGTCCCAGGCTTGTCCCACTACCCCACACCCCAGCAGTCCTCCAGGGTCCAGGCTCTGAAATGGGGTCCCGAGCTGCCAGGTCAGGCCTCCCTGGGGATACCTGAGTTGATTCACCCGACATCTCTGCAGCCAGATGCAGGCTGGGCTAGTGATAATAACAAGGACCATTTTAACACAAAACGGGACCCTCGTGTGCTTCTTCCACTGGAAGGATGGGCAGAGCCATTCCACTGACCAGTGGGGATTGATCTGGGCCCTGGCAGTGACTGGCGCTGCCTCTCCAGTGATCCAGTGATCCTGCTGGCTTTCCGCTTCATGACAGTGATAGCTCTCAGTATTGACTGGACTGGAGGTCGCTCTGTGCCGAGGAGAATGTCAAGCCTGTTAGATCATAAAAACCAGCATTGCTGTCAGTGTGAGCTTAGCTGGTGGCCCCTCCTTTCCCCGCCTTCCCTGCCACAGGGAACTCAAGCCGGTTTGGAGTTAGGGAGCAAGTTGATCCGTGTAAATAATGCAAAGGATTATGAATATGAATAGGGGACTCGTTCTGTTCTGAGGAAGTCAGCTTCCTGGGCTGCGTCTCTCATCTTGTTTATTAACATGCTGTCCCCACTCAGATGCCTTGTTTCGAAACAGCGTGCCGGTGTTATGATTGTGATTACTATTATTATTTGTGCAGTGGCATTTGGAAGCCCTTATTAAGTGATTCCCGTTTGCTTCGGCATGAATGCACAACATGCGAGACTTCAGGACAAGTTCAGCGTCTCCAGCACACACAGTGCCATTTAAAGAGGAAGCCCTGGTTCCAGTGTTGGCTTCAGAGAACAAACAAATACTGATTTTTCCATTTCGGGCTCTTTTGTGAAGTGCTTTGATTCTTAAATCGGAGCCGGCTTTCAGGCACCTATCTTCTCACCCTTTGTTCCTGTGGACAGAAGTGATGGATTTTGCAGTCTGGAGGCATCTGTCATTTTGAATCCATCTGCTTGTTAGGCACTTCCAGTGTCTCTGATGTGACACCATTTGGGGTTTCAGCATTTCATCACATTTCCCACCGGGAGAGCCTGGGGTTTGTGGGGGAGGTGGTGGGGGTAGGGGCACAGTCAGGATTTTCCACTTAAGTTATTACTATTTAAGGCTTGGGATAGTATTTTTAGAAGACATTAAATCAAATAAAAGGAATCTGAGAGGGGACCCTCCCCTATGCAGGAATATTTCTTCTGTGTGCTGTTTGGTTGCTTCCAGTAATGACGCACTCACTACCTATAAGGTAACCCATTCCATCAAAGTTCACATCTGACTGTTACGCCTTATTTTCTCCTTTCTTTGTGTCCATAATCACCCACCCCTTTGAACTTCTGGAGTTGTTCAGAACAATCCTAAAAGGCTTCTTACTTGTATGAGACACAAATATCACATCCCATCTTCAGGCTGAAAAAGCTCCATTCTGTCTGCTTTTAGTTTGATGGCAACTTGCATGGGACAGTTTCGTATAACAGGCTCTATCTAGTTTAAAACCTCATAGGAGACAGGTTCTGGGGGATCTTTGGAGGTTCTCCTAAGATTCTGCCTATTCACAGATGATGCGACATGAACCCATCTTTGATGCCCCTGCCAGGCCACTCCCGTCTGTACCCTGTTGAAAGGCATTCCTCGATGATTCTTCAGGCTTGATGTCCATGTTTCCATCCCAGCGATCATATTTGGTTTAGGGGTGGCTGACATATCTTGGCCCCAGGGAGACAAGTGACCAATCAGAGATAACATCCTGGCCAATCAGAGCACAGCCTTCCTATTGGCCAATCAGAACATGGCCCCCTGGCTAATCAGAGCACAGCAGCCCCCTGACCAATTAGAGAACAGCATCCCCCTGGCCAATCAGAGCATAGCATTTCCCCTAGCCGATGTCACCGGCCCTGGGATAGGCCTGACCTATTAGACCTCATTTCAGAACTTTTACTGGGACAGTGTGGGAACGTGCCGCCCCCACCTCCAGATGGCACGAAGTAGGGACTACTCCTTGCTGTCTCTTTTTTTTATTTTCCAGCCAATTAACTCACTTTTCACTTAAGCTAGTTTGAGTTGGTTTTCTGTGATTTGCAGCTAAAAGATACCTTGAGACACTTCCTGCTTTGGGGACACATCCTTCAGTGTGGCTTTGGATTAGCGCATGTGTTCTATGCAGCCAGGCAGCATGGCAGAAGACTTTACATAAAATCACAGCCACCATGATTTTTATTCCCAGAAGCAGATCTTGGAGGTGGTGACCAGGAAAGAGAGTCTGAAAAGAGGCTGTAACTGTCACCTGCAGGCATTTTGATACCCACAGCTTGTAGTTTAAAGCGACGGCTCTGCAATTCTGAGGTTCCCTGATCTTGTCTTTCTTCAGGAGGAAAAATTAGGAGCTAGCAGGAGATATAGTCAAGAAAAGAGAACCTCAGAAACACCGGAAAAAGCATCTTTATGAGTGTAAACCATATTAATTCAATCTATCCTTATTTAAATATCTTAAAGCTCACAACAGGCTTTTCTCAGAGGAGAAAAAGAAAATGAAATCTCCATATGGAGACTTGAGTTATTGTAATATTTTAGATAGGTTACCAGGGGGCATCAATGATTGCATTGCCATTGGTTTTTTACTACACTAACTTTATTACCTTTATCTGGATTTATATAGCGTTTGATAGAGTTTATATCGCTAGATGTGTAGAAAACCATCTGAATGTGCCTATAGCGTTGTGTCTGAGTGTGCCCCATGGAAGGCTAATAAATTATAAAGTAATCTATCTGTTCCACTTAAAGGCAGAAGTGTAGTTGATTCTGGCTGCTTTATTTATGTGTTGGCTTATGCTTTAGGCTAGCATTTTTTGTGGGAAGGAGACTGGGTCAGGGGAGTGGGGTATGGGGAGCATGTGAGGATGTCTGCCCAGTTGTAGTCGATTTTGGGCCTGCACCACAGTTCCCCTTCTCCCTCTGCCCACTGTGGCTGCTTTTTCCCCTTCTGCAGGTGCTGGTCTGAGGGTCCGCACCAACATGTCCTGCTGTCATCTCCATCAGTCTTCTTCCTGGGGAACCCAACCTGTGACACCTTCCTCTTATTAACCACCTGCCAGTCACCCAGACTGGTAACCCCTGGTTTAGGGCAAAGGTCAGGTCTAGGTGCCACTGAGCCCCTTATGAGCATGTGACCTCCAGGTGGAGTGGGGGAGGGCTTCACATACCTCTCTGGACTTGTGTTTCTCATGGTGACTTGGGATCGGTAAGACTTGTGCTAATTTTTCTGATCCTTGGACCACAGGACCTGAAACAATCTTTCAGACAAGTGACAGCTCAGAGGCTTAAATTAGCTCAGTGATTCTCACCCTTGAGTGAGCATAAGATCACCTGGAGGATTTGTTAAATGGCATCTGCTGGGCTCCATCCCAGAGTTTCTGATCGGTAGACCTGTGGTGGGGCCCGAGGATTTGCATTTCTAGCAGGTTCCCAGACGCTGCAGGTGCTGCCGGGTCGAGAACCACGCTCTGAGAACCACCGAGTGAAACAAAAGGAAAATTCTCACAAGGGCAGGAGCTGTTAGGTCTTTCTTTGAACCACATTGCCGAGGAATTATCTAGAAAGTTGATCTATTAGTAGTGATTAGTTTGCGGTGGGACATAGAATCCTCTCCCACAAAACCATCAGCCAGATGCCACAGTGGGTTAACTTTACTATGAGATGGCGATGAAGATGGAGATGATGTAATCATCACTGTGTCATCCAGACTTGCTTTTACAAACGCAGCTGTCTCTGACAGGGGTTCTGCATCACTGAAATTCATACCAAGATGGTAATTACTGGCAATGTCAGGCAGGTCTTGAAGCAATTTGACAGTTGTCATCAAGCTATCATCAAGCACTGGGTGACTGATTAGATGAAGGGATCTGTAAGACCCTTTCAGAGCTCGTGGTCTGACAATGGGAAGGGTGGGACAAGTATCCTTAATCTCATGTCACAGTTAGAAGAAACAGGTTCAGAGAGTCCCCCATCGGGCCACACAGCTCATAAGAAACTCAGTGGGACCTAGACATCACCTTTGCCCTGAATTAGTGGTTACCAGTCTGGGGGACAGGCCAGTGGTTACAAGGCTGAGTTCCCAGGAGGAAGACTCTGAGGCGGAGGCCAGAGTGCAGGGCGTTTTATTGGGAGAATCCCCCATTAAGCAGACATGCCTGTGTTTTTACACCCCTGACTGAGTCAGTTGGCTCTGCGTCACCCTGGGCACGGGCAGGTCAGCTGACAGCTAAGGCCACCCACAGCAGCGTCACAGCAGCTGGGCAAAAAGGCCCACATTGTGGGGGGATCTGGGCGGCACACCCCAGTGCCCAGCACAGCAGGTGGGAAAATGTGAGTGCTGCAGACAAGGTCCCTGGTGAGCTCCTCGTGGTATTTCAGAAGCCTGTGCAAAACTGGCTCATTTACCTGCAATAAGTCCCCATTGCATAAAGAAAATGTCAAGTCACTTTGCTCTTGGCAGAAAGAGTTACCTTGCTGTTCCATCTTGCACATATCAGGCCTTCTCCAGATTCTTTGACGCCCTCGTGTCTGTGGTCCTCTTGCCTTTGGGACCCTCGTCCTGGCCCTGCTGACCTTTCACCCTCATCGTGTCCCCTTCCCCTCTTGCTCACACTGCCCCCAGTCCAGGATCCTGCGCAGTCTCCAGCATGGAAACTTCGCTCAGGCTTATCACCAATTCCATCCAATCTTTTGTCTAAGCACAGGAGCACTTAGTGTGCTCCAAGAGGTGCAGGCTTTTGAAACTCAAAAATTGAGCATCCCCTTTGCTTTCCTTGGCTCTCTCTGGGTTCCCCCTTCCCTGAAGCAGTGAGCCCAGAAGACCCAGTGGACTGAGTAGGAGGGGGCTGCAAGTGAGAAAGAATCACAGAGCTCAGCAAGCACAGCGATTTATGTTTCAAAAATATCCCATCCACACTCAGGAGCCTGCAGGCCCCTGCCCACGGTCTGCTGGGTAAAAGGAAGTGGCTGTCCCCATCTTTACCTCCTGGAAATCTGAGTCTTCCTTTATTCCCTTAAAAAGCCCAGCACACTGTGCACACAACTGCCAAGGTGACCTTTCAGCATTTCCTCTGCTTCAGTGCCCTGTTCTCCTTATTTGATTTTGTTGTTACATTTAATGAGGTTTCTCTAAAAAGAAGAGATCATTTCCGACTATTGCTAATTTAACAATAAGTGGAAAAGCAGTGCTCAGGAGTGAGTGGCATCCCCTTTGATTTCTTCAGTAGGACATCATCCTTCAATAGGGCAGAGGTGTCTTCCTGGGCTGGCCTGAGAGATTAAGGATTTAATGGCATGGAGAAGGGATTTGCTTCTCCATACATGGTGCATTTAGCTCAGAAAGTGAGATGATTTTTGAAAATATCAAAAACTATCATTAATTTGGGCTGAACCAGCCAGTTTTAAACATTCAATATTAAATACCATGAAATAGCATTTTAGAAAAAAGAACTGGATGGAAATGTATTTTGCGTCTTGAGATTTTTCTTCAAGGATGGGGCTTAAGATGGAGTCATACTTAGGTTCAGCTATATGAGCCTTTAAACCAGGGATTGCAAACTGAAATACCTGCAGGGCTCACACAGGAAATGTATGAGAGGGAAGAAGTCTGGGTTTAAGAAATTCGCTGCTCTCTGCCTATCTTTGAACTCTTTTGATAGGCACTTGATTATAAAGAAACCTTTCTCTACCATAAGAAAAATAGCATTATAAACTCAACGAGGCAACTGATACCCAGGCTCGGGGCTGCTGAGACAATAGGGAACGGTGTGGACTCTGGCAAACTGGAGACCATGTTCCCCAGATGAAGGGGACAGTGGTAACTCAGTTCTAGTTTATTGGTTCTGTTTGGGAGTAACGAGCCCAGTGTTGCCAGAGCTGATTTTCCTAGAAAGGCCATTCGTTTGGATTTTCATGTGAAATTTCCCAAGTTTATAACGTTAATAATCATAATTTTAAAAATATCGGGTGGTCAAAACAAAGCAAAAGAACAATACAGCACTTTAGAACACAGTTAGGTGCCACATCTGGCCTGAAGGCCTTTATGCATGATCTGAAGTTATCTAGAATTTGGGAGCTGGAAGGATTTCTAGGGTGCACCAATTTCAACCTCCCACCTAACTGGGGAGAGTTGTATGTGAAGCCTTCTTACAAAGAGGTGGTCTTCCTCTAGTATACACTGACACTGGTGCACCCACTACCTAACGTGATGGGATTGCCACTGTTTCCCAGCAAGAGTTGTAAGAAATTCTCTTGGGTGATAAATAATGACAACCAAGACAAGCCAAAAAGAAGCTCAGGGCAGAATGCAGCTAGTGGGCCTCAGGAAGGGCCCGGAGGAGGCAATGGGAAGCCACCAGAATTCCCCTTTCCTGGGCTTTGCTTCCCTCTGCAACTTGCTTTCCCTCTCCCTTCTCTCTAGTGAGTGCCTTTCTCCAGGCCTCCGGTTCCCACGGTGGCATGTGGTGGCCTCACAGCTTCTTCCGTTAGGCGTGTCTGTTCCAGCCTCCCACGGAGGCCTGCACTCGCTGTCTCTGGTTCTCATTTCCAAGGGTCCAGGAGAGAGAATCTGATTGGCTCACCTACAAGCAGGTGTCGTGCGCTGGTCCAATCAGCTATGGCCAGGGGGTGAGATCACACAGAACAAAGATGGCTTCTGAACAAACCTGGCCAACTCCACGGGTGGGAAATGTCATGTGACTCCCACAGTTCACCCGGAACCCCTAGAAGGTGTCCCTGTGATTCTGTTGCATGGACTTTTGTCTCAGAGAAGTCTTCTGCTGTGGCTCCTAATCCTGCCTCCCACAGAACCACACAGACAAGCCCAGGGTCCCTGCCCCATGACCAAGGATGACTGTCTCCCCTGAGGGTGGATCTTCTGGCTCAGTACCCACAGTTCCTCCCCGTTTCCCAGCTGATTAGGTTCCAGAGTCACTCTCCGGTCTGTGCACTCGCTGGGGAAAAGCTCAAATTGGTCAACATTTTCTTGAAACAGGGTACCTGACCTCATCCCAGACCTCTGGGACAGTTGTAAAAGTAGTGGCATTTCTAAGAACTCAAAGGGGTTAACTGTAAGACGAAAACAACTTTAAAAAATCTGTTTGCTCTGTGTCTGGAGCCCCGTGGAGCCGGGAGGGAATAGCCTTCCTCCTCGAGAGATGCTGAGATGGGAATGTGAGCTGTCTTGTTGTAAGAAATTCATCTGTCACTGCAAAGGAGCTTGGCAGAGGAAATGACCCCCTCGTGGAGGCTGCCTCTGACCCCCTCCTCCCCACACAGAATTAAACCCTCTCATCTCTGCATTTTCTCAGCACTTTATCCACCTTGTCATGAGAGCTGGGTCCCTGAGTGTTGCCGTTGGTTCATATTTATGGAAGCTTCACCATGTGCCAGGCACTGCGTTAAGTCCATTAATGAGGACTAGCCAGTTATTCGTCTGTGCAAAATCTGCTAATGAAACAGTAATAATAATAAAGCCTATTTATTGAGCACAGTGCTGAGAACATTTCATACATCTCTTCATTTTCTTTTTTCTTTCCCCCCCACTTTTTTTTTTTTTTTTTTGAGACAGGGTCTCACTCTGTCGCCCAGGCTGGAGTGCAGTGGTATAATCATGGCTCCCTGCCACCTCAACCTCCCAGGCTCAAGCAGTCCTCCCACCTCACCCTTCCTAGTAGCTGAGACTACAGGTGTGTACCACCACGCCCAGCTAATCTTTGTTTTTGGGCAGAGATGGGTATTCACCATATTTCCCAGGCTGGTCTCAAACTCCTGAGCTCAAGTGGTTCTCCTGCCTCAGCCTTCCCAAATGCTGGGATTACAGGCGTGAACCACGGTGCCTGGCCCATCCCTTCATTTTTTATCCTCATAATAACCCCATGAGGCTGTATTGTTATTATCCCTATTCCAGAGCCCAAGAAAGTTACAATAATATGCTCAAGGTCACCCGGCTAAGAAGCAGAGGGTCAGGTTCTGAACCTGGGTCTGACTTTGGCATTTGCAGGGGGCATCACTCTCTTGAACAATGTTGTGTTTGTCTTTGTTTCTGTGGAGCTTGGCTTTTGCAGAGAGCTTGAAATAAATGGGCGAAGGAGGGAAGGAGCAAGAAAAGCCAAACTAGACTGGGCGCGGTGGCTCATGCCTGTAATCCCAGCACTTTGGGAGGCCGAGGCGGGAGGATTACTTGAGCCCAGGAGTTAGAGACCATCCTGGACAACATAGTGAGACCCCATCTCTACAAAAAATGCAGAAATTAGCTGGGCCTGTGGTGCATGTCTGTGGTCCCAGCTATTCAGAAAGCTGAGGTGGGAGGATCACCGGAGGTCGAAGCTGCAGTGAGCCACGTTTGTGCCATTGCACTCCAGCCTGGGTCACAGAGTGAGATCTTGCCTCAAAAAAAGAAAAAAAAAAGAGCAAAACTAACTTTGAGAAGAAGAGCAAAACCAAAAAATTGTAGACAAGACCTGGCGGCATCCTGATCAGGAGAACTTAAGAAAGGAGCTTGGGCGAGGTTCTGTTTGCCTTCATCAGCCCCCTTAGACTGCAGACTTCAGGAAGCAGCAGCAGATGTTTCCTTGAGGTTTTGCTTGTAAGTTGGTTAGTTTTCTGTCCATTAACCAAGAGAGCCACAGCTTTGCCTGGGGAGCCTCCTTACCCATCACCTACACAAAGACCCTGCGAGATTGCCTGTATCCCCTCCAGAGACACTTGGATTAGAGATGGAATTGCGTATTTGTTTAAGTGCAAGGTCCTCTCTCCTGGGACTTAGGAATGGGCCTAGGAGCCTCTTCCTACTTTTTTTTTTTTTTTTTTCAGATGGAGTTTCACTCTTGTCACCCAGGTTGGAGTGCGGTGGCACAATCTCAGCTCACTGCAACCTCCGCCTCCCGAGTCCAAGTGATTCTCCTGCCTCAGCCTCCCAAGTAGCTGGGATTACAGGTGCCTGCCACCACACCCGGCTAATACTTTGTGTTTTTAGTAGAGATGGGGTTTTGCCATGTTGGGCAGGCTGATCTCAAACTCCTGATCTCAGGCAATCCACCCGCCTCAGCCTCCCAAATTGCTGGGATTACAGGTGTGAGCCACTGTGCCCGGCCGCCTCTTCCTACTTTAAACGATGGGGACTGTGACGAGGAGGTTGACAGGAAGCTCTCCTCCTCTTTGATTTGATGATATGCGTGGAAATGCGGGGAGCAGCTGAGGGAGGGTGTTGCTTTGCATTTCAGTGGGGGTTGCCGAAATCCACGTGATGTGCCCTTGCCTTTGCCACCCTCCATCCCTAGCTCAGAACCAAGGTAGGGGCTTGCGGGGAGGAGAGGGTGGCAGCTTGCGGAGCAAATTCTCTCTCTTCTCTCTCCTCTCTCTCTCCTCCTCTCTCTCTCTTTCTCTTTCTTTCTTTCTCTCTCTCTCTCTCACCCCCCCTCCTCTCTTCTCTCTCTTTCTCTGTATGTGGGCGCGAGGGGGTGGGGGTTGTAGAGCCACAGTTGCCCACGGGGGCGGCATGGCTGTGCTGTAGGCTTTAGGCAATTATCAGTTCTGTCTTTGATTCTGTTCAAGGTGACTGTCAAAAATCCGCAGACTTTCCTAATGAAATGGAAAAGTGTGCAAATGTATCCTGCTGCATACAGATGCCTTTTCGTCTCCTAAAAATTGCTCCCTTGGGTTCAGCTCCACCATATTAAAGGATCTTTTCTTGTTCAACAATTAGTACAGTCCACCTAGCGCACCTGCTTGAGCCTGGTCCTTGGAGAGTGCCGGGCAGGGACTGGGGATCTTGGAGCGAGGTCTCTGCCCTTTTCCTTCCTCTCTTAAAATTTTATTTATTTATTTATTTTGATCTCACAGGGGCAGTTGGAATACAGGTGAAATGAGATGTTCTCGAGAGTGGATGTGTCTGAGGGAAAACGACATCTTTCAACAAGTAGAGATGAAAGATGGCTCTGGAAGGACATGTTCTGGTTGAAGCTGTCACAGCGACTGATTGTGGGTTTAATGAAACTGGTATCTGATGCTGAGAAACAATTAGTAAATTCACCTGGGCCCTGTTTTATGCTTCTGTTGTCAACCCTAATCACTGAGTTTTAAGTCATCTGGTTTTGTGTGTCGCTTTTTTTTTAATTTTAAAAAGAAAAACATTTGAATTTCTCATCTCTTGGATTTCACAGAAGCGATTCTGGGTCAGTCAGTGCGTTCATGTCCTGGCCCCTGTCATCAAACTCTGAAGATCTTGCTGCAGCTGAAAATGATTAGCTTCTGCTGGAAAGAGACAGAGGCCAGCTTCAGGAATCCGCTGCACTTTCTTCTCTGACAGCCGTGCTGGAAAACAGGGAGGTGTTTGGAAATTGCAATACAGTCTCTAAAAAAGGGAGTGGGCCACATCACAGGATTCATATATTTTTAATACAGCCTCGCTGAGGGCAACTTAAGAACATCAGCTGTGCTGCGAGGAAGGTCAGTCATGGAGGGGTGGTCAGGGGAGCCGGTAAACTTGCTTTCAGGTCTGTTGGTGCTTGCGTTGGAAGGCAAAACTTTAACTTGGAGCTGAGATTTGCAAAGTAGGGTCTTTGGGTCAAATCCGGTCCCCAGCCTGTTTGTTGTAAATTAAGTTTTATTGGAACACAGCCACACCCATCATTTACATATTATCTGCAGCTGTTTTTGGAGCTACAAAAGCAGAGATGAATAGACGTGACCTGCAAAGCCTGAAATATTCGCCATCTGGCCCTTTACAGAAAACATTTGCCCACACTTTCATTAGAGGGTTCCTCTGCTTTTTAAGTTTGTATTAGGTTGGTGCAAAAAGTAATAGCAGCTTTTGCAATTACTTTCAGTTGCAAAAACCGCAATTACTTTTGCACCAACCTAATATTATAAAAGTGAGACGATGAGGCAACTAAATTGTGCAGTCAGTTCAGGGCTGTTGAGGACTGTCCATTGACCTGCGCTTCACCTCTTCTGGGTAACTTTTCTGTTCATCTAAGGGTGAGCAGTTGAGAGAACAGGGGGCTCTTTACACAGAGATTTCTGCTTCTCAGGAGCAATTCCAACAAGAAGCCTTTTCAGAGAGGAGTTGGAGATCCTTGTCTTCATGAGGCCTGGGATTTATTAGAAATTGCAGTTTTTGTAGGTAAAAAAGATGGTCAAGGCCAGCACGGTGGCTTATGCCTGTAATCCCAACACTTTGGGAGGCTGAGGCAGGAGGATTACTTGAGGCTAGGAGCTTGAGACCCACTGGGAAACATAGCAAGACTCCAACTCTCAGAAACAAAAAAATCTGGTGTGGGGATGTTCGCCTATAGTCCCAGCTACTTGGGAGGTGAAGGTGGGAGGATCACTTGAGCCCAGGAGTTCAAGGCTGCTGGGAGCTATGATCATGCCACTGCACTTCAGGCCGGGCAACAGAGAAAGACCGTCTCTGAAAAAAAAAGTCAAGTAGCAATTTCACCTGGAGGCTCCCTGTTTCTACCGTTGGTCAGTGCAGGGAGAATGAATGACCAAGCAGGCTTTTCTGCGTGCTGTTGAATCTCTGCTGTTGCTCCTCCAAACAGATTCTGCGTTTCTGGTTCTGGCTTCTGTCACCAGATGTGGCACTGGCTGAACCCTGTGCATGTGTGGGTGGTGTGCGGGAGCTGCTCTGTTGTCCAGGAGCTGGACCTCCTGTCTTGGATGGTGTGGTAGGCTGAATAAACCTCCTTTCCACCAGGATGACCCCCATTCCTGGAGCCTGTGAATGTCACTTTATATGCCAAAAACTCTATAGATGTGATTATGTTAAGGATTTTGAGATGGGGAGGTTATCCTGGATTTTTCTGGGTGGGCCCTAAATGTAGTCAAAGTGTTAGAGGTGGGCAGATAGAGATTTGACACAGACAGAAGAGAAGGTGATGTGGCCACAGAGGCAGAGACTGGGATGATGTGGCCACAAGCCAAGGAATGCCTGCAGCCATCAGCAGCTGGAGAGACAAGGAATGAATTCTTCCCTAGGGCCTCTGGGGGAGTGAGGCCCTGGCTACACCTTGAATTCAGCCCAGTGTTGCTGATTTTGAACTTCTGGCTTCCAGAACAAAGAGAGTAAATGTGTATTGTCTTAAGCCACCAAGTTCATTTCAGCACAATTTGTTACAGCAGCTATAAGACACTGATGCTATGGTTTTTAAACTGTGCAAGTTTTTGCCATTATTTCCCTCTATATTTGTTCAGGAAATATTTACAGGGAGCCTCTTGTGTGTAGGCACTGTTTAAGGGCTGTGTACAAAGCAGGCATGGTTCCTGCCTTGGAGAAGGCAGACAAATGAGACGGTTTCATGAAGCAGTAAGTGCCGTGTTCCAGGTACTATTGCTGCATAAGAAATTACCCCAAACCTAGTGTCTTACAACCACCATTTTATTATGTTCTCAGGTTCTATGAGTTGGGAATTTGGACAGAGTACAGTGGAGGTGACTTGTTTCTGCTCCACAATGTCTGGGCTTCAGCTGGGAAGGCTCTATGCTGGTGGTGACTCAATAGCTAGGGGCAGGAAGCACCAATGACTTCCTCATTCATATGTCTGGCTCCTGGGCTGGGATGGCTTGAAGATTAGAGCTGCCAATCTGAGTATCTTCATGTGGTTCTGTGTGTGATTGGGTTTCCTTACAACATGTTGGCCTCCAGACTCCAAGTGCAAGGCAAGCTGCATGGCCTTTGAGGATCCTGTCTCCAGAGTCACATAGCATCACTTGTATGGCACCCTGCTGGTCAAAGTCCTCATAAGCCCACCCAGATTGAATGGGAAGGGACATAGACCCCACTTCTTGGTGGGAAGAATGACAAGATGACATTGTAGAAGAGCTTGTGGCATGGGACGCGGTATGCTGCTATCTTTAAAAAATGCAATGTGCCACATGCAGAAAAATGATAAAACAGGATAACGGGATCAGGAGTGACTGGGATGTGGGGGCTGTTGTAGATTGGATGATCAGCAAAGGCCTCTCTGCAAGGTGTCATTTAATCTGAATACTGAATGCGGAGAAGGAGCCATCCTTGGAAAGATCCAGAGAAAGAGTGATCCAGGCAGCGGAGAGGCATTGTATCCTTAGTAGACATACGATACGGCATTGAGCAGTCAGCAACAACACCATGGCCAGTTGGGATGGACGTCAGCTGTGAACTGTGAGGATGACTGTGCCAGTGATGTTCCAAGAAGAGGGAAAAAAATGAGGGAAAAGTCTCTGGGTGGGAATGAGTTTAGCTTTCCCAGTCAACCTATCTTATCACCCCATCACCCTGTTTTATTATCTCTTCTGCATGTAGTTGCTTTCTGAAATTATTTGTCTACTTCTTGATGCTTTGTCTCCCCCACTAGATTAAAATCCTATGAGAACAGGAACTTTGTCTTGAAAACCAGCATTCTCAGTGTGTAACAGGATGCCCGGCATCTATAGGCATCCGATAAAATTCGTTGAATGAATGACTCATGCTTGACTAGGTCTACCTCTTAGCCACACAGGGCTGCCTGGCAGAGGGTTTCTCCTTGAGTTGGATGTCTGTCACTTCAGTAATTGTCACAAGATTTAAAGAATTAGAGAAAAGCCCAGCAATGTCGTCAGCCTTCTGGATGCTTGAAATTTGTCACCGGGTTGAGTTGGAACCCAGTAGTGACGCTACTCATAAGGGCCGTTGGGTCTTTTAAATGAAATTCTCTTTCCTGGGTTTGAAAAATGCTCTAAGAATTGGGAGGGAACCCTCCTTAAATGGTTTCTGTAATTAATCCCCGGGGACTCGTCGGCAGTGGCATCCCACTCATTACTTACGCACAGAAATAAAGATAAATGTGTCTGGATAATAGCCCTGGGAAGGTATAAATCTTGCTTGTTTATGGGGGAAGGCAGCACACGAGGACTTAATGCTGCGGTTAAGGTTTTGTTGGATTTATGAGAACGCGCATACTGGTAAGAGCTGAGATTTAGAATCAAGGTTAAAAGAGAGGATGGGGGTGCTGCCGCCCTCGTGGCTTTGGGCTGAGCTCACTGCAGAGTCTTCCAGTCAGCTCTCGGTGACCTTGTTTGCCCAGAGGGGTCTCTTCACTCATTTGTGGATTTGGCAGCCATCGTCCTAGGGAAGGGTTTCTCCCAACTGTAGAAATTATGTTTTGCATGGAATGAGCCCATGGATGCAAGCTAACTTGGTAGAAACCACTGGTATCCACACTGAAGAGATTGTGCAAGCCAGGTTGGAGCTTTGAGAGAGAGATCGAAGTGTATGTTGGTACCCAGAGACGTATTTTGTTCTGTCATTTTGCCACCATTCACTTACATGTTTGGTCAACGTTTATGGAGCTTTGGGGCTCCTGTCTTGCGCTAGAGCTTGCAGTTTTGGCAAAATGAGTCTTGGTCTCTGGAGTACATCACTACTTGAAATAGTTCCAGGGTTTGCCAAGCTGCCGCTATGACCTAGCCACCATTTAAGTGTGTACAAACTCTATTATGACTTATTTATGTATGTTTTTCTATTTTTTAGAGATAGAGTCTTGCTGTGTCAACCATGGTGCGATCATAGCTTACTTCAGCCCCTAACTCCTAGGCTCAAGTGATTCTCCTGCCTCAGCCTTACAAGTAGCTGGGACCATAGGTCTTGCTAAGGTTTACCTTTTTTTTTTTTTTTTCGTAGAAACAAGGTCTTGTTATGTTGCCCAGGCTGGTCTCAAACTCCTGGCCTTCTGCCTCAGCTTCCCAAAGTTCTGGGATTACAGATGTGAGCCACTGTGCCTGGTCAATATTTATCTTTAAATTGCCCCACTTGTTTTCAAACTTAATGCCAAGTTTAGCCTTGTCCTAAGGTATAAGTATTACTGGTTTGTTGTGCTGGTTATATTTCTTTCTAACTCATATTAAAATAAATAAAGGCTGGGCATAGTGGCTCACTCCTGTAACCCCAAGCACTTTAGGAGGGCGACGTTGGAAGATCACTTAAGCCCGGGAGGTCGAGGATGCCGTGAGCTATGATTTCACCACTGCACTGCAGCCTGGGCGTCAGAGCGAGACCCTGTCTCTACAGATTGTGTGTGTGTGTGTGTGTGTGTGTGTGATTAATACAAAATAATTTCCCTTGTCTACCACCTCAAACAACCAAATAATGTGTGTGCCATCCAGTCATCTTCTGCCTCACTGATAGGTAGGCTGTGTGCACACTGGTTGTGTTTACATTGGCTGAATAGCGTACCTGCTTTTCCAGTGCAATGAAACTTGCAACTTCCACCCACTTGTCTTCCCGGTGAGAAGTTTCTGGTCCAGGTATTTTAGGGCAAAGATACATCCTGTCTTAAATTCTGTGACTGTTTTCAGTGCCCATTTTTTCTTTCTTTTCCTGCAAAATGATGTAAGGGCACATACAAGAAAGAATCTCTCAGATCACTGTTCATTGACTGCCACAAAATTCAGAGTGAGTCTCCTCAGAGGTCACTTTTCATGGACCTGAAATGTGCTATTATATTCTCTGGCTTCTATCCTAGGGCCTGGGATGGGACTGTGTACCAGGTGGTCTTCGTTGCTCTAATATCGTTGTCTGATTTAAAGATCCAGTGGAATTGATTTTAATGCTTAGCTGAAAGAGAGAGGAATTCTGCACACTGGTGATATTTGGTGAGAGGTGAACTCATGTATACCATGACCATATTTCCTATACCCCAAATCAGGATGTATTATCTGAAACTTATTAATATTCCGTGCTCCACAAGTGCAGAAAATTCAAATTGTCATTAGTAGCTATGTGATTAACCAACGGATTTTATTGAAAGAATAACATTACATGAAAATGTAATGGTTTCAGAATATCTGGAGTGTATGGAGGCTGAATGGAAGATTTATTTAACCAGAGGAAGGCCAGAAAAAGGGGTTATATGTGTCCCTGGACACTGGCATTTGCTTCCATAATCAATGGCCCTTATTTCCCCTAAGCAGGAGATGAAAAATGATGCCCACTTGCTCTGACAGGGTCTCGCTCTGATGCCCAGGCTGCAGTGCAGTGGTGAAATCATAGCTCACTGCATCCTCGACCTCCTGGGCTCAAGTGATCCTCCAACGTCGGCCTCCCAAAGTGCTTGGGGTTACAGGAGTGAGCCACCATGCGCAGCTTATATTTATTTTAATATGAGTCAGAAAGAAATATAACCAGCACAACAAACCAGTAATACCTATACCTCAGGACAAGGCTAAACTTGGCATTAAGTTTAAAAACAAGTGGGTCAATTTAAAGATAAATATTGACTGGGCACAGTGGCTCACATCTGTAATCCCAGAACTTTGGGAAGCTGAGGCAGAAGGATTGCTTAATGGCAGGAGTTTGAGACTAGCCTGGGCAACATAACAAGACCCTGTTTCTACAAAAAAAAAAAAAAAAAAAAAGGAAACCTTAGCCAGACCTGGTGGTATGCACCTTTGGTCCCAGCTTGGATTCAGTCCAAAGACTGAATCTGACCAACAGATATGTTTTGTTTTGCTTAAGAAGTGTCTGAAAAAATAGGGGCCAACATAAAAAAAAATGGACTATTGCTCATAAATAGCTGTATTTTTGGTCTGTCTTGAAACAGAGAAAGCACTGGCAACATTGGCTGTGCATCCCCACTTAGAAACAGGCTTTTGGAATGGTGCTGATGAGTGTGTGCCCCCTTTAGTTAAGGCGTGGGCTTGCCACTTTGCCACAGTCACCACCACCCCCTCTTGTCTACCCTACATTGAGGCTGTCAGTTACCATTTATAATCATTCTTGAACTATAGTTTTTCTTATGGGAGACAAATATCTCTCTGTTTCCCAGAAAGACGCTGTCAAAAATTAGAGGCTTCCAGAGGGCTGTGTGTTTAGAGAACAATAGGAGAGAACATCTTTGTAGAAGTGAAGATCATTCTCATGTATTTAATATTCAAGCAAAGTGTGTTGGCTGCCTCTGTTCATTTACTGTTGCTGTCTGATCCCTGCAGGCATTTGACTTTCTGACCCTTGGATTCAGCTAAGAGGCCAGGAAGGGCCTCTTCAAGGCAGACCGACTATTGGGGAGCACCTTGCAGAGCCTGGTGCCCCCAGATGCAATAAACCAGCCTCCCAGGCCCCTTGAGCATGGAGTGGATTGGAGTCTGTTTCATCCTTAATGAATGAATTGAATAGCTCACAGCAGGGGAAGCTTTTACCCAGCAGTTTTCCACTTAGAACTGCTCGTTCCTTCTCAAGTAATCAACTGAGTTTGCTATTGTCTATTATCCCGTGGTATTGGCAGTGGTGGTTTTACATCTGTGGGGACAATGATCTCCTGACTTTGAGGTCAGATTTTTCTTATGTAATGTGTCTGTACCCTCCACTTCACCTAACACCGGATGCAGCTCAGAGTGGAATGAACATTTGATGGGAGCAGCTGTTTTTCTGCTGGACAGTATGGAGAGGTACGTGCCTCAAAGCATCATACTGGAAGCAAGACTGCATGTGGCATTGTGCAAGCTGTCTGACCTGGCTGTGCCTCAGTTTCCTCACTTGTCGACTAGGCAGAATAATAACACATTCTCATCAGGGTACTACGATTCTTGATAAGCTCTGACATGTAAAGTCCTTGGTGCCTGGCACTTGGCGAGGACGTTGTGTTTTTGTTCCCTTCTCTATACCTCAGACTCGGAGTAGTGCCTAGCACATGTGAGGTCTTCGTGCATATTTGTTGTTTCTGGCCGTATCTTCAGCACCCAGGACAGTTCCAGTCCCTTGGTGGTCAATAAATGTATCAAGAATGAATGAAGTGTTTCAAAAATTTTTTTTGAGGTTGGTGTGTATCTGAGATATGGGTATAAAAACATCTTCTCCAAACCGGAAGTCAGATGTGCAGTATAACCAAGGGTTTTGGTGCAAGAGGTGGCCTGGGAGATGTGATTGGATGTGAACTGTTAGTGTCTGTGGCTGTGTTAATGGTTTATGGGTGAAATCCAACCAGATGTAGAAAGTCACAACCATCTGAGGGAATTGTGGAGTAGGTTTGGCCCAGACATAGTCCTGGGTACTGGCTGTTTGGGAAAACTTGTGGTGTTCCATGTATTAATTTTCTATTGCTCCTGTAACACATTATTGGAAATTCAGTGGCTTACACACACAAATCTATTATCTTACTGTCTAGAGGTTGGAAGTCTGAAATGACTCTTAAGGAATGGAATCAAGGCAGGGCTGTGTCCTTCTGGAAGCTCTAGAGGAAAATATGTTTCCTTGCTTTTTCCAGCTTCTAGAGGCCACTTGCATTCCTTGGCTTGTGGCCCCTTCCTCCGTCTTGAAAGCATGCATTCAACCTGTCTCCATCGTCACATCGCTTCCTCTGCCTCTGCCTCTGCCTCTCCTGCCTCCCTCTGATAAGTGCCTATGAGATGATGTTGCACCCACCATGGTAATCCAGGATATCCACCCCATCTCAAGATCCTTAACCTAATCACATGTGCAGAGTCCCATTTGTCTTATAAAGTAACATATTCACAGGTTCTGGGGTTTAGGATGTGGACATTTTGGAGGCAATCACTCTACTAAGCTTTTGAGGGTCCCGGGAAGTCAGAAAAGGTAGGGTGTTCTGGATGGGCTTTGGCAGCCTGGAGGGGCCCAAGCGAAGCAAGGTGGACCATTCTGGGCAGATAGGGCCTGGGGCCCAGTTGCTGGAGTGTTGATGGGGGATGGACTGTTTTGGGTGGGAGGAACATTACCAGTTGTTCCCAGCTCAGGTCTTTAGGGGTCTCAGAAGCAGTTGGGTCTGGGAGAGTGGAGCAGCTCACAGCTGGTGCACAACTGTTGCGTGGCAAGCATGCAGTTCCCTGCAATAAAATGACACACCTTGTTCTCAAACACAATTTAAAGTGGCCTAATTTGTTTTCTGGTCTGCTTCTCCTTCACCCCCTCGATTATAAAGTCCATCTGCATTCTTTTCCCCTTGCATGAATGCAAACACCCAAACGCATGTGCATAGACACGCTCAGCCCATCTTTCCTTACGAAATTCATTTATTTTTTGAAATTTTCATTGAACTATAATACATAGTTATGCGTTACTTAATGACAGGGATACCTTCTGAGAAATTTGCTGTTTGGTGATTTTGTCACTGTGCGAACATCACAAAGTATATTTATACAGACCCAGGTGGTAGAGCCTGCTACACACCTAGGCTATTAACCTGTACAGCTTGTTACTGTACTGAATACTGCAGGCAATTGCAGCCCAGGGATAAGCATTTGTGTATGTAAACATCTCTAAACATGTATAGTAAAAATATAGTATTTTAATTCACAGGGTATGCATGGTCTGTTGTCGACAGAAATGTCATTTTGTGGTGCATGACTGTATGTAGATATAGTATTCCCCGCTTGTCTGCAGGGGATACATTGCAAGATCCCCAGTGGACGCCTGAAATCACAGATGGTACTAAATCTTATATAGGCTGTTTTTTCTATACATACATACCTATGATAAAGCTCAATTTATAAATTAGACATAGTAAGAGATGAATGACAATAACAAAATACCACAATTATAACAATATACTGTGATAAACATTACGTGAATGTGGTCTCTCTCTCTGCCTCTCAACATATCTCTTTGCCGTACTCATCGATTTTTGGACCCCAGTTGACCATGGGTAACTGAAACCACAGAAAGTGAGAGCAAGGAAAAAGGGAGACTACTGTATATACAGAAAAGGGCACAAACATCACAAGTGTACAGCCTGACAACTTTTGCGAACTGAACACACTCATGAAAACAGGGGCCTCTGCAATCTGCACCTAATCACACAGCACCCTCCTTGACCCCAGGTGACCACCATCCTTCCTTCTACCAGCATAGATGACCTTTACCCTTTACCTGTTTTTTTACTTTCTATAAACAAGTCATGAGACTGGAGCTCTTGCTTGACTCATGTCTGTGCGGTTTATCCACATTATTACAAGTAGTGACTTCTCATTCATTCTCATTGCTGTAGAACAGAGAGGTTGGCAGAGTATAACCTATGGGCCAAATTGAGCTTGTGAGCTAAGAATAGTTTTTAAGCTTAAAGGATTATATATTAAAAAAAACCCCAGGCCAGGCGTGGTGGCTCACGCCTGTAATCCCAGCACTTTGGGTGGCCGAGGCAGGTGGATCACCTGAGGTCAGGAGTTCAAGACTAGCCTGGACAACATGGTGAAACCCTGTCTCTACTAAAAATACAAAAATTAGCCAGGTGTGGTGGCGGGCATCTGTGATCCCAGCTACTAGGGAGACTGAGGCAGGAGAATTACTCGAACCCTGGAGGTGGAGGTCTGGGTGAGCTGAGATCGCGCCACTGCACTCCAGCCGGGGTGACAAAGAGAGACCCTAAAAAGAAAAACCCAAAATTAAAAAATTAAACCCCAGACAAAGAAGAATATGCAGCAAAGACTAAACGGCCAGTACAACCTTAAATATTTACTCTCTGGCCCTTTATGGAAAACATTTGCCAAGGTCTGCTGTTGAGCATTGACTTATGTGAATCTATCACTGCTTTCCCATTCTATCGCCAGTGGGCACTGGGTATTACCTTCCCTTTAAAATCAATTTATTATAACTGAGCATAATTATAATTAAAATCTTAAGAGTAATATATGTACATGGTCAAAATGGAAACACACAGAATGGCATGGAAGCAAGTCTAGTTGCTCAGGCCAGGCCTGCTCACAGAGATCAAGTAATTGCTCACAGCATTTTCTGCTTTGGAGATTTTTCTGTTTTGGCATGGTTGGGGCTGAGGGTCAGGTTTGGGTTGGGTTAGGCCTTCTCCACACCACACTTGTAAAAAATGTTACCCAAGTTTTCTTTTGATACTTCAATGATTTCTTTTGAAAGTATTAGATATTTGGAATTTATTTTAGCATCAGGGTGATTTTGGGCTTCTTATCCAAGTCCCAGTAGCTCATGAGATTGTCTGGCTGTGAGTTATCAGTCAAGTCTGTGTTTTCTGACTGCCTTGAAGTCATTTAATTTGAAAGCGAATGTGTCCCATGGCACTCTGGGCTGGGCTGTCCAGTGAGACCACAGTGGTGAGCAAGTCATTGTATTGGACCCAGGATAGTGAGCCTTGGTGAGTTCAGGATGGTGAGCCTTGCTGGTCAAGCAGGCCAGGCATTTGAATGTTAAACACTTGGGAATATGCTTCTTGTTCACAAAGAACCATGCTTTCTCCCATTTTTGGGGATGTGGCAAGCGCTGTATCATGGAGACCTCAACGTGCAGTGGCTCAGAAAAGACCGTTTTTTCCCTTCTCGTTTAACCATCCCCATGTAGGAGTTGCTCTGATCTCTGAGGTCATCCTGAGACCCAGGGGTTTCCATCTCTTTGCTCTGTTACTCCCTAGGCTGGTGTCTGTGTGTCATGATTGGGGTTGCCTCATCTCTATAGGTGTATTCCAGGCTGGGTGGGGAAAGGAGTGAGGAAGTGCAGGGCCGCGAATTTCCTTTTTAAAGGGTGTGGCTTGGAAATTGCATGCATCACTTTGGCTCATGTCCCAAAGTCTGGAAATGAGCCATGCAGGCACTGTCAGCTGCAAGAAGACTGGGAAAGGTAATCTCCGACCTTGTGTGTTGGGGGGTTCCATGAATAAAAGGAAGAAGGGGAGAAAGGAAACTAGAATTAGCCATTTTCTGTCACATCCTCTCTCTTTTTGGTTTGTTCTTCTGATAGGCACATTGTCACACAGAAATGTTTCTCTACTATACAGAAACACTGCAGTTGGGATGATAAGAGGTAACTGAAACTCGCACTCATGGCTGGGGCATGCAATAGGGAGTGGTGGGGACTGTGGCTCATTACAGAGCTTGAGCATGGGTTAGGGGGGCAGTGGCTCCTAATCTGTGACTGTCACTTATTATTCTGTGAGAATATCAACTTAGAGTTAACAGATTTGATTTCTCGAGAGAAGCTAGAAATCTAGATTTTTTTTTAAAATGAGAAGTGTCTTGATTTTTTCAATCTTGGTTCGGTGTAAGAAATGCAGTGTGGACCAATCAATATTCGTGTACAAGTTGCATTTGGCCTGTGGACCTTTGGTTGGTGCTCTCTACTCTAAAGGCTGCTATGAGCCAGGTGAGGTAGTGCCTGCACTACCTGTAATCCCTGTACTTTAGGAGGCTGAGGCAGGAGGATGGCTTGAGCCCAGGAGGTCGAGACCAGCCTGAGCAACTTAGCAAGACTCCATCTCTACAAAAAGAAAAAGAAACAACAACGAAAAATAAAGGCTGCTATGCCAAAGGGAGATGGTGTTATCCTCTGACTGGCAGAGCTCAGGGATCTATCAACTTCATAAATGAGGAAATTGGGACTCGGCTTTTATACACTGTGTTAGAAGTGTTGGCTCACCTTCTCTGGAGGGGAGTTTGGCATTATCAGTTAAAATTACAAATGCACACACTTTGACTCATCCAGTTTACTTCTGAGAATTTATCATTCAGAGAGATTGTACCTGTGCAGATTAACCCATGCATGAGGTTATTCACTGCAACCCTGCAGTAGCATAAGGCTAGAGGCAACCTGAATGTCCATCAAGAGGGGCATGGGTAAATAAATGTTGGTGCATAGCCATACAGTGGAATGCTATACAGCGTGAGAAAAATGAAGACAGTGTATATATTGGCTGTAACCATCTCCATAAAAGATTGCTAAGTGAAAAACCAAACCACGTGCAGAACAGTGCATATAGTATGTGACTATGTTAAAAAGAAAAAGTAATATAGTGTGTGTGTATATGTGCACTTTTATATACACACGATATTTTTGCAAGGTTCATGAGAAACTGATAACGTTGCTTGCTTCTGGGGAGTTGAGTGTAAGACAGAAGGGAGGAGACATTTTATTCTAGAATCGTGTATCTTTTGAAGTTTGAGACATGAAAATGTTTTACCCATTCAAAACATAAATAAAATTAAGATAAAAGACAAGAAAGACTAGCGAGGCTCTGAGAGGGCGTGGGTTTCCCAGGCATCACACAGCAGCTGGGGGCTAGAATCAGCATCCCTGTTTGTGTCTCCCAGCACCGCATCTTATTACCCCAGCAATCTTACCATGCTGCTAGTTTTTGATCTTAGAGGCTGTTCAGAAGAACTTCTACCTTGTTAACTAGCAAGCTGGAATTTATTTTACCAACTGATATAGTTAATTGGGTTTCTTGCAGGAGCTGCTGTTTTTCTTGGCCTCAATAATAACCGCCCCAAGGCAACACCCTCTTCTGAAGGATCTTGGGTTCCCAGATACACCTCTGATTATATTTGCAGTTACTTTGCAGTTCATCGAGCAGACCTGGGCTGGTTTCCCTTAGGTTTACTTCATCACCTGAGCATTGCCAGTGACTCGGGCCAGGTGCTGCCCTGAGTGTTTTTGGAATTCCGGGGACTTGGAGGGTCTCCTTGCTGCTTCACCTTCCTCCTGCGGCACCAGGAAAAATAATGATTCCTTGGCTGCAGAAAGCAGGGTGACAAATGCAGGCCCTTTGTGGAGCGAGGCAGGCAGCCTTTCTGGTTCTCTGGCAGAGGTGCTGTTTAAATGACATTTTTCTTGAAGATCAGAGAGCTGTTGAGAGCTGCCTTGGGACTCGAGCCTGGTAATTAGCTCTTTACCTGTGTCCTGAGGATTCTCAGCACAGCAGCTTGTCAAGGGAGCTTGGGAGAGGATGTACTGTGTTCTCACCCAGGATGAATAAAAACCTTCTCCTTGTTTAAACAAAATGAGAAATCCTGGTGTCCGGGGATCATCCTGTCACCTTATATCTCCCTAGTTCAGTAGGATCCAGCACGGAGCATGACTGATCACTTAAATCCTATGTGTTAGGTTGGCTGCAGGGAACTGAGACCTTAAATAACAACGGTTTAAGCAAGACGGAAGTGTATTTCCCTCTCATATACAAGCGCAGAAATAAGTATCCAGAACTGGTATGGCAGCTCCTCTCGGCAAAACCCTCTTTGTTTCCAGTTCCTTCCAGCTCACCATCATTCCTAAGGTGTGGGTCTCTCTTCATGGTCCAAGATAGAGTCCCAGATGTGCCTCCCACATTCCAGGTAGCAGGAAATGGAAAAGAGCAAGGGGATCACTTGAGCCCAGGAGTTCGAGGCTGCACCATTACACTCTAGTCTGGGCAGTAGAACATGACCCTGTCTCTTAAAAAAAAAAAACGCTACACTTCCCAGGTTCCTTTGCAGCTAAGCATGGCCAGAAAGCTAATGCCACATCTCACATCTTTGTTGTGTGTGTGTGTGTGTGTGTGTGTGTGTGTGTGTGTTTTAAGAGACGAGGTCTTGCTCTGTAACCCAGACTGGAGTGCAGTGGTGCAATCACAGCTCACTGCAGCCTCGAACTCCTACGCTCAAGCCATCCTCCCACCTCAGCCTCCTGAGTAGCTGGAACTCCAGGTGCACCACCATGCATCCTACCCTGCTAAGTTTTATTTTCCCTCTTGTTAGCATATGATCCTTTGCTCCCTAAGGCCACTTTCCAAGAAGTTGCATGTAGTACCCCACAATATCCCATTTCCTGAACTTATTATGTTAACTTGGGTTCCCTCTAAAAGTGGAAGCTGATAATAAGGGCTTGAATGCAGGTAATTTATTTTGGAAATGTATTCAAAGGAAGTGGAATGGGGCAACTGGGAAGAGGAAACAGGAGAGGAGGGAAGAATGAATCCAAGGCTGCATGACCCAGGTGGTTACCACTGTAGGCCTTGGGATTCCCTCCTGCTGAGACTGCTTCCAGGAGCAGAGTGAAACACACCTCAGGACTGTTCACCAAAGACACGGATGAGGGGAGTATTTACTCCGTCTGCCAAACCCCATTGGTCAAGGGTTGCTCTCCAGGATGTTGAATCCCTTGCACTCATGGTTTTGAGCTGAACAGGCTCCTGCAGAGACTCTGTGGGGGTTGGGGGGGCGGGTAGGAGGTGCAGTAGAGGTACTTGGGGGCTCCACATGTGCCCAACTTCTTACAGCAAGAGCCAGGGCAAAAAGATGGACTGACAGAAAGTGAGATGGAGCATTAGCTTTATGGCCATGCTTACCTGCACAGGAACTTGGGAAACATAGTTGTTTTTTTTTTTTTCCCGAAAGAGATAGGGCCTTGCTTTATCACCCAGGCTGGAGTGCAGGGGTGCAAGCCTAGCTTACTGCAGCTTCCAACTCCTGGGCTCAAGTGATCCTCCCACCTCACCCTCCTGAGTTTCTGGGACTATAGGTGTGCACCACCATGTACCATACCCTGCTAATTTTTAATTTTTAATCTTTATTTTTGTAGAGAAGGAGACTCACTATGTCGCCTACGCTGGTCTCAAACTCTTGGCCTCAAGGGATCCTCCTGCCTCAGCTTCCTAAAGTACTGGGATGGAAATGTGGTTTTTATTCACAGTGGCCACGAGTTTGGCAAAAGTCAGGGGATTGATTACTGTTGCAAGGATGTTGGAGAACAAATGGCAGACTCTAGCACACCGTGATCTTCATTCCATTCATTATGATTGATCGTGGGAAGGAATTCCGCAATTGTTTGACAGTGTCTGCCATGGGTATGGTGGTGGAGAGGTGGAAGGTTTTGTATTGAGAGTCTGCTATTCTTGACCCTTGGTATTTGTAGCACTCACAATTCATGAGGGTTGAGTAAAAAAATTTTAAAAATTAGAGTGAAATGGGATAAGACCCATCTGAAGGTGGTACTTGGCTTATCCTGAGCTATGCTCACCTCTGGTGCTCTCTCTGATTGTCTTTTATATTTTCAACAGTTTTGAATTGCAAACCTACTATGTGCACAGCTGGCATGTGCACAGGTAGGAAGAAAGGCTACAATGAAGAGGCCATGTTTCCCAAACTTTGGTTTTTTTAATATATTACCTTCATTACCTTTAATATATTACCTTTTTAAATATATTACCTTCATATAATATATAATATATATTTGACCATATCTACAGTATTCTCTGGCTATTGTAAAAAATTTAATACCTATTTTTAAAAATCAACTCAAGTTTTTACTTAAATATGATTATTTTAAAAGCAGACTCTATCACTACCACAAATAGAAAGCCAGTATCACTTGCCATAAATAGCCAGAAACCTTCAAAATAAAGACAATGAAAACAAAGCAATGACCTTAAATTCCAGCTAGATACCGCGGCTTGCCAAAGGCTCTCAGACAGAGACCTGCTGTCTCCCGTCTAACAAGGGCCATTAGCCAAATGTTAGAGACTCATTAGCAGAGATGGAGGCTTCCTCTCTTTATGAGAAGGATTACAGGAGAATTAAGAAAGGAATAGCCTTCTAATGGTGGGATTCCATGTTCCTGAAAACCTTTTTGTAAATCATCTTCCACATTGCTGGGAGGACTTGGGAAAGGGCTGTGGAGGGCTTTGAATTCCGAGCTAAAGGGATTGTTGCATTTGTTGCATTTGCAGAAAAGCCCTTGGGATACCTTTTGGGGGGTTATTTAGGGGTACAGGAGTAGTTTCTGCAGCAGAATATATTGATGAATAGGGCGTCCCTGTCCCCCAGCGGGTGGGAAATTCCCATTTAGGCAAAAACTCCCTCTTCGGTCCAGCGATTGGCAAGAGGCAGGCATAAGCCTCTGATCCCCTGCGCCCAGGCCTGTCTTTGAACAGGCACTGAATAGCATCCATTCCTCAGGAGATGTCCTGCACTGCTCGAGCTCCTGAGAGCTCTTGGATTAAAAAAAAAATAAACTCGAGTTGGCACCACATCCAAGTGGCATGTGGCGCGGGCGGGTGCAGTTGGATTATTTTTATTTATGATAGCTGATTCACAATTGTCTCCATGGCAATGGGGGAGCTAAAGGCGGAGGGAAGGAGGGAGTCGTCACATTATTAAATGACCCAATGAAAGAATAAAAACCCTCCAACACATCAGGGATTAATTTAACACTGTGGCCTTGCCTGGCAGGTCATTACCCATCCCTGCTACAGATGTTGGCACTTCCACTTCCAGAGTGTTCTGCGCAGAGCATGGCTCATCTGTTTGCATTTGAATGTCATTCTTCGCTCAAACAGTCAGATGCCGGGGGTCAGGAGGGCCACTGGTGACCTCATCTGGAGATGTTCTCCACTCATGGTGCCCTTTTGAACACACAAACATCTCTATTTATATTTGTCTCTATATATGTAATTCTGTTTTTTATACTAACTTGAATAGATACAAAATCATCTTTATAAATTACACTTAAGGAATAAAACCGTACAATGAATAGCCATGTACCTACTACTTAGTTAAGAAAAATAGTGCCCTTTTGAACACACATATATCTCTATTTATCTCTCTCTATATATGTAATTCTGTTTTTTAAATACTAACTTGAATAGATACAAAATCATCTTTATAAATTACACTTAAAGAATAAAACCATACAATGAATACCCATGTACCTACTACTTAGTTAAGAAAAACAGGCCGGGTGTGGTGGTTCATGCCTGTAATCCCAGCACTTTGGGTGGCCGAGGTGGGAGGATCTCTTGAGTCCAGGAGTTCAAGACCAACCCGGGCAACACAGTGAAACCTCATCTGTACAAAAAATACAAAAATTAGCTGGGCATGGTTGCTCATGCCTGTAGTCCCAGCTACTTGGGAGGCTGAGGTGAGAGGATCTCTTGAGCCTGGGAGGTTGAGGATGCAGTGATCCGTGATCAAAACCACTGCACACAGCCTTGGTGACAGAGTGAGACCCTGTCTCAAAAACAGAAAAGAAAAGATTATTTCTTTTACATAGGGTAAAAGGGTGATGTACATACAGTAACAGCATATCTCGATTTCCCCTGACATCCCAATTTTCTCTTGTTGTCACTAAGACAACTAAGGCTAGAGTGCAGTGGTGCGATCTTGGCTCACTGCAAGCTCTGTCTCCCGAGTTCAAGTGATTCTCCCGCCTCAGCTTCCCGAATAGCCTGGATTACAGGCACATACCACCACACGGGCTAATTTTTGTATTTTTGTAGAGATGGGGTTTCACCATGTTGGTCAGTCTGGTCTTGAACTTCTGACCTCAGGTGATCCACCCACCTTGGCCTCCCAAAGTGCTGGGATTAAAGGCTTGAGCCAGTGTGCCTGGACTCTCCTCTACTTTTAAGCGCCCTCTGTGCTCTTCCCCAGTCTCATTCCCTCTCCCCTCAGAAAGAACCTCTCTCCTGAATTCTGTGTTCGTCATTCCTTTGCTGCTCTGTTTGCTCCCTAAATAATACATTATTTTTTTGGGTCTCTTCGTGAGTGGTGTGTAAGTGAAGTTATACTCTGGGTGTCCTTTGGTGCCGCCCCTCTTTCACTAAACATTGCATTTGGGAGACTCTTTCACATTGAAATGTGTCGCAGTGATTCACCCCCTTCTACAGCTGTATGCTCTTCCATTCTAGGAATGTTCCAGGATTTATCCGTTTTACAGCTGACATTTGGGTTGTTGCCTGTCCTTTGCTCCAATCAACAAGGCTGCTGTGAACATTTTTGTATGTGTATCCCAACACAGACAGGCCTGAATCCTCCAGGTTCAGTGTCTACAATGGCTGGGTCATATGTTCACTGCATCTTCAACTTTGCCAGATGGTGACAAACTGTTTTCCAAAGTGGTTGTCCAGGTTGATCCCCGCTCTGGCGACACAGAGGTGTTCCGATCATGGTGCATTGTTGTTAATGCTCATTGTCAATGCTCATTGCCAGACTATTCAGACATTGAGTGCTGCCTGCGACTATCATTCAGTGCCCAACTTGGGTTCATTTGGGGAAGAACCCCAAAGAGGAGAACAGGCTGCATTCCCCAATATTAACTTCGCGGTAATACAGCTGACATTTTGATCTACATCTGCCTTACATCTTTGTCTATTTTAGTTGGTTGAGAACTTGGGTGCCTCCTAAGGGCGACCTAAAGACCACTAGCTATGCCGTCTCTGATAACTTAAATGCCCACGGCCTCTCATTCACCTGAGATGGGAAGATTACTTGAGCCCAAGAGGTCAAGGTTGCAGTGAGCTATGATGACGCTACTGCATTCCAGCCTGGGTGATGGAGTGAGATCAGACCCTGTCTCCCAAAAAATAAAAAAAATAACCTAAGGATTCCAAGGATGCAAAATAACAAAATTACAATAATCCGCAAAGCTAGGAAGGTGGGACATGGTTAACTTACCATCTGTTCGACTGCCACTCATCTTTCAAAACCCACTTCAGAATTATCTTTTGTCTGAGCAACTTTACCCAACTTCCTCATTCAAAGCGCCGTCCCAAACCCAGCTAACCCGGAACGTGGGCTGGACTTTTCTCTCCTTCCACGGAGCTCTGTGATCACCCCAGCTCACAGCTCACTCCAGATTCTGAATTCCTAGGATTTGTTTGTAGATTCAGCTTTTTTTGTTATTTAATCATATTCTGTTAGCCCATTGTGGAGTGTAAGTCTGGCTTTCTTAATTTGAGGTCATCTTAGGTTTTCTTCTTCATAGGACCAGTGCAGTGTTTGCCCTAGCTCATTCTTTCAGGAAGTTATTGGTAGCACCCATTATGTGTCAGGCCTGATGATCATGGCTGAGGAATCAAAGAAACTGAGTCCCTTGCCCTTGATGGAGACATGCTTTTCAGGAGAAATGCAAGAAATAAATGAGAGTGATCTGATGTGGCTTTGATGGGAGGAATATCCAGATTATTAAGGAGAGTTTCTTTGAATGAAGAAGTTGGGTAAAGCTGCTCAAACAAAAGATAATTCTGAAGTGGGTTTTGAAAGGTGAGTGGGAGTTGAACAGATGGTAAGTTGACTATGTCCCACCTTCCTAGCTTTGGAGATTATTGTAATTTTGTTATCTTGCATCCTTGGAAACCTTTGGCTAATGTGTTTTTTTTGGGAGACAGGGTCTCACTCTGTTGCCCAGGCTGGAGTGTGGTGGTGTGATAACAGTTCACTGCAGCCTTGACCTCCTGGGCTCAAGTAATCTCCCCATCTCAGCCTCCTGAATAGCTGGCACTACAGGTACATGCCACCATGCCTGGCTAATTTTTTAAGTTTTTGTAGAAATGGGGTCTCCCTATGTTGTGCAGTCTGGTCTTGAACTCCTGGGCTTAAGCAATCCTCCTGCCTCAGCCTCTCAAAGTGCTGGGATTAAAGGTGTGAGCCACTGTGCCCAGCCTAAAATTATTTTTAAAGGTAAATACTAATGAAAATTGACAAACATCTTCTCAGTATCCATGGGTGTTTGACTCTGGCCACTAGAGCATTAGAAGTTAGTTGGGAAATCAGTGCCAGTGGTGCCTTTTATGCATTCCTTTGTTTATTTAAATATATAGTTTACATCTGTTGGATATTTGAATAAAGGATAAGGAAAAACAGACAAACCCTATTCTTAGAACTGTGACTGCCCTGGCTTCTGTTCTGACCTCGAAGCGGTCAGACGACTCCAGCTGGTGACAGCAGCTGATCTCTGCACGACAGAGGTGCGTCTCTGAGCATTTTTCAGCCATTTAGATCAGACTGTGGGTCTGATCACAGTGACCAGAACTGCAGAGAGTTGTTTTGGGCATTTGGCTAATTAGAACAAAGCCACCAGGTGAAAGGAACTATCCATCCCGGACTTTGTTCTAATAATCATTAGATGAGATTTCTGACGAGTAGGCCATGGGCTATGCTTGATTTCAGGCATCTCAATGCTGTCTGGGGGTGTCCGTCAAGGCTGAATGGCTGGAGTGGAGTTGGGAATGAGAGGATGCTTTTTCTCCATGGGGTAACTTCGAGAGTGCATTTGTGTGGGTGTGAGTCCCTCGTGCCTTTGGGGGCTGCCTGTCTGTTAAGCAGTGCTTGCCTATGCCCTTGGCCTTGACCTGACCCTTGTTGGTGTGGCTGTCAGTCAAATGGCGGAAGCGCTGGCGTCTCCCCTGACAGCTGGTGCAGTAACAACTGTCAGCGCCGGTGAAGTCAGCTTGCTTTCCAAGAGGCACGTGTAATGTTTAAGTCTGAAGAGAGGAATTGATTGAGGGTTTGGACTGTTGAAAGGTAGGCAGGGAGAGGTGCAGCCCTTCCCGGCAATCCAATTTGGGCATAACTTTGGATTCTAATCAAACGGTCTTTCATCACACTGTCTTACCACATGCGATTTTAACGTAGAGGTTGCGAGTCAGAAGGCTATGAGCTGGATTTGTGGGTACCGTGGGTTGAATTATGTCCACCAAAACATATGTCCAAGTCCTAACCACTAATACTTGTGAACATGACCTAGTTGGGAAAGAGTGTCTTTGCATATGTGGTCAAGTTAAGATGTGGTCATTAGGGTGGGCCCTAATCCCATATGACTGGTGTCCTTAGATGAAGAGGGAGAACAGGCCGGGCACGATGGCTCATGCCTGTAGTCCCAGCACTTTGGGAGGCTGAGGCAGGTGGATTACAAGGTCAGGAGTTCAAGACCAGCCTGGCCAACATGGTGAAACCCTGTCTCTACTAAAAATACAAAAATTAGCTGGGCGTGGTGGTGGGCTCCTGTAATCCCAGCTACTCAGGAGGCTGAGGCTGGAGAATCGCTTGAACCTGGGAGGCGGAGGTTGCAGTGAGCCAAGATCGTGCCATTTCACTCTATGTGGGCAACAAGAGCAAGACTCTGTCTCAAAAAAAAAAGATGAAGAGGGAGAACACACACACACACACACACACACACATACACACACACACGGGAAGGCCATGTGAAGATGCAGCAGAGATTGGAGTGACGTGCCTACATGCCAGGGAACACCAAGGGTTTCCAGCGACCCCAGAGGCAAAGAGAAAGGCGTAGAACCTCTCCAGAGCCTTTGGAGGGAGCAGGGTCCTACCCACACCTTGGTCTTGGACCTCTGGCCCCCAGGACTATGAGAGAATAAATTTCTGTTGTTATAAGCCATCCCATTTGTGGTAATTTGTTGTGGCAGCTCTGGGGAGCTAACAACGACGTTAAAAAAAGTTGGACAAATGGCTACTGTTTAAAAACAGAAATTTTATGTAAAAGCCTGGATTTTTGGCATCTCTAGAAAAATCAGATCTATTCACAGAGGGCCAGCATTCTCCGATGGGAAAAGTCTGGAACTCTGCAGTGTGCCCAAGTCACCACCACTTCCAGTTGTCCTAAAACCAGCCTGCTTCTCCCAGTTGTGTTTTGTGTCAAGACTCTCTAGGTTTCTAAGCTTGCAGCCGCTTGTTTCGTGATAGATCTGGGATGGAAGTGTTGGAAAGAGCCTATCTCTGGCTTTCTGGTTTCTAGAGCAGAGGTTGGCAAACTACAGCCGGTGGGTCAAATGTGGCACTCTATGTGTTTTGATAGACAAAGTTTTATTGAAAAGCAGCCATGCCTATTCATATACATATTGTCTACGGTTGCTTTCGCACCGTAACCCCAGGGTTGAGAAGCTTCAATAGAAACCATTTGGCCTGTAAGGTGGAAAACATGTACTTTCTAGCCCTTTACAGAAAGACTGTGCTGACCCTTATTCTGGAGAATCAAGAAATCCAGATTTTTATGTGAATTCTCCTTGTTTTTAAGTGAGGGCAACAAACTCATATTGGTTTTTAATTTCAAAAATTTAACTGTCAATCAAGGTCATCTTTCCATGTCAAAAATGGGAATCTCCATCTTTTTTTTTTTTTTTTAAGATAAATGGAGTAATATGAGTCATTTAACCAATTTTTTATTAATGGGTATGCAGGCAGTTATAAGTTTATATAAACTAGTGAGGGCTGGCTAGGTATTGAGCATTGAGCTTCTTTTTGGGGATGGGGTGGGAATGAGCGAGTGGGGTGTTTAACCCAGAGTTTAGAAAGCCAGCAAACTATGCCATTATTTTTATCAAATGTTCATGTTTGGTTTTTAAAGGCAAGATATGAAACACTGGCCTTCCCTGTCCATGGAAGGCTCTGCAAGAAAAAACAGAACTTAAAAATACAGCAGAAAAGAATTGTTTTGGTTGTAAGGAGGTAGCTTTTGTTGCTCAAGGTGGTGAACCCTGGAAAGAGTGACTGAGAGAAACTCTTGAATTTCCCTCTCTGAAGACCCTCTAAGAGGCAATAACTCTGCCCAGGTTGGATGTAACCCAGCGAGGGAAGATCTGTTTGGCCACCTCTGCTCCAGCACAAATGGCTCCCTCTAGCCCGGCACTGAGAAAGCTTCTGTGTCTACCTTGCCCAACAGGAAGAAGTGCCATGCTGGGTACAGACAGGGGTCATTGGTAGTGGAGGTATTTGGGCATTTAACCATACCTTTGCCATCCCTGGATTAGAGACCAGGAGCTGGGTCAGCTGATCACATGTCCTTCTGAGCTCCAGGGTCCTCATCTGTGATTGGCTGACTCCATTAGTCTATACAAGGCCATTGCCAGGTAGGTCCATCCCAGGCTATAGGGCTGTTTGAAGGGTATGCATAGAAAAATAAATGCAGCAGGCCTGAGACTGTTATCCCTAGAAAGGCCTGCTTACAGGGTTGACCTTTGGCTGGTGTTTGGGAGCTTGGCACTTGGACTATTCCCTGAATAAGTGTGTGTCTTGGTTCCTAGACTGTACAAACCATGTGACTTATGGTGAACACTTGCTTTCCTTCTGGGAATCTGGAATATGGGTACATGCTAGGCAGAGGGGTCTATGTGACTAGTCCCCAATACAAACCCTGGGCACTGAGTCTCTGATGGGCTTCCCGGGACAGAAACAGCATGCATATGTTGCTGTGTTTTTCTTGCTGGAAGAAGAGTGTGCTTTGTGTGACCCTCATGGGAGGAAGAGAGAATATAAGGAAGCTGGTGCATGGATTTCTACAAAATCTGCCTGTGTCTTTTCCCTTGTTGATCCTGTTGTATATCTTTTTGCTGTAATAAGCCTTAGTCATAAGTCCAACCAAATGCTGAGCTCCATGAGATCTTCTAGTGAATCACTAAACATATGAGAGTGGTCTTGAGAAACCCTCTAACAGGATGGTTCATTGTAAACTCAATTCCACCATTAAAACAATTCAGAGTCCCTGCCTTGATGAAGATGATAATGATACATGTATCAGTGATTATATTAATAACTAACACTTAAATTACACAATGTGCCAGGTGCTGTTTTAACACTCTACATAGATTGACTCATTTCATTCTCACAACCATCCTTAGAGGTAGGTATTACTTTTATCCCTCAGTTTACAGATGAGAAAACTGAGACACAGAGAGAGGAAGTGACCTGTCCTTCGTCACCCAGCTCATAGGTGGTGGAGCTGAGAATGAAACTCCCAGGCTGCGAATGGCAGACACTTGGGATCCTCCAAAAACGTAGGACTCTCCGTGGATTGGTAATTGGAGCCAGTGCCTTCTTGGAAACTAGCTTTAGTCTAAAGAAGTTAAATAAGGAGGATATTAAATGTTCCCAACACAAAGAAATAAATGTTTGAGATGATGGATATGCCAATTACCCTGATCTGATCACCATGCATTATTTGTATAAAAACTTCACTATGTACTCCATAAATATGTGCAATTATTATGTGACAATTAAAAAAATAAAAAGTATTTTTTAAAAAGAGGCTAACTTAATTGGTCTTCGCCTTTTAACGGAGGGTGTATCAGTGAGAATAAGCTGGGATAACGAAGCATGTCAAAATGCCAATGGCTTAAAATAACAAGGTTTATTCCTTGCTCAATCTGAGTGTCCATCGCACCTGGCCATGGGCTCTGCTCCCTGCCTCCCTCCCCTGGACCTAGGCTGCCGGAGGAGCAGCCCGTCTTCACTTGCTGTGGGATGTCAGGGCGCTGGGAGCAGATGCTGCTGCTCCCCTACGCCGGGACAGCTCACGTCTCATTGGCCAGAGTAGTCACATGACCCCACCCAGGCACTGGGAAGCCAGGAAGTGAGTCCTACTGTGCGTCCTCAGGGCAGATAGTACAACTCTTCGGTCAGCAGCACGGGGAATGCTCCAGCGAGGATTAGGAAGGAAACCAGACTTTTGATTTCCCTGACTCCAGACTTTGCGGGAAGAATGCTCATTGAAGGAAGATTTGGGAGTTGAGAGGAGGGGGTAGGAGTGAGCTGATTATTATCAAAGGCAGAAGTGAGAAAACGGGGGGCTGATAGTTAAGTCCTTTCAGAGCAAATGAAAGTGATTTCCATGACAACAATTCAATTAGAAAGCGACATGAAGTTCTCTGTGAGGGAACGCTGGGGAATTACCACACAATGAACCCTAAGCATTTTGGCCTTGGGGTGGAGAGGGGTGAGAAAGGCCCCAGCAGGGGACCCCCAGCGGTTCCTGGATACAGGGCATGCCTCCCTAGTGGGAAGAGTCACCCCTTCCAGCACCCAGGGGAGGGAGGAGGGAAGAGGTTGGCAGAAATATGCAAATGCGGAGTGGGTGTGAGCAGGAATGGGCCAGGGCAGGCAGGGAAGCCCGGGGACTGGGGCGGGCGATTGAGGAACCTGTGTTTTGCTTCTGAGGTGGGTTGGCTTGGGATGTGGGTTGCTTGGTAGGGTTGGAGAATAGATGTTGAAATGTTTCCCCACACAATTAAAATTCAGACATGGGTGGTGGCGGGAGAAAGTGGGAAGGAGGCCACAGGATGTGGTGGAAAAAAACCAGGCTTCGAAAGCCCACCCCGGTGGCTTTGAATCAGTTTTCCCCTCTTGCTTTCTGTGTTTGAGCTTAAGTTCCCTTAGCCTCAATTTTCTTGACCATAAAACAGAGCTCAGTTTGCCAGTTAGCAGAGCGACGGTGAGCACTGCATCACGTAGCGTAATATTGGGCACACAGAAGGTGCTCTCTACAATGTCCCTCTACTCCCCTCCCTTGGATTAGGGATGAGGGTAAAGTGATTTCATCTCAGGTGCAAACTCTGAAGCTTCAGCAATGGCTCCCTGGGACCTGTGTTAAGAAGACTTTTGAGGTCGGGCGCGGTGGCTCACGCCTGTAATCCCAGCACTTTGGGAGGCCGAGGTGGGCGGATCACGAGGTCAGGAGATCGAGACCATTCTGGCTAACACGGTGAAACCCCGTCTCTACTAAATATACAAAAAATTAGCCGGGCGAGGTGGCAGGCGCCTGTAGTCCCAGCTACTCGGGAGGCTGAGGCAGGAGAATGGCGTGAACCCGGGAGGCGGAGGTTGCAGTGAGCCGAGATTGCGCCATTGCACTCCAGCCTGGCCAACACAGGGAGACTCCGTCTCAAAAAAAAAAAAAAAAAAAAAAAAAAAAAAAAAGAGAGACTTTTGAAGCTTGGTGAGAGTGTGCTCCAATTGCTTATTGGTGCCTGTCACGGACATGGAAGTGGTGCTGTGTGCATCACATTTGCCATCCTTGGTTTGGCCTGTCTTTCCCATCTGAGCTTGCCTTCTTACTACACCCTTCTGTAAACCCTTTGCTGCACTCACACTGCCCAGCTCCCTGCCCCCTGCGATGCTGGATGCCGTGTGCTGCCTGCCTGCCTCTGTGCCCTGGTGCCCCCGCCTTCCCCGGCCTGGGACACTCTCCCTCACTCCTCAGCTCATCCAGGCTTGTCCTCTTCTGCAAGGATCAGTTCAGACTGCCCTGCAGGGAAGCTCCTCCAACCCACCCCTGCCCTAACCATTCCACAACCAAAGGATGCCATCTGTTTCTGACTTCTCATAACACTCTCCGCGTCTTCCATGGCCTGCACACACATCTCATGGCACCTCATGTGGGCACTGGTGTCCTTTCCTCATGCCTATTGCTGACCTCTTAGTGACTGTGAGGCCCAAGGGCAGCTATGTTGTCCCCTCCCCTTTGTTGGGGACAAAGGGAATATGATTTTGTGATTTAATTGGCAGAGCTTGGATGTGGCAATCAGAGATCCTAGCTAGGGCTCCCGGTGCTGCTGCTTGGGGATGTGTGACTGTCCCTAAATCTTTTGACCTCTCTGAGCCTCAGATTCCTCTTCTAATAACACAGAGTCACTGGGAGCACGCAGGGAGATGTGTGTGCCTGGTGCATTCTGAGCTCTGGGTGCATAGTAAGCACTTGGCTTAATACCTGGTAGTGTTCTCTTTCTTTCCTTCCTGGCCCTGGTTCCTTGAACAACCATTCCAATGTGGTCCTTATATCTTTCTTTGGGACGGCCCTCCAAGTGTTTGTTGGGAGTCCAAGTGGTACAGCCCGAGAGCTTGGTGCAGGAGAAAGCGGGTATTCTGTTCACTCATGGAAAGACCCAAAGATCATGGGAACCGCAGCATCAAAGGCAGCCCCACTTTAGGCAGCAGCTGTGTTCGCGCACAACTGTATGCAATTTCAATTTGATTAGCTTTAACATGAGCCCCCTTTTACAAGTCCCAGGGGACTTGCCAATTAATGATCTGTTTGGCAAATCCTTTTGTAAAATGCAGAGTCACCAAATTGTTCTGCTTTGTGGTTCTGGATTCGTACATATTAGGTTTTCTTCAAGTAGGTACTATTTTAGCAGTGAAACCTCCTTATATTCTAGCCAAGTTTTTGAGCTTCAGTAGTCAAAATTACTATTTATTTAAATCTGTTGAATATGTATTATATTCCGGAAAGCTATTTTCAACTCATGAAAATTAAGTGAGAAAACTAGAGTTACCAGGGTCCGTCTTCTGTTCCTGCTGTGTACCCGACTCTCGCTGGCGGTCCTGGCAGATGCTCAGCTGTCCTTGATAAAGGAACAGGAGTGCTAAAAACCAGGAAGATGCTGAGAACAAGTAATCTGGCCCGGGAAACATGTAATTACCATGAGTGCCAGTCTCTGTAATGAAGCGTTGATAGGGCCAAGTCCAGAGCATAAATTACCAGGGAAGGGGGCAAGGTAAGATGTCGCGTCCAACAATTTAGCCTCCGAGTAGCTTCCGGCAGCTGTCCTGTAATGCGTCTTGTCTGGTGCAGACCAAGGCAGATGCATTCCAGTGCATTCCACCTCAAAGGGAGATAAGCATGGAAGGAGTCAAGTGAGACTGTTGGTCTGTCTGCCACTCCCTCTGGAGAGATACTAGGAGTTTCAGTAGTGTTTGCTTGTTGTCGCAGAATCCTAGATTTCCAGGACAGACTTTGAGATCAACCCTCTCATTTTACAGATAAAGGAATCGAGGTCCAGGAAGGGGAGTAGAATTACCAAAGCCTCCAAGTGAGTCAGTAGCCATGGTTGGTACTTGAACTTCCATCCTTTGACTTGGTTTACCTTTGTTACCCCACTCAGTTCTACCCCAGGATGGCCAGAGGAGACCAGGCTTGACTGACAGCCCTGTTTCCTAGGGGATGTCACTGTCTAGGTAGAGGTAAGAGATTTTTCCTTCTATGGTAGGTGATTTTTTGTCTTATTATTTGTTTAGTGAATTTTTCTGCATAGATGTACATGTACATAGCTCAAAATTCAAAAGGGATACACTGATAATTCAGTCTCTCTTCCTCCTACACCTGTTCCCCAGCCTCCCTCACCTCCCTCCCAGATGCAGCCAGTGTTACATGAATCTTTGCAGAGATTTTTCTATGCATGTATGAGCCATCACCTATTTTTGATTCATTCACTCGTTCAGCAACTATTTGTTGAGCACTGTGCATGTGCTGGGCTCTGCTGTAGGCACGGAGCTGTAGCAGTGGACAGAACAAAGACCCCGCTGCCGTGGAGCAGGGGTTAGACCGCAAAGATCTCTCTTCCTCCCCCCTGCTCCCTTCTTATACCCCCAGTTCTGTGCTTTTGTTAAACCTGAACTTTATATCTTCAAGGGTCTTCCATGCCAGTTTGCGTAGCATTGTCTCTTTTTAATGATGGTGTTTCATTTCATCACGTGGATATACCATAGTTTCTTTTGCCAGTATCTGGTGGATAGACATTCAAATCGCTTCTGCGTTTTTTTTATTTGCTGTTATAAACGATGCTGCAGTGTTCTTGTATACATTTCCTTTTGCACTTGTGAGAGTAGATCTGACAATTTATTGGCCAATGTAGCTAAAATATCCAGAGAAGTGGACAGGCAGGGCCATATTCAGGTGCACGAACCATGTCATTTGGACCTGGTCTGTGAGTCCTGCTTTGCTCTGTGTTGGCTTTATTTTCAGAGATAAGAAGGCTTATTAAGTCCTTATTCTATTATATTAACTACACACCTACAATGTGCCACATGTCTTAGATGCTGGAGATATAGCAGGAAGAAAACACACCCAAATCCTGGCCTGCATGGAGCTGATATTGTAAGATACCCCACACCATCAGTCAAAGGTTTGTATTCTCCCAGGTTGGAGGGAAAAAGAAAACCTCCTTCCTCCCCATAGTAACAAGTCTCAGGATTGGATCTCATTGGACCAACTTGTGTCATGTGACAATCTCTGACCCAATCGTTTTGGCTGAGGGCAGGAGTACAATAAACTGATTGGTCAGGCCAGGGCCTCTGGAACCAGAGGGTGGAGTTAACCTTCCTAAGAACCGGGTGGACTGAGGTTGAGTGAGGGATTTCCGCAAAAATGAAGAGTGAAGATTTCCTGGCTAGCACTAATGTTAGCTACAATGGTAGATAGAGTCAGAGGCAAAGACATAGCTAAAGGAACTACAGGAAAGAGCCAGAAGGGAGAGAGGAAGCCAGAGCTGCGTGGTCGTGGCTCAGCGTCTAGGCCCCAGTGAGTAGTCCTGGGCACTCCCAGCTGAAGCCTCCCTTTATTTTGCTGAGCTCTGGGCATCCATCCAGCGCTGGACTGAGCCAGTGAGAGAGGGGATTCACACCATTCAAGCATGATGTGGAGATTTCAAAGCACATGGTGAAATTTCTTTCCCAAAGTGAGTCAGACCCAGTGTTCACCAGGTGAGGCCACCTGGGCACAGGTGGTTCCCACAGAAGGAGTCCTAGTTCCCTTGGGGCTGCTCCCAGGTCTCCTAGCCCCCACCCATACCCCAGATCCCTGGTAGCAACATGAGGGAGACCCCAGGTCTGGCCGCTGCCCCATCATACTCCAGGGCCTGGCCTGGGGCGTCGCCAAGTGGCCAGGGGGCAAAGCGTTTCCCAGCAATTGAGCAGGGCCTGGGGAGGTAGAGGAGAACCTGGGGTGGTGGGGGGCATCATTTAACATTAGAGAAGGTAAACATCCTTGACAGGGAGTTTTAAGGTGCTTTCTGCGCCTAGACACCCTGTGCAAGGGTAAGAGAGGCAAGAGCATTTCACTCAGGGCCTATTTACTGAGGACCAGCCATGGGAAACAA